>NC_000002.12:10930267-11237023 GCF_000001405.40 Homo sapiens | reverse complement strand
CCTGCCACTACGCCTGGCTAATTTTTTATAGTTTTAGTAGAGACGGGGTTTCACCATGTTGGCCAGGCTGGTCTCGAACTCCTGACCTCAGGTGATCCACTTGCCTCGGCCTCCCAAAGTGGTGACATTACAGGTGTGAGCCACCACGCCTGGTTGATTTTACATTTTTAAAGCTGTCTTCGGTTTGTCCTATTAAACATTTCCTTGAGTATTATTTTTGTTTCTCAAATTGCTGTTTTCTCTATTTCATGATGTTGGTTTTTCTCAAATATTGATTCTTAGTTTTATCTTTTCCCTGTTTGTCTGTGGAAGACTTGTGTTTGCATTGCTTGTTTCTGGGAGGGGTGTGACATACTGTTTGGTAGAATGTACAGATAGGTTTTCTTCAGACATTGTGGTTTCTCTGTCTGTTTGGGGGGTCAGTAGCAACCTGGACTGGTATCTTCTTTCTCTGGTCCCAATGCTACTGCTATAGTCTCAGTAAACTGAATGTCTCTTGTTTATCATGAACAAGGTGATGGGGAAGGGGAGAGAAGAGTTACGCGTCTTCCAAATATGGCTACCAGTGACTCATTCTTTCCATTGATATGGGGCTTATTCCCTCTTCTTGTGTCCGTTGAATCTAGTATCTCTAGATTTTTTTAAATTGCTCCTACCTCCTCTGCTCTTTTCTGTGTGAGTTAGGTGCAGTAGTTTGTTCAGAAAGCTGTTTTTTTTAAATTATAGTGAATTCTTCTGTCATTCTTTCACCTTTAATGTTCCTTATTCCTGTTTGTTTCTTTCTTAAATGTTTCTATTTAAATAGTTTCTTTTGTATTGTGTTCTCCATGAGGGGAAATATTCATTTATGCTTGAATAAGGTACCCATATAAAAATTTTGTCTGATACTGTTTATCCATTACATACGCCTGAGTCTAAAATAAAAGATCTCATAAATTTTAGTTTTGGTTATAAAATAGTTTGCCTTTTTCAATAGTAATAATAGTTTTTTAAATTTTTGTTCTGATTATGATTTTTGGTTTGGGTTTTTAAAAATTTTTCCTTTTCCTTTTGTTTTCCAGCTTTTTTATGCCTTTCAAGATGATAGGTATCTGTACATGGTAATGGAGTACATGCCTGGTGGAGACCTTGTAAACCTTATGAGTAATTATGATGTGCCTGAAAAATGGGCCAAATTTTACACTGCTGAAGTTGTTCTTGCTCTGGATGCAATACACTCCATGGGTTTAATACACAGAGATGTGAAGCCTGACAACATGCTCTTGGATAAACATGGACATCTAAAATTAGCAGATTTTGGCACGTGTATGAAGATGGATGAAGTAAGTAAGCAAATTATTTAAAACGATAGTGTTTTGAGGGACAGAAATAAATGAAATACTTTAAGTCAGGTCTTCATAGTTTTGAACAAAGGTAAATTTAGTTTTCATAACTGTATAGCACCCAAACAAGATATAACCAACTTAAAACATTTCCTTAACCAACTTAAAACATTTCTTTTGTAATCATTTATGTAGCTGTAGAGTACTTATCAAGAGAAATAAAAACTTAGCTTAGTTATCTTCCTCATAGACTGTTGACAAGCATTTGCTACCAATCAAAACCGGTTCATATGTATAATTTAGGTGAAGAAGGACACAAAATCTAAATTAAGGTAAATAGGTATTTTCACCACCATTGTTACTTCTGCATTTTTTTCTTTAAGAGGAGGTAAAAGTAAGTAAAGAAATTTATGTTACAACCTCCTCGTCACTCCCTCTGCATCAACCACACAGAATAAATTTGGGAACATCATCTGTTCCGATGCTTTACCTGTTGATCAATTCATATTATGATTGATAGGTTCAGTGGCATTAACCTCGTAGCTAATTATGATACTGATTTATTTTGGTTGTAAAATTTATATATCTTGCCCTTTTCTCTGTAAGTGTGCAGTAAGTAATTCTTGATGGAGAGGGATCGGTTCTGTTTCCTTTGTATTACCCTGTTGGTCCTAGGAGTCGACTTATAAATGTTAATATATATTGACAGCAAACTGTATTTCATCTTTTGTATGTTTTTTATAACTTTCCAGTATGCTTATAAAGCCAATCTTATTTCTTGGTAGTTACCTAGTCAAATGTTTATTTTGAGTTAAGGTAATTTTCTCTCTACCTCTTAACTTGTTCATGCCACCTGTATGACATTCACTTTTATTGATCATTCTACCTTCATCAGCATTCCAACTTCTAAGCTCATCTCAGATTTTACCTCGGCTTTAAGGTTCCTTCTGATAATCCTGACCTGACTGATCATTCTTTAATGTCATAATGTCCATAATTTCCTCACATAGTCAGAATTTGTGCTATACTTTATGGGCCATTTTTGTCTATCTTAATCTATCCAGCTAGAACTTAATATCCCTATATATTTTTGGTCTTTTTGATAGAGTCTGTTATATTCTGCAACCCTTAATCAATGTTTAATAGGTGGAGTTTTTTATTGTACCCAAAGCTCCCTCTTGTGGTATTTGGTATAATATAGTGTGAAATGATTAACAGTGCAAATTATCTTTAATGAAAATGAAGTATGAAATAATTTCCTAATAGAATGCTAAACTTATGTCTGCTATACATAAGAGAAGATGTTTTTGTGTTGTACTTCCATGAATGTATTGCGATTTTCATTAAACCAAAAACTTTTGGCACTAGGGTACAGACAAATAAATCATACCACATATTTTTAGGGAAGATAAGGGTGGTTAAGGAGAGCAAGGTGTAGAGAAGAAGAATATGGGGAACGGGATAGAATATGGTACCTACAGAATAATTGTATAAGCATGTAAGCAAATACTTAAATTGTCTCTTTATAAGGCAAAGTAAAACATGGCCTAATTTTGTTTACTATTTTTACTTTTATTTATTTTTATTTATTATTTTTAATAAATTTAAAAAATATGGACTGCTTCAAGAATTTGCATGTTATGCTTGTGCAGCGGCCATGCTAATCTTGTCTGTATCATTCTAATTTTAGTATATGTGCTGCCTAAGTGAGCACGGTTTACTGTTTTTAAACTCAGATACAGACAGTTGAGTTAATTATACTCCTT
This sequence comes from Homo sapiens, assembly GCF_000001405.40. Classification (NCBI taxonomy): domain Eukaryota; kingdom Metazoa; phylum Chordata; class Mammalia; order Primates; family Hominidae; genus Homo; species Homo sapiens. The sequence continues at coordinate 11,233,935 of NC_000002.12, read as the reverse complement.
GGTTCATAGTTTATTGTCATGAGTAGTCAACACGAAGGCCTCATCTTGCTTTTATTTTATATTTTCCTCCATTCAGTTTCTGTCTCATTCTGTCTTTCCTCTCCCTAATAGATAGCTAGTATATGTTCACCATACGTTTTTGCAGATTATTAGTATAGTGTACTATATGTTCTTAGCTGGTATAAACAGTATCTTGATATAGATGTCATTTTGTTTGCTGTTGTTACTCAGCATTGTTTTTATATCTCTCCCTGATGTCAGTTAGTTCATTGCTTCTTTCTGCTGCTTAGTATTCCATAGTATCTATCAATCAATTTACCTTATTATTCCTTGGATGTTCGATTTCTAGGTCACCTCCAAATCCCTGCTAACAACAATACTATCTTGAACATCTTTATATATGTCCCATGTATATGCTTACAGGGGGTTCTCTAAATATAAACATAGAAGTGAAACTACTACATCAGAGGGTACATAAAGAAAGAATTGCCCGATCTCCAGAATGGCTGTGAATGTTTCTAACTACTTACTACTAGTACATGAGAGATCTTGTCTCCCCATATCCTTGCTAACACTTACTATTCAGTTCTCTAAGGGTTACCAGTTCCGTTGATATACAGTAGTATCTTTAAACAATTATGTTCATCTTATTGGACTAAGGTTGCCAAGAAAAAAATAAATAAGATTTGTAAAAATTACATTAATCTTTTTTTGTTGTTATTGTAGACACGGTCTCCTCTATTGCCCAGGCTGGAGTGTAGTGGTGTAATCATAGCTCACTGTAGCCCGAAACCCCTGGGCTCAAGGGATCCTCCCTCCTTAGCCTCCTGAGTAGCTGGGACAACAGGCGTACACCACCATGCCTGGTTCATTTTTTAATATTTCATAGAGACAGTATCTCTCTATGTTGCCTAGGCTGATCTCAAACTCCTGGGCTCAAGTGATCCTCCTGCCTCAGCCTCCTAAAATGCTGGGATTACAGGTGTGAGGCACTGTGCCTGACCAGTTATGTTAATCTTGTAACTAATGATGACAAACCTCTCTTCATATATTTGTCAGTCATTTCTGTTTTGTGAATTACCTGTTTATATCTTTTAACTCTTTTAAATTGGTTTCTTGTTCATGTACAGGGATTGCTTATATAATCTAGATAGTGATTCCATAGATATTGCTGATATCATCTTCCATTGTGTTACCCATCTATGCCTTCCTTTGTTTGAATAGAACTCCTTCATTCTGATGTAGTCAAAGGTGTTCTTTAACAAATACTGAACTTTTAAAATGTTGTTTTACCCCAGATCTCCATTCCTCAAGCAATACTAAGGATAATTATACAATGTTTAAGAACAAAAGAGTTTTTTATTAAAAACTATAGTACATTGGATTTATAATTTTCTATTAGTTTTTAACATGAATAGTCTTATTGCAAGTTTAAGGCTCAACACTTCATGTGCCTTTGTTTGATTATTGTTACTATACCAAAGCCATTAGAAATGTCCATAGTTTTGGCCAGCTGTGGTGGCTCACACCTGTAATCCCAGCACTTTGGGAGGCCAGGGTGGGCAGACTGCTTGAAGCCAGGAGTTCGAGACCAGCCTGGGAAACAAGGTGAACCCCCGTTTCTACTAAAAACAGAAAAATTAGCCAGGCGTGATGGTGCATGCCTGTAATCCCAGCTCCTTGGGTGGCTGAGGCATGAGAATTGCTTGAACCCAGGGGGTGGAAGTTGCAGTGAGCCGAGATCGTGCCAGGCCACAGCCCTCCAGCCTGGGCGACAGAGCAAGACCCTGTCTGAAAAAAAAAAAGAAATGTCCATAGTTTTATTCTCATCCACTTACAGAAGGGACTGTGACTTGGTTTTATACAGCTTACATGCCAGAAATAACTTTTACATTTTTAAAAGTTTGTTTAAAAAAAAGAAGAAAAATATGTGACGGAGACCCTGTGTGGCCCACAAAGCCAAAATATTTAGAGTCTGGCCCTTTACAGGAAAAATTAGCCAATACTTTATCTATAATATAGACATATATGCTCAAATTATTTTTCAGCCATCCTGACTTCCTATAAAATGTTATGCCATGGATAAAAGCAAAAATAAAATACAACTATAAACTTACAAGGACTAAAATGATTTGTCACTATCAGAATTAAGAGTAATAGTATCTCATTAAATTATATAATTGATAAATTGTATATTACACAACTTTCTGGATGCAGTTGCCATCACCCTTATTCTCTCAGGAAAAAAAAAACTTATCTAAATGTGAGTGAGAGTCACATTGTAAGATATTTATATGTAGATGTGTCTCAGTAAAAGTTGAGAGCTACTGCTATGTTGGGTGTACTCTTTGCGTGTCATGCATTTTATAGCAACCTTTACCTCCTTTTAAGACCACTTTATATGTTAGTATTTTAAATTACCTGAAGAGGCCAGGCACGATGGCTCATGCCTGTAACCCCAGCACTTTGGGAGGCTGAGGTGGGTGGATCATCTGAGGTCAGGAGTTCGAGACCAGCCTCGCTAGTATGGTGAAACCCCATCTCTACTAAAAACACAAGAATTAGCCGGGCATGATGGCGCGGGCCTATAGTCCCACCTACCTACTCAGGTGACTGAGGCAGGAGAATCGCTTGAACCCAGGAGGCGGAGGTTACAGTCAGCCAAGTTCGTGCCACTGTGCTCCAGCCTGGGTGACAAAGCGAGACTCTGTCTCAAAAAGAAAAAAAAAATTACCTGAAGAAAAAAAAAAATTACCTGAAGACGATTTTTATCCATTAATATTCTAGCATATACCATTTGACTAAATAGAAGATATAATTTTTTAAAAGCTAACTGGTAGCTTTTCTTTTTAAGTAATTTTTTTAAAAAAAGGTATGCATTTTCAAAAGGTTTCTCAGATTATTTTAAATGTATCATATTAAATATGTATTTGCTAAATGTATTTGATGTATTATGGCCCAAAATATCATAAATTCAGAGAATTTACTGAAAACACTGAATTTACTGAAAAGAGAAGAATTTCCTAAAACAGAAGCATTCAGTGATTCTGTTATTAAAAATTCCATTTACAGTTTTTTTTCCACCTTTATAGGAAGCATTTCAGTTGTTTTTAGACCAACTCCAAGATTTCTGATTGACCAGTTTTGTGTTTTCAGTAAGTTATCTCGATTTATGATATTTTTTGACCATGATAACACATCAAATATATTTAGAAAATACACATTTAATCTGATACATTTAAAATAAAATAATTTGAGAAACCTTTTGAAAATGCATACTTGATTATCTGGCTTTCCAGCTTAATACCCTTCAGTAGATTTCTGTCATCTACTGAATTAAGTTCAAACTCCTTAGCTTGTCACATGAAATTTCTTCTGATACGACCCCCTGCCTGCTTTTGTACCCTATTCTCTATCATTTGACAGTACTTTATGGCTTAGAAGTCTTGAGTTACATGTAGTTCTTTCTGTACTATGATATATCATGATTCTTGGCCTACGTATATGCTGTCTAAAAATCTGCCTGGAAAATTCTTATTCATATTTTGAAACTCAGTCCAAAGTTTGCCATCTTGTGAAAGCTCCTTAGGTTGACTTCTTTGTCCTTTCCACATATCCCCCTTTTGGAGCATTTTCTTATTTTTTGACACTATACAATGTTCAAGACTTGTCTTATATTTTCTCTGTCTCACCTCTGGAATCACTTCTCCAAGAAGCTCTGATTCTTTTTATTAAAGAATGGTATTTATAAATCAATAATTGGGTGCTAGATGTGCTCATTGCTTCTGGACTGTCATTACTTCTAGGCCCTGCCAGCTGACAGAGTTAGGGGGTATATATTGTATATACTAAATGTACTAAACCATAAACCACATGCACACATGTTTATATTTAATTCTGAATATGTCTGTATATATAGCATATTAAAAATTAGGAGCTCATACTGATAACTCTGATTCAAGTCCAGCACCACTGGGTTTATTCTTGTCTCCCTCCTTTCTTTTTTGTAATTTCTTTCGTGAACAGTAAAACTCTTGGCTCTTATTATCTGCAATATATTTACTTACCAGTTGAACCCTAGTATACACATAAAATTATTTCAGAATTGTCAGTCCTTATCCCTGTGACAAACAGATTTGCTAACCAAAATATATTATTTTTGTACACTTCTTTCTGTTTTTAATTAGTCTTACAGTATTGTGTTAAGATGTTATTTTCCATAGTTACTTAGTTTATTTTGTTTCTTTCTACCTTCTCTAATGTGGTTATATTATTTGTTTATAAAACAAGTTCATTTCTTGTTTTTTTTTTTTGTGTTGCATTTAGAGTTCCCCCCACATCCTGATTGGTTTTAATGTTTATTTTTTTTTTTGGATACGTGAAGTTTCCTCTGGTTTTAGGAGATAGAGCCATGCAAAATGTATGCTCAGAGAAGAGTCACTTGCTCCATATTCCCATACCCTGTTCCCATTACTCCCTTCTTTCCATCCTTTGCCCACCCACCCACTGTTGGTAAACCAATCTCTTTAGTTTTTTACTTATCCTTCTCACAGTTCATTTAAACAGGGTTAGAGACTTGTTATAAATGTAGATTTCATATTCATATAATTTGAGGGCTTCCACATAAGACACTTTTTAAGTATTTTTAAATATCATTTTCAAATGTTTGTTTTAAAAACTTCAGTATGCTATCCAAAAATTATGGTTAGAACATTAATTTTCCAAAAGCAGAGTGTTATTCACATAGTTTAGTATGTGAATATAGTTTACTATTAGTAATTACTATTACTATATAGAATATAATAGTTTATAACCAATAAAAATCTTTAGTCCTACCCAAGTATTTATTCTGCAAGTGGTTATTCACACTGATATGCAGCTTATCCTTCCAGTCTTCATTGTGTAGAACTTTACATTTAGTTGATTTGGATTTCACTGCATTTCTTGAACAAGTTTATACCAGGTTGTTCCTGTTTCTTTATGCTCTTTTTTTCTATCTAACCTGTCATACCATCCTCTCTCCTTTAAACCCTAGCTTATCCGTCCTTTACAGCCTAACTTTATGCCAATTCTTTCTTATCTTGCCCTTTCTTCTCCTTCCTCTGAACCTTTGAATGCTAAGTAATTTTTCCTTTGGTTGTATGTGTGTGTTTGTGTCTGTCTGTGTGTGTGTCTCCAGTAAGTTGGTTTTAGTAGCTAAGTCTCATATAATTTTTTAAAAGCTTAATTTCTGTGGATGTATGTGAAATAAGGAAATTTTCTTTAACCTAATAAGCCTCTATTGATTTTTTCCCCCAACAGAAGTCTAGACTATAGGACAGTCCATGATAAAAATTAATTGTATACCCTGCCTTTTGAAGTCAGGCACTGTCTTGTTCATAATTTGTCCTTTGTAATAATCCACACAAAGTGTTACTCCCATGGTTTGCTCAATTATTTCCATAACATTTATTTTTAAATTTCTATTCACACTAAAATAGCTTTTATTCTCTATTTGCTATATATGTGGGAAAATAAAGCCATTGAGTTAGTTCTGCCAATTTGAGAATGAATGAAAAGATCTTTTCTATAACAAGTTTTATATAAAGTTACATAAATTAGGTTTACAAAATGTGTTCAACCTCCTTTTCTCAAGGTAGCCATAATACTCAATATTAGGTAGTTTGTATAGCTTCCTTATGAGGAATGTGGGCAACACACTCTTTACTGGGCAGGTAAAGGAAATAAAGGGCACTTAATCTCTCAAATCATTGCAAGTTGGACAGAGCTAGAGGTAAAGAAATACCATTTAGCACCATACTTCTCTAGTCATTTAATTTTGCAGCATGCAGACACACACACCCCTATAATGGTTATTTTACTTGTCAAAAAGACATCAGGGAGGGATTATTTTATTATCTGCTGAAACTAAACACAGATAAGTGGTTTTTAAAAATCATCATGCCAAATATATTGATGCCACAGCTGCATATTTCTAAATATATAGCTTGGAAGTATAGCTTTCACACTTCTAAGATCTTTTAATTTAAACATTTGATCTATTTCTTCATTTTTTTTCTTGGTAATACAAGAGCCAATTCTTTATTCAGTCTCCAAACTGGGGCCCTTTGTTATCTTGATTACTTCAGTTTATTCTGGAAATATGAAAGCTTCCTTTCTCTAATGATTCTTTTTCCTGGGTCAGTGTCCTTAAGACCACATTTTGTACTAACCTCATAACTGTAGTGTAAGAAATAAGAAAAAGAAAAGTTGTTGATTTGCATGGAATCTCCATTTTACCAAACTTTTTTCTTCTTTCATTGAGGAAGCCTCCTGTATTTTAGAGTTCACAGTTTATTCCTATCTCCCATAATTTAGGCATTTTAATGCATTTTCCAGTGTATTTATTCTCTGTATCCTGAAGTCATGTCAGCAGTGAAGTTCTGTTGGTTAGCAATATGTAATCATTGTATATCTAGTAATAAATGGATTCATTGCATTTATAAGTGTGTGTTTTTACACTGAACTGTTTTTTCTTTATCTCTCCTGTTCATGCAGACAGGCATGGTACATTGTGATACAGCAGTTGGAACACCGGATTATATATCACCTGAGGTTCTGAAATCACAAGGGGGTGATGGTTTCTATGGGCGAGAATGTGATTGGTGGTCTGTAGGTGTTTTCCTTTATGAGATGCTAGTGGGTAAGTAAATATTTTAACTTCTTTTTTCAAAATGCTTCTTATAATACTTTATTTCAGTCAAGAATTTGAGAATATAAGGAAATTAATTGCCTTTGTCGTAGGGAAGAATTAGATTTCTGGAAACTTTGAATTAGTAGTATCTGATAGGGCAGACTGTTAATTGGAAAATTAATACCAAGCCTGATACTGGCATGGTGATTAAATAGAATAAGTAGAATGTAAAAAGAATTAAAAATATATCAGACATTTTTGAATTAAAATATTAGAACAAGAAGCAAGTTTACAGCTTCAGTGGGCCTTCATTCTAAGATTTTCCTTCTTTTTTTTTTTTTTTTTTTTTTCTGAGGCAGGGTCTCGCTCTGTTGCCCAGGCTGGAGTGCAGTGGCATGAATGTGGCTCACTGCAGCCTTGACCTTCTAGGCTCAAGTGATCATCCCATTTTGCCTCCCGAGTAGCTAGGATTACAGGCACATGCCACTAAACCCGGCTGATTTTTCTCATTTTTTGTAGGGAGTGGTCTCATCATGTTGCCCAGGCTAGTTTCAAACTCCTGACCTCAAGTGTTACTCCCACCTCAGCCTCCCAAAGTGCTGGGATTTTAGGCATGAACCACCACACCTAGCCCTCTAAGATTTTCTTGATCAATCATATTTGTTATAATATTTAAATATAAGACTTAATATTTGTCCCAATAGTAGTAGAGAAGTAAAAATCTCTTTAGTTTATGTAATTACATAATTGATTTCGTAAACAACTGTATTCCTTCCATTTACTTCTTGCATATATATTGTTTGTAATTCTCGTGAAATAAATTATAAATACAGTGTTTACCATTTGATTATCAAGATAAATATATTTTGTAATAACATTTCAGTTTTAGAAAACTCAGAGACAGATTTAGTTATTTCTTCTTTTTTATGACCAAATCAAAATTTGAAAGGCTGAAGTATTTCAAAACTTTCTTTACATCATAGATTTCATTCCTAATGTTTCCCATTTGTAAGTACTGGGGTCATAAAAATACTAGTACCTTCTGGCTAAGGAAGCCAGTGACGTGGCATGGGGATGAGGGTTGAAAATGTAGTTAAATCCACTTTCCAAGGCAAGTATGTCAAGGCTAATAACATAATATGGAATTAATTAGAGTTAAAAATATACTTTTTAGAATTAGAGAATATATTTTCTAAAAGATGAGCCTAAAAGAAATGGTAGTGTAAAACCTGTATGATAAAAGACTATGGTTATTGCTAAAAAATCAGAAATTTTCGGTAAATTGCAAATTTAAATAATAATTACTCTTGAACTTTTTTGTGGCATAAATTGTTTTCTCTTGATGACTGTCTTGTGTATGTAGCATTGATCTTGTTATGCTTTGTTTCATGTCATAGTATGACCTACTTTATTTTGGGCCTTTCAAAGTGAGTCTGTTTGTACGCATCATATGGTCCCATGTAGCTGTCCGTTCTCCCATCTCTGGCCTAGGTTGTGTCTTGTAATCTTTTGAAAATAGAGTATATTCTCTTTTTTGCCTAGACACGCTTTCCTAGGGATTTACAAAATAAGGTACTTTAGAGGAAGTAATTTGGCTTATTTGATGAAGAGGCCATTTAAATTCTCACGACTGCCAGGCTGGGTGGTGCTAGCTCAGCTCTTCAGGAGGCTGAGGCAGGAAGATCACTTGAGCCCAGGAGCTCAAGGCCAGCCTGGGGAACATATGAGATACTGTGTCTAAAAAAGTAATAATAAAAGAGTAAAATTAAAATAAATAAAAAATTTTTAACATAAGAAAGTTTAAAAAGTTAAAAAATAAATTAAAAAATAAAAAATAAAATCTTGAATTCATCACTTCCCTCCACCTTTCTTTGAACACAAACAAAAATAACTACCTGAAGACATTTTTTGAAGTTTTGGATTGGCTGATTTGGGAAAGTCAGGTTTTCATTAAAGTTACTTGTAGTGTAGGTGTACTGGCAGAGCCTGTAACACTTGTGGCTTTAGCTGAGTACTGGCCAAAATGGTGCCTTCAACATTTTCCATCTTTATACTTGCTTCAGTGCATCTATTACAGTCATTAGTAAGAACACTGCATGGGGAGACCATTTCTTCCCTCTTTCAACTCTAGCTATATGTCATTTTAAGCTAGTCACAGTCTGTCTCTCTGGGCCTGACTTCCTCTTATGTAAAATAATAGAGCTGGTTTAACTCTTGCAGCAGCCCTGTCTGGCCTATCATGATGTAAATGATTTAAATCTGTGCTGTCCAGTGTGGTGACCATTGGTTACAACATGACTTAAAATGTGGCTAGTATAACTAGGGAATTGTGTTTTTCATTTTATTTAATTCATTTTAACTTTAAATTGCCACCTATAGCTAGTGGCAACTGTGTTGTATAACATATCTCTAGAGAATGATTTCAAAATGCTGATCCAGCCCAAGCATTAAAGGACCCTGACTGATCTGACCCCACATAGGAACTCTTTCTCTTGGACTATTCAGTAAAACATTTCCTCTCTTAAATTAAAAAAAAAAAAAACTCAACAAATTCGGGAGTTATCATTGATTTTATTTTGCTTTTAAGGGATGAGGGATCATTGGTGGTGTTAAATTTTAAATATATTCTTTGATTTAGAATATAACAATATGTCTGTTGTTTTGACTGGGACTCTGTGCCCGTAGAATATTTGTTCTTCCCTGCATGTGACAAATTTAAACTTAACATATTTAAGTACTAGGTGAAAAGTGTTTCCTTTGCATTCTCTGTTACATTCAGTATCTTCTTTCTTGAAATTTTAGGGGATACTCCATTTTATGCGGATTCACTTGTAGGAACATATAGCAAAATTATGGATCATAAGAATTCACTGTGTTTCCCTGAAGATGCAGAAATTTCCAAACATGCAAAGAATCTCATCTGTGCTTTCTTAACAGATAGGTAATGTACATTGAATTTCTTTGTAGAGAAGCCCTTTATGTTAAATTTATAGAAATAAAAGCATGCCTAGCTTATTAACATATGAAATCAGTCTGCCTCTCATTACCCAAGTAGCATCTAATTCTGGGTTAGCCTTTTCCTTCTGCTAAGCCTGGTGTTGGGCTACCTTGTTGTTATGTGTGTACAGCCCAGTTGTAATCGAACTCTAACCTTAACCCTCATGTCTAAAAAGGAAAAAATAGAACGTGGTAAAACAATGGATTTGAAAGAAATAAAACTTTCGTGTTGTTCACATTTTATCCTCCAAGCTGGTTATTCCATATTACTCTTATATAACTTTTGAGAGTATTTTGTGTAGATAAATACTCAACAGGTTATAATCTTAAAAACTATTTGTGTTAGACTTGGGAGTGCTTCCTTCCCAACCCTTTTTAATTTGCATTTGAATATGAGCAAGACTATCCTGGAAATTCCATACTTTTAAAAACAAAATAGATGAACAAAGGTGTGAAAACCTGCCCCCAAAAGATAAGCTAGAAAACTATTTGATTTCTCTTCTTTGTTCACCCCATTCCATTTTTTTCTAATGTCCCGTTTTATATTTGTGATAGGAGTCATCCTGTCAAAGGACCAACATATACAAGAGGATGCTCACACCCTCGTTCAAACTTACACATCAGCTTTATGATCTTGGGGAAATTATTTTTACTTTTTTGGGAAATAATTTTACTCATCCATAAAACAGTGGTCTCAAATTACAAAACTAAGGGCATTTCTAGCTTTAATATGCTAAGATTCCTTAGCACATCTTATTGCTTATTAATTTGTTACAAGCATTACTGCAGTGACTATCCTCACACATTCATCTCTGCATACTTTTTATAGGATAAAATCTTAAAGGTGGAATTCTGGGATACACATTTTAAACTTAAGTGATGTTACAAAATTGATCCCCAGAGAAGTTACAGCAGTATGTATTTCCATTAACAAAATTGTTTTCTTCTCGTCAAACTGAACATTGTAAAATGTTTTTTCTTTTTTTCATCAAAGAGGATAATTATTTTTATTTGTCAGTCATTTGTAGAATAAAACTTTAATACCTGTCAATTACATGGTTGACGAGCAGTTGGTGCTGATAAACTCAAAGTAAAATGGAAATGACGATTTATATATTAAGACCTGGAGATGAGGAGATGTTATCTTTGAAAAGAAGGAGAGACGCCTCTTTCTAAGAGGATAGGGTGGAAGAAGAACACAGCCTGTATGATGTTTGATGTGGGCACTGAGCAGGATTGGTAGGGATGGCCATAATTTGTGCTGGATGATAAATTGTACAACAGGGTACACCTGTTTTATGTTAATGAAAGGAGTGTTATTCATGAAAGTTTTGAATTAGTAGTCATGGGGCAGGGGTGTGCAATCTAAGGAATGATTATAGGTGGAAAACTGATATTTTGAAAACGAGTTAATGCCGTAAATATGGCTAGGAGCACTTCCCCTTAAGGTCTACAGTTTTCCTATTTATGTTAAACATAGCTCCAGGGCCTTGTATAACACAGATGCTCTCTATTTCCATACAGTCTTCATTGAAGACTCAGAGGGTCAAAGAATGAAATTCTTTGTAACATTTTTCATATATGCAGAATGATAAGTTTAATATACATGTAGAGATATACTTTACCAGAATAAATATGGATAGCTTCAAACATAATATATGCATTCTTTTTAGGAAAGGGAGAGATTTTTAAAATAATATTTCTATTAGGGAAGTTTTGAATAACTCTTCTCTGCCGAAAGTTAGACCTATGTCTGTTTATATCCTGAAGTTATTGTCATTCAGTCGTGGCACATGCAGGTGAATTTTTTTACTTGATAGTCTTAACGTACTTTCATTTGATGCAAACTATAGACAGAAACATTTTACTTTTCATGACATTTATTGTGCATTACAGTTTTTTAAATCTGTCTAAAGAGATCACATACTGTAACTTGGGATTGCTTATTTTTGAGAAACATTTAAGCTGAAGCTTTTAATACAAATATCTCAAATTTACTTGAGATCTTTATTTTGGTTAAACTGTTGACATAGAGTTAATCTTTTTATTTTATAATTTTTAAATAATACAATCTTTAACTGCATTGTTTAGGGAGGTACGACTTGGGAGAAATGGGGTGGAAGAAATCAGACAGCATCCTTTCTTTAAGAATGATCAGTGGCATTGGGATAACATAAGAGAAAGTAAGTCAATAAACCTAAATATTTTCATTCCATCACATTCTGAAACTCATAAGTTGATTCCTTTTTTGAAATAACAAGCATATTTGATAACACTTAATGCTAACTCATTTTTAAATTGAGAAATTTCATTTCAAATTTGTTCTGTGGCAATATTTATAACAATATTCCTCAATATCTTTGCAAACTATTAGCAATATTTCTCAACACTTTTACAATAAACATTACACATTTCTTAATTTGCCAAGTTAAGCTTTGTAGATCTCAATAATTTTCAGAATCAAGGGAATGCAATCCTTTAATTTAAATGCGTTTGACTTGATAAATCAACAATTATTTATGGAGACCATACTCTGCTAAATATTGCTGTAAGCATAGTAACTTATTTTTACTATGTATATATGACATTGATTCATTTTAAGGGTAAGAAATATTTCTGTTTCGAGATTGTAGAAAATGGAGGTCTCTAAATTCTGTGCAAATTATTGCTGCTTGTAATTTTTAACAACTAGAATAATATGTTGCTTTCCTTGTTTAATCTATATTTAAAAGTGATCTAATATAGCAATAAATTACAAAATTTTAATTCTGTGAATCGATAAAATGGCAAATGCGCTGCTACAAATTTATATAGTGTTATTAAATAATAAATAATACATCATAATAAAATAGGATGGTTTATATATTTTGGTTGTGAATGAAATAATTTATTTCTTTTCTTTTAATAGCGGCAGCTCCTGTAGTACCTGAACTCAGCAGTGACATAGACAGCAGCAATTTCGATGACATTGAAGATGACAAAGGAGATGTAGAAACCTTCCCAATTCCTAAAGCTTTTGTTGGAAATCAGCTGCCTTTCATCGGATTTACCTACTATAGAGAAAATTTGTATGTGGTTTATTATTTGTTAAATTTTACTGTTTTTAGAATCTAGCTATAAGATGATGTGTTATTTTGAGACTCAATTATAGGAGATAAAGTATTAATTTGTTTTTTCCAAAAGGACTATCATCAGAAGAATTCTTAATTTTATTTTATTATTTCTGAATGTTATATGTTATTCATTTATAAGTTATTGCAAGACACCATTCTACATTCTTTTGGGGATATACAGTAAAAACAAATACCTATTTTTGAAGAAGCTTGTCATCTCGTGAAGGATATAAGAGAATTATATAGTCATAAAGAAGGGTAAAATGTGACAGTTGCCTTAAGAAAGATGCTGAGAGAATCTGGGATGGTTCAGAAGAAAAATAGAAGTCATCTCTTTGGGGTGGGAGTAGGGAGAAATAGGTCAGACCTCTGGGAAGAGGTGGCATTTTAGCCAAGTCTAACAAGAAAAGGTTTTGAGTGGCTGAAATGTGGGGAGGTTAGGGGACAGTTGTGAGGTGTTGAATAGTGGAAGCAAATGTTTGGAATGTGAGCATACATTGGGAGCAGAGCACTCGCATTGAGTCCAGTAGCACTCAAACATAGAGCAGGTGCTACTATGTCATTACAGTTTGGAGGACTCGATGAGACTATGTGGTTTTCTTGCCTGTAGTCTCTGCATCTAGCAGAAAGTCTGACACAAGATCATTCAATAAATATTGGTTAACTGAAGTGAGTATTGGATGTAAGATTAGAAAATATGTTGAGGCCAGGTGTGGTGATTCACACATGTAATCCTAGCACTTTGGGAGGCTGAGATGGGAGGATAGCTTGAGCCCAGGAGTTCTAGACCAGCCTAGGCAACAAAGTGGAACCCTGTCTTTACAAAAGAAAAAAAAAGCCGGGTACGGTGGCTCATGCCTGTAATCCCAGCACTTTGGAGGCTGAGGTGGGCAGATCACCTGAGGTCGGGAGTTCAAGACCAGCCTGACCGACATAGAGAAACCCCGTCTCTACTAAAAAATACAAAATTAGCTGGGCATGGTGGCACATGCCTGTAATCCCAGCTACTCTGGAGGTTGAGGCAGGAGAATCGCTTGAACCCAGGAGGTGGAGATTGTGGTTGAAACGAGATCGTGCCATTGCACGCCAGCCTGGGCAACAAGAGCGAAACTCCATCTCAACAACAACAACAACAACAAAAAAGCCAGATGTGGTGGTTTGCGCCTGTAATCCCAGGTACTCAGAGGCTGAGATGAAAGGATCACTTGAGGCCAGGAGTTCAAGGTTGGAATGAGCTGTTCCAGCCTGGGCGACAGAATGAGACCATGTCTTAAAAAAAAAAAAAAAAAAAGTGAGTTTTGGGGAAGAATAATCAACAGATGATTGTTGTGTGCTCTGCTAAGGGGCTTTTGACCGCCTGGCATTGGGAAGCCACTGAAAGCTGTTCAATAGTTGAATGAGGCATTAAAGATATTTGAGAAGCCCAGGAGTTCGAGGCTGCAGGGAGCTATGATTGTACCGCTATACTCCAGCCTGGGTGACAGATTAAAAAAAGAAAGAAAAATGAGATAATAAGATGAAGAGGTGGGAAGTATAGTTTCATTTAGTGAGTCTGGTGCAAACAAAATTAAAGACTAGTTATCCCGTAAGAGGGAAAGGCAAGAAAAGTTTAGCATTTGATTGATTGATTGATGGATGGATTGAGATGGAGTCTCACTTCGTCGCCCAGGCTAGAGTGCAGTGGTGCGATCTCAGCTCACTGCAACCTCCACCTCCCGGGTTCCAGCAATTCTCATGCCTCAGCCTCCCGAGTAGCTGGTACTACAGGTGTCCACCACCATGCCCGGCTAATTTTTTTTTTTTTTTTTTTTTTTTTGTAGAGATAAGGTTTCACCATGTTGATCACACTGGTCTCGAACTCCTGACCTCAGGTGATCTTTCCCGCCTTGACCTCCCAAAGTGCTGGGATTATAGGTGTGAACCACCACGCCTGGCCCTAGCATTTTAAATTATTGAAAATGATACAAATGTCTTGAGGGAAAAATATTGCTTCATTTGTAAATAATGTGTTGAAGGGAAAAGAGAGAAATCTGTGTTTGATATTTAAGTCTGAGAATAACTTGAATAAAACAGCACATAGATTAAAATGAAATGAAAAAATTTATTTTCTCCCCCCTTCCATGTAGATTATTAAGTGACTCTCCATCTTGTAGAGAAACTGATTCCATACAATCAAGGAAAAATGAAGTACGTATACATTTTTACTGCTGTAGTTATTTTAGTTTCATGTTTAAATATTTTAGTAATCCCCATGTTTTTAAAAAGCTAATTTGATGCTCCTTTTAAAATCATGAGATGGCATTCCTTGTGTAATACAGTTTAACATAGCATTGCAATGATTGATTTATGTGAATAGTATCATTATTCAAGACATGATGGCTAGTACAAAGAGGACTTCTACATGGCTTTAGGCTTAATTGAGTGCCAAAAGTGATAGAATAAGTTTGTAAACAACTATAATAACATTTAGAAAATTGACTTCTATAATTTGTAAATGAATGCAAAGCTAAATCATACATGGATATACACATACACATAAATGATGATGCTAAACATTTTTTCTTCAAACTTATGAAAGCTAAAGCATTAGGTTGGATAATTTTGTTATGGTTTGTGTTTTAGGAATTTTACAGAATATAACCATCATTTTAGTATTTTAATGTGTTTTCTGTTTTGTTTTAAATAGGAAAGTCAAGAGGTATGTTGATGTTGTCAGATATATTGAAAAACTGAGAAAAGCTCATCACTCTCGCAAAGTTTAAATATAGTCATATCCTACCTAGCATTTGGAGTACTACATCTACCCAAGAGAGAAGTTCCCAACCTTTCTTCTACCAAGTATCTCTTTTATTATTGTTCTGTGGATCTGTTTAAAATATATATTATGTAATTTTGTTTTTATTTATCAAGGACATATAACTGGCAGCAAAAATTTCTGATTAGCATATAATAACTGGTGTGCTCAAATTATTGTAATGCAGTAGTAGCCAAAAGCAATTAAACTTGACTAGTTCATTAGCCTGTATATTTTTATTAAGGGAAAACAGAGTTTTGCTTAAGATAGATGCAGTATTTAAAACCATGGAGAACCTGATCACTAGAAGGAATAATGGAAAGTACATTGCCATGGGAGTCTAATAGACCTGCATTGATTTTTGCCACTGCGACTTATTAGCTATGCCATCTTGGCCTGATTATTTACCTTTTTTGAATTTCATTTTCTGTATCAAGTAGATACAATGCTACCATCTTTGTAGGATTTTTGTTAATATTAACAAGACAACATTTGTAAAGTGCCTGATATTTTACCAAAGGCACCACAGGAGCTCAAAAAGTTAAATCCTTTAAAAAGTAAATAATGTTCCAAAAATGGATTATTTAATAGTTTCGGTAATTTTTGCTTGTTTAAAGACTTACATAGCTAGGGAAAGCTGCTGAGGAGCTGGCTTGTAATTAATTAGCTATCATTTATTCGAAAGTTATTGATTACTCCTCGGTAATATGACCAGCACTACATAGGAAGATATAAAAGAAGAGCTTATATTCTTTACTTTGAGCATATTCAGTTGAGTACTCTGAATATTTGTTTTAGATGTATTCATTTTTATCCGACTAGCACAAATAATGACAATATTTTCAAGCAAATAATTCATAGAAAAGCAGCAGAAGATATCTGAGGTGGTATTCTTTATAATGAATTTGAAACTTTGTGTCATAGAACAATTCTGCCAAAGTTAGAGCTTCTTATGCATGGTTACATAAGTATGTTTCATATATACATGTGTACTCTGATAGAAAGCAAGAGATGGGGGAGTTTTTCCTTTTATCAATATAAGTCACATTAAGGAGGTACAAATACTGTACCATTATAGAGGACATTATGTTTAGTGGAAAGACAAAATAAGCTTATCATTGTTTTCTTTAAGCCTCTCATCTTTAAATATGACCAAAATACGTAATTACAGTTTCTTGTTTTTTGACAGATTCAGAAAAAACTGTATACATTAGAAGAACATCTTAGCAATGAGATGCAAGCCAAAGAGGAACTGGAACAGAAGTGCAAGTATGTTTTGTAGATAATTAAATATTACATTATAAAATTTAAGTTTAAACATTTACTGAAAAAAGAGCGGCCAGGTGTGGTGGCTCACACCTGTAATCCCAGCACTTTGGGAGGCCGAGGTGGGTGGATCACGAGGTCAGGAGTTCAAGACCAGCCTGGCCAAGATGGCGAAACCCAGTCTCTACTAAAAATACAAAAATTAGCTGGGCATGGTGGCGGGTGCCTGTAATCCCAGCTACCTGGGAGGCCAAGGCAGAGAATTGCTTGAACCTGGGAGGCAGAGGTTGCAGTGAGCTGAGATCATGCCACTGCAGTCCAGCCTGGGTGACAGAGTAAGACTCCATCTCAAAGAAACAAAAGAAAAAAAAAGAAAAAACAGAAACGGAGAGCTATGGCCTGGTGCAGTGGCTCACACCTGTAATCCCAACACTTTGGGAGGTCAAGGGAATTACTTGGGAGGCTGAGGCGGGACAGTCGCTTGAACCTGGGAGGCTGAGGTTGCAGTGAGCTGAGATTGCGCCACTGCACTCCAGCCTGGGCGACAGAGCGAGACTCTGTCTCAAAAAAAAAAAAAAGAAAAAAGAAAGAAAGAAATGGAGAGCTACGGCCGGGTGCGGTGACTCACGCCTGTAATCCCAACACTTTGAGGGGCCAAGGGAGCTACTTGGGAGGCTGAGGCAGGACAGTCGCTTGAACGTGGGAGGCAGGCATTGTAGTGAGCCAAGATTGCGCCACTGCATTCCAGTCTGGGCAACAGAGCAAGACTTCGTCTCAGAAAAATAAAGGAGAGCTACCAAGTAATTATGTAATTACTTTTAAATTTATAGACTATGTTTTATTGTAAATTAGAAGTTATTTACTGTTTCTTTCTGAAATTCTTTAGATCTGTTAATACTCGCCTAGAAAAAACAGCAAAGGAGCTAGAAGAGGAGGTAAAGTTGCCCCACTTTTTTATTAACATTTTTGTTAGTAAAAATCTTTGATGTCTGACTTACCTAAGGAGCTCTCTTGGTACCATAGTAATACGTGCCTTGAAACCTACCTTGTAGTATTGGTGGATAGGACTAAATTATAGGGAAATCATGTTATAAATAGGCTTCATTCTGTTATGTTTTTGCAAACTTGAGTTAATTCAGTATGTGTAAATATTTCAAGGGAAAAAAATGCTATTCATAACATTTTAGGCCAAAGTATTAAATAATGATAGTTCAGTAATTGTGGAAATTTACAGGAAGTTTGAATAGTAAACAAAACATTTACGGTCTTTATGATTTAAGAGTAGTGTGCTAGTTTACAATCATAGAAAGCATTATTACAGTTTTAACAAAAAAGCAGTGAAAGCCTTTTTGAGATCTTTTTTATCTGTTTGGAATAGCAAGTATTTTTTGTTTTGATTTCATTTTTATACATACTTTTTTGATAATAACTTTAAGCATTATTTCAGATTACCTTACGGAAAAGTGTGGAATCAGCATTAAGACAGTTAGAAAGAGAAAAGGCGCTTCTTCAGCACAAAAATGCAGAATATCAGAGGAAAGCTGATCATGAAGCAGACAAAAAACGAAATTTGGAAAATGATGGTTTGTGGTGTAGAATATTAATTACTCATCAAGAAAAAAATTAAGTGTGTGTATGTGTGTTATGCTAAGCTTGCCACTGAAATGCTTTTTATCATAGTTAACAGCTTAAAAGATCAACTTGAAGATTTGAAAAAAAGAAATCAAAACTCTCAAATATCCACTGAGAAAGTGAATCAACTCCAGAGACAAGTAGGTGGATCTAATTTGTAGTAAAGATACTGGGTTTTATTTTTAACGCGATAACATTAGTTTTAATTGACAGTGTTGCAAAAGGCCTTTACCTCTAATTTTAGAAATCATTTGGAAAATATTTTTAGGTTTTTGTTTATTTTAAATAGTTTCTAATGGGGGAATACATTGACTTATTTTCATTACATACATGTGTGTTTGTTTGTTGTTGTTTGGTTTTGAATGGAATAACAGCTGGATGAAACCAATGCTTTACTGCGAACAGAGTCTGATACTGCAGCCCGGTTAAGGAAAACCCAGGCAGAAAGTTCAAAACAGATTCAGCAGCTGGAATCTAACAATAGAGATCTACAAGATAAAAACTGCCTGCTGGAGACTGCCAAGTTAAAACTTGAAAAGGAATTTATCAATCTTCAGTCAGCTCTAGAATCTGAAAGGAGGGATCGAACCCATGGATCAGAGATAATTAATGATTTACAAGGTATTGAAGTCGTGGTTGCACTTGAATTAATTTTGATGATTCTTATTTTAAAAATAACTTTAGATGATGGATAGTGTGCTGGATTGGACATTTCTGAATATACTATTATGTAAAGTTAGAATATTAGAAATACACTGATACAAAATTTTAGGAACAAAAGATTTAATTTCAAATAGTATGATTTTAAGTATTAAACTCTTCAGGTAGTAGATTGGATTCCATTTGAATTAACTATAAAGCACAATACCAACAAGTATAAAACTTCTGCTCACAAACAACAGCTCCAAAATAGAAGGTGGCTTGCAAACTTTTTATTCCTAATTGAATGTATATACTTTGTGGGTTTAATGTTTTAAAAAAACGTTGCAATTTTTAGGTAGAATATGTGGCCTAGAAGAAGATTTAAAGAACGGCAAAATCTTACTAGCGAAAGTAGAACTGGAGAAGAGACAACTTCAGGAGAGATTTACTGATTTGGAAAAGGTAAAACATGTTTTATATTTTTGCATAAGAAAATTGACAGTAGACTTTCAGGTTAGAAAAGTTATTCTAAACTAAGGGAAGTCACTAACTGGAATATTTCCACATGCTCATGGATTCCTTTTGATTTGGACTTGATGTGTAGATAAGAGATGTATCTGCAGGCTTACCATAACACTGTACAAGCAGCCCTCAGCATGCTGGTTGCTCATGAAGTAAGGGGACCCATCCTGGAGTGTAGATAATGAGGATCTCTCTAGGACCCAAGGAAAACTCAAATTTCGACTCATAACATGTCTTAAAAATGCCATATATAAAGTCACCATGACTTTTGGCATTTAGAAGTTTTTCTTTTAAAATACTCTAAGAAAGGGATGATTTCTAGAGTCTATGCAGTTAGCATTTTATTTTCATTCACTTATTTATTTACTCAGCTAAATATTCAGTGTGTTATATGTGGTAGAAATATCAGGATGCAGTCCTTGCCTTGAATAATGTCACAGTTGAATAGTTAAGTTTAAAAGTAATAATAAAGCACAAAGATAATTCTAATGACAGTATGGCAAATAGAATGATAAGACTTATGGACAGGGTATATGTATTGGGTGTATGGGATGCATCCCTAACCTGACAGCAGGATAGGTCCGTAGGGCAAAGGCACATTCTAAGTTAGGGAGAACAGCATGAGCAAAGACATAGAAGATGGAAAATAAAAAAGGCATTGTTTGTTTTCTGGAGTATAGAGTGGGAGTCAGCAAATTTTAATCGTTTAAAGGCATGGTAATAAATATTTTATCTTCTGTGGGTTATATGGTCTTGCAACTGTTCAGCCCTGCTGTGATTCATGAAGGAATGGATGTGGCTACGTTCCAGTGAAACTTAAAAAAGAAAAAGGCATCAGGTTAGATTGGCCTGAAGATCACAATGTGGTTGTTATGTAAGGACATGAGGAATTCAGTGGTCAGAATGAGGCTACAGAGCTCGGCATGAGGTAGATCATGCAAGATAGCGAATACTCTATTAAGAAATTTTGAATGTAGTAATGGGCTAGCCACTTAAGGGCTTTAAATTGGATGATCTTATTAGAGGTACATTAAAGATAGATCGCTGTATACTGTGTGGAGAAAAGATTTGAGGAGGACAAGACTAGAGGTAGAGAGACTGGTCAGTAGACTTTTTCAGTAATGCTGATAAGGAATAATGGGAGACTTAGTACAGCCATTAAAAGGTTGGAAAAATTGGAAGACTCAGAAATATTTGGAAGAGGAATATTTGGCAGCACTTAATAGTTGATTAGATATGGCATATGAGTAGCAGTCAAAGATGAGTCCCAGATTTGTAGGTTGTGACAAGATATATAGTGATGCTGTTAATAAAGAATAAAGGAAAAATAGCTCATGAGACAGTGATAAACCCACTTTAGTCCTCTTAAGTTTGAGGGTACCTATGGGACAGCCAAATTAGCATGTCTGCACTGCAGTAGGCTATAGTAGTAGAAGTTAGAAATATTTGAGTCATTGGTATGTAAGTAGCTGAAATCATGTGAGTGGAATAGCCCATCTGGGAAAAGACTGTGTGAAGTAGTGATTTTTTTTTTTCTTTTTTAGGACAGAGTAGATTACTCTGTTGGTGGATTATGTGGTTTGAGAAATCATTTTTTGTATGAAAGGCTTTATTTGGAAAAAAGCCTTTATCATATTTATGATATGAACTATAAAAATCAAAGAATTAGAAAACCTTTGGGGTTTATGTAGAAAATAGGAGGAGTATTGGGGCTTAGATCACCAACATTTAAGGGACAGCTGGGAAAGCTTCAGGAGCAACAGAAAGGATGCAAGCAGAATGGAGAGAACCAACTAAGTACAAGGTCGGCAATGCCAAGGGATAGTTTTAAGGGGGGCAGTGAGTTCAAATAAGACTGAAAAGGGTCTTTAGAATTTGATATTGAGAATAGCATTGGTCTTTTTGTTGAGATTAAGTGAGCTTGATACAGATCTCAGAACAGCAGAGTGGTGGTGTAGACTGTTGGGTACAGTGGGAAGTAGAGAAGTAGAGTATATAGATTACTATTCTAAAAGGTTTGAGTGAAGACGGGAGGGGAAATACTGAACATTCTAGTTAAGCCTGTTAAAAAACAAGTTAAGGTTGAGCACCATGGCCCACACCTATAATCTCAGCACTGTGGGAGGCTGAGTCGGGAGGATCACTTGAGCCCAGGAGTTCAAGATCAGTGTAGGCAGTGTTTAATGAGACCTTGTCTCTACATTAAAAATAAAATAAAATAAATTAGCCAGGAGTGGTGACAAACTTCTATAGTCCCAGCTACTTTGGAGGCCAAGGTGGGAGGATTGCTTGAGCCTGGGGAGGTTGAGGCTGCAATGAGCCATAATCAAACCACTGCACTTCAGCCTGGGTAACAGAGCAAGACTCTGTCTCAAAAAAAAAAAAAAATTAGAAAGCTTTTGAAATTGTGAGCTAGTCTCTTTTTTGTTGATAGCTGCATTTTAAATATTTAATAGGAAAAAAGCAACATGGAAATAGATATGACATACCAACTAAAAGTTATACAGCAGAGCCTAGAACAAGAAGAAGCTGAACATAAGGCCACAAAGGCACGACTAGCAGATAAAAATAAGATCTATGAGTCCATCGAAGAAGCCAAATCAGAAGCCATGAAAGGTATGCATTTTTTAAAGAGGGTTTTCCAGCAGCGTCTTCCTAAGAATTGATTCTGTGTTAGCTTTTTGGTTTTGAAACATTTTTTTTTATATTTCATTGTCAAATATTGGGAATTGGAGGGAAAAAAACTATTAGGGAAGCTTTACATAGATATTCTATTATTTTTCCTTTGTATCATTACAGTAATCATTTCTAAGATAGTAAGACCCAAACACAAAATTACATGATCAGATTTTTAGATCAGAGATAAATTAATATTTCTCAATATTATATACCTGGTAATATCTGTACCACTCGGTATACGTGTATCAGTAGTAAGAAGGAATATCTGAACTTCACACGCTGTATACCTGTTACTATTGATACAGGTAATTCTTGTAATACAAGAGTTTTGTATTATAAAATTCTTGCCAGTTTATGCAAGGTAAGAATTTAAAAGTAATAGCTGGTCTAACTAGAATATAAGTTCACTGAGTATTTTGATCTCTAACATGATGAAGATACTAGCCAGATTTGGTCGAAGCCATATAATACTAATAGATAACAAAGTTAACCTTCCCATAAACTAGACTTTATCCTGGAATTGTCTTAGGATAATTTTTTCTTTTCCAAACTGACTGTTTATAATGACTCTGAAATTCCAGAGAAAATCAGTACTTTAAGCTATTCTTGTGAAAGGCTTAAAACTCTTGAACAGAAATTTATTTTCATATTGAAGCATTACATGAGTAACTAACTTAGAAAAAATAGCCTTTTAATTATTGCATGTAATTAAAATGGTAGATTTTCTTAGTAAAAATCAGTGTAGTTTAAGGCACTAAATCAGGATGATAAGAAATGAAATGAGTACTTTATTTACAAAAATCTAATTGTAAGGGAGAAAGTTACTGGGCCATATTTCCTTGTCTGTGGCCTAGAAGACAGAGTTCAATTATTTTCATTGAGGTATAATTTACATGCAATAATAAAATGTAAACATTTTTGACATTTCGTGATATGCTCACATAACTACTGTTCAAAACAAGATAAAGAATATATCAGGCTAGGCATGGTGGCTCACATCTGTAATCCTAGCACTTTGGGAGGCCAGGGTGGGAGGATCTCTTGAGCCCAGGAGTTTGAGACCGGCATGGGCAACATAGCAAGACCCTATCTCTACAAAAAATAGAAAAATTAGCTGGATGTAGTCGCGTGCGCCTATAGTCAGAGCTACTTGGGAGTAGGACTCTCAGTATTCCTGCAATGATGCAGGAACATTGCTTGAGCCCAGGAGTTCAAGGCTGCAGTGAGCCATGATTGCATCACTGCACTTGAGCCTCAGTAGCAGAGCAAGACCCCATCTCAAAAAAAAAAAAAGGACTATTTTCATTATCTCAGTAATGCCTCTTTCTATTCTCAATGCCTACATTATGGTGATTGTTTTTTTTGTTAAATGAGGACATTTGTTTAGTGATTATTCTCTGAATTGATAAAAATGAACCAATTCAGTATTAACTACCATTTTTTTCAAACTATTAAAACGCTAATGTAAGATACATGATGACTTCCATATTTTACACATGAGTACACAAAACTGTTACATATTATAGATGGTTTCAAATCTGAGGCTAAAGCCTTTGGTCCTTCTGTTGCATGTCATTGGCTCCTTGGATTAAGAACATGGCTCACCAAATAATTACTAGCTATGTGACCTTGTCTAGTTATTTAAACTTTCTGTGTCTTGTTTCCTGTGAAGGGACAATTACAGTATTGTTACGTTGTTGTGAAAATCAAGTGCAATAAAACATGTAAAGTGTTTAGAAATGCTATTATTAGTACTACATGGGGAATGTTTCATTTTTCTGCACTTTTGAAGACCATTCATTAAACACTAAATATTCATAGGTTTAATTTTTACCTAATACAACTTTATAATAGATGATAATTAGATGTTGAGCATTAATTATGAAAAAGCAGAGGAGCCTTAATTGAATGTGAACTGAAGTACTAACCAGTATATCAAGATAATCCTTTAACTGTGATGACTTACATTTAACACTGAAATCACTTGGAACTTTGCCTTCTGATAAGTAAAATAGATTAAAAATTTATTGTAAATAATTTAGAAAACACAGGAAAGTATAAAGAAAAAAGCAAAGATTACTCATAATCCTATGAGTTAGGATACTATTTTGTAAATTTTCTCCACTTTCTATACCGTTTTGCTTTTTAAAAAACAAGACATTGTGAGCGTTTCCTTGGTCATTAAAAATTCTGCTTAAATAATAAGCACTTACCAAGTGCTTGCCATATGCCAGGCAGCATTTAAGTGGTACACATGTATTAAATCTTCACAACCTCCCTAGGTGCTGTTATCCCTATTCTGGAGATAAGGAAACAGGTCCAGAGAGGTGAATTACTTGCCCAGTCAAACAGTGTTAGACCCAGGGTTTAAGCTCAGAAAGTTTGGTTCCAGAGTCTTGTCCTTTACCACCTCCCTAAAACATATTTTTCAACACCTGCATAATAATGTGTTAACATGGAAAGTCCTATGGAGATCATAGAATCTACCTGGATTGTTTTAAGGTAAAAATAGTAACACTGAGAGACATAGAATAGCAGTAAGCAGTAGAATATAAGAAACCTTTGTTTAAAGATGTAAGCATCTTGTAGAATATAAATAAAGGTAGAACTATCTTGCTTCCATTAGAATAGATGTAATATTGCAGAGTGTGATACATTTTTACACCCTGTGAATGAAACTCCTAATTTTCAAGTATGAAAGTGAAAATATTAAATTGAAAATTAAGGCCAGGTGCAGTGGCTCATGCCTGTAATTCCAGCACTTTGGGTGGCCGAGGCGGGTGGATTGCATGAGGCCAGGAGTTTGAGACCAGCCTGGCCAACATGGCAAAACCCCATCTC
Source organism: Homo sapiens (assembly GCF_000001405.40). Classification (NCBI taxonomy): domain Eukaryota; kingdom Metazoa; phylum Chordata; class Mammalia; order Primates; family Hominidae; genus Homo; species Homo sapiens. The sequence continues at coordinate 11,208,776 of NC_000002.12, read as the reverse complement.
TACTAAAAATACAAAACTTAGCTGGGTGTGGTGGCACACGCCTGTAATCCGAGTTATGTCTGGAGGCCGAGGCACGAGAATTGCTTGAATCCAGGAGGTTACAAAGAGCTGAGATTGCGTCACTGCACTCCGGCCTGGGCAACAGAGTGAGACTCTGTCTCAAAAAAAAAAAAAAGAAAAGAAAAAAAGAAAATTAATAGAATATAAGGCAGCATCATTTATTATAATTTTTATTAGTATGGTGTCATTTAATGTGCTTTTACTTACAAATTTATGATATGCTTCTTTTATTTGTAAATTTATGATTGTGTCCATTTTTATTATACTAGAAATGGAGAAGAAGCTCTTGGAGGAAAGAACTTTAAAACAGAAAGTGGAGAACCTATTGCTAGAAGCTGAGAAAAGATGTTCTCTATTAGACTGTGACCTCAAACAGTCACAGCAGAAAATAAATGAGCTCCTTAAACAGAAAGATGTGCTAAATGAGGATGTAAGTATTAAGTGTACTAATGATTAATAATAAACTAATGAATTAATAGGTTTATTCATGAAGGTCTAGTGATGGTTTCATAATTTTAAAGTTTTTCTTATAATAGTCTGCAACCTGTTGGTTTAACTAAATTTTGATGATATACTAAAGGAATCATAATTTAAACATTTTTAAAGTTATATTTACCTTATTATATTTTATTTAAAAAATACAATTATAATATTATTAGAAATACAAAAAAAATTTTAGTATGAAATGAATTAGCTACCTAAGGGTAAAAAAATCTGTTTTACATCACCATATTTTATACCAACTTCATTGATTAGAAAAATGGAAATAATTTACTTATATACCAAGTACACAATTTATTTCTTAGGTTAGAAACCTGACATTAAAAATAGAGCAAGAAACTCAGAAGCGCTGCCTTACACAAAATGACCTGAAGATGCAAACACAACAGGTTAACACACTAAAAATGTCAGAAAAGCAGTTAAAGCAAGAAAATAACCATCTCATGGAAATGAAAATGAACTTGGAAAAACAAAATGCTGAACTTCGAAAGTAAGTTAATTGATTGAGATGTTTTAATATGCATAATTATCCATGTATAAGTTAATTTTGGTGTATCTGTGGATTTTCTTTTGAGCATTTTACTTTCTAGACCATGTTTTCTATTTATTTCTGTACAGGTAATGTGTTGAGTGTCACTGTTGTCCTTCGAGATTATATTCGTTTCCCCAACAGTTTTTACTGCTGCTACCTAATTACAATGTGATGATAGAGGAAGTGTTGGTGATGAGGCAGAAGAAAATATCTGGGATTTTCATACCATGCTTTTAGATTCCTCCTCAGGGCTCTTTCTCAAGCTTATTGTCCGTGTGCCTGTTTGTTTCCTTAGTTTCTTAGACTTGGAAATGTTTGACTGTTAAATAAACAGCATGTAAATTTTTAATCATGTCATAGGATGTACTCTAGTGTCTACTTGATTTACTTATAAAATGGAGAACATATTGTTAAAATACTTTAAAAATATTATAGGCACGATTGTGCACGTCTGTAGTTCCAGCTACTTGGGGAGCTGAGGCAGGAGAATCACTTGAGGTGAAGTGAGATTGCTTTGCACTGTGATCATGCCTGCGAATAGCCACTACATGCCATCCTGGACAGCATAACAAGAACTCAACTCTAAAAAAGATAAAATATATAGTAAATATACTATTAAAATTTGTCCCATTTATTCTATTAGTAGGAGAATTACTTCTTCCTAATCATGACCAAAGGTCATATTGGATCCCGGTTGTTTGATGAAAGACAGTGTGATAGAGTGGAAAGAAAAAAGTCTTTGGATCCAGACAGACTGAGTTGTGAATATTGGTTCTGTTACTTACCAACTAACCAACATCGGGCAAATGATTTAATTTCTCTAAGCCTTTTATCACACTTGTGAAAGGGAGCAGTAATAGCTTCCTTGTTAGGGATCTTGTAAAGGATAGCAATGGTTTATTTAAAGCATCCATCATATGATAAGTGTTAGGGACTATTACTGCTAGATCTGTTACTGTTACAACTACTACAGCTACTACTAATGTATCCTCATTATAATTGTCTGCTTTATGCATACCTGTGACAGGTCAGTAAGACTGATGCTATCTAAGAAAAGATGCTTAAAATATTCAAGTAGACTTTGTTCTTTTTGCTGAGCTGATCTATTTATTGCCAGGGTAAGCCTAGACCTTCAACTTCATGAGATTTAAACTTTTAAAATTGGAACTAGAAATTGGAACAGTAATCAGACATCTTTGTCTTTGTGTTTTTTGTGGGTTTTTTTTCTGTATATTAGCTTTATTTTTCTCTCTTATTTCAGGCCAGCTTTTTATTCTAACGATAGTGTTTATGCAGATGTAAGAGCTAGTTAATCATCTAGGTTGTGTTTCCTTCCCACTTCTAATAATGCTTTGTTTATACCTAGTGTATATGCCTCTTATTTTCTTTGTAAGTGAATGGCGTTCTGTTATTTCTTAGTCCCTCTTTTCCTTACCTCTCCCCACCAAAGACACCCATGTTTTCTATCTTAGCCACCTAATAGGGTTATAGAGGAAGTGTTCATTGTAGGGTTAAAATTGAAGGGCAAAAATCATTTATTTATATTTTGTTCTCCCCAGTCCTTTTTTTTTTTGGAGATGGAGTTTCACTCTTGTTGCACAAGTTGGAGTGCAATAGTGTGGTCTCAGCTCACTGCAACCTTCCCTTCCTGGGTTCAAGAAATTCTCCTGCCTCAGCCTCCCAAGTAGCTGGGAATACAGGTGCCCACCACTATGCCCGGCTTATTTTTGTATTTTTAGTAGAGATAGGGTTTCACCATGTTGGCCAGGGTGGTCTTGAACTGCTGACCTCAGGTGATCTGCCTGGCTTTGCCTCCCAAAGTACTGGAATTACAGGTGTGAGCCACTGTGCCCGGCCCCCAATCCTTGATTAAGGTTTTACATATACTACATCCTCAATAAATGTTGTATGAATGATTACATCCCTCTTAGGTGTAAGGCATTGTAGTAGTTACTATGAAAGATAGAAAGATTAACCAAATACATTTCCTACCCATGAGAAGTTTACTAGCATTTTATCATTAGTTATTCAGTGGGGAAGATAAGGCAGGTACATAAGTGAATAGAAGGTAAAAAAAAAAAAAAAATACATGCAATGGGAATTTACATATGAAGTGCTATGTTGGCTTCTTTTTAAAATGGCCAACATGTATATCTCTTCTTTCTTGTAAGATTCCAGAAAAACTCTAGTAAAGGAATTAAAAAATATATAAACCCACAATAAATAAGAATGAGAATGGGTTGGAGGGCAAGAAGGTTCTCTAGTGAATGAGATGGCAGTTAGATGGAAGCCTTGTGACTGATGAAGTAGAACAAAAGAAGAAAGGAGTATATATAAGGCCAGGGGTATACATGAAGTGGGATATAGATGGAAAAGAAGTATTCAGAGCAAATAAGGCCTGGAGTAAGTTGTGACACTAAATGAACTAATCTGCTGATCATACTCTACCATTAACCTTGCAGATATGTCTGCAGCCAGGCACCTCCCACCACTAAGGTTTTTATCAGAGCATTCTCCTCTACAGAGTAATTGGGTACAACCTCTGGGGTAATTAGAACAGCTAATATGGGGTGAAAAGCCTTTCTCACTCTGGCATTTAGGGGTCCCTTTGCTTAATGCTGGCTTTTAAAGCCTCTCATCTTAAACTGAAGCTTGCCAGTGAGAAAACTCCTACATACATAGAGATTAAAGTTTTTCCCACCCCCTTTGCAAGTAAATAACCAAGTATCACTAAACATTTGAGGAAAGCCTGCAATCTGAAAGAGGAAGATTATGATAATGAAAGAGGAAAAGTGCCCCCGGAGGAAACATATATCAAGGAGTAGAAGAGAACTGCTAAAAGTTCTGGAAAAACAAAAGCACTGTAAAAAGCTACTGGTAATTAGTATTGATCAAAGATTTCAGGAGATACTGCTTCCATTAATTGAGAACCAGACACAATGTAAAAGGAACAGCCAGAATAGGAACGAGCTCTTGAAGATGAATAATTACTGCCAATATAAATTTGTTGGAAGGGTTCAAAGTCAAAGAAATTTCCTAAAATGTAGAACAAAAGAAGAAATGTCATGGAAGGTTTGAAAGACGTAAGTAAGGCCCAGAGGGACTGTTCTAGGAGATCTAGCACCCAGCGAATAAGAATTCCAGCAAGAACTAAAAACCAAGAGGAGGAAATTAAAGAAATAATAGAGAAGAATTTCCCCTAGCTGAAGGAGAAATGTCTTTAGACTGAAGGGACTCAGCATATAAATGAAAAAAGATCTATATCTAGACATATTCTCATGAAATTTCAAAAACAATGACAGGATAGGAGTGTTAGAGTTCTCATCTAGTAAACCGGGGAGATTATAGTTTGTGGTTGCTATAAGAGGGAAATGGGGGGTTCATTATACCACTTAGATGAGTGATACAACTATATTGGGAGGTGGGGAGAGGTTGGGGAAGGCAAGAGAGCTAAATTCAAGTCTGACAACAGGGAATGGGCAAATAATATCTAAAACTTATGAGATGTGGAGGTAACCACCAAAAGATAAAACACAAATGAAACAGTTATTTCTTCTAGGCGAATAGGATTAGTAGGGGTGGAGAGGTGTCAAATGAGGAGACTTCTACTTCTCATTGTAATTTCTTCCTTCTGTTCTGTACTCCTCATTTGTAATCATGTAATTACATGGTTCTTTCTGAAATAATACTTTCTGAAAATTACTTTTCTTAAATACCTAATAAATATTAGGTTATAAAAGTTACATATAAATGAAAGATATCAGCTCTTGAAGAAGGTCCTGATGTTAAAATTATACTGTGGTTTGCTACAAGTGGGCTTAGCTGACAGTGATCGGACAGTTTTAAAACTTGACCTTTCATATATTTGTTAAATTGCATCTCTCACATCTTTGACTCATGGAGAAATAAGAATCATGAATTCTCTACAGTATACTCATCAACAATAAAATACAGAAATGACACAGTTAAGTGACATTGAGTCATAACTTCCCTTTTTACCCACAAGTTTAAGAGCCAGTGAGTAAACAAAGTGACCAAATTATGTTAAATGGGAATGAGGATAAACCTCCTAAGCAGTATACGAACTGAAGAGACTAGGGTTAAATCACGTGCTCCCTCTGAGTCTTCCTGCATTGTAGTTTTTAAAAATACCCAAGTGGTGTTCATATAGCTTCCCATTGTAAAATACTTGACTACATTTAAAAAAAAAAGCAGTACGTAAGCTCTCCTTCATGAATGCAGACATTTTCCTCTCTCCAGAGGTAACATATCAACAATTTGTTATTTCTCCTTCCAGACTGTTTTCTGTGCCTTTATCTATATATCTGAACAAATATATGTGAGGTTGAGTTTTCTGTACATTTGATTCTATTTTTTGCTTGTTTTTAAATTATATCATACAAATTGTATTGTTCTCCAACTTGCTTTATTCCTCCTTAGTTTTGGTTTCGGATAACTATAATTTTTATGTTTTTAAAATAAGGCCAGAATTTAATGTACCATTTCAACCCAGCTTCTTAAATGGGTTGTTGGGCTTGCTTTTATTTTATTTATTATTTTATTCCTTTATTGAAGATTAACATAATACAGAAAAAGTACACAAATACTAAGTGTGGAGCTGAGTGAATTTTTACAAAGTATACAAATCTGTGCAGCCACCATCCATGTTTAGATCTAAAGCCAGCACTTCTCGCCTCCCCAGAAGCCCCCTCCCAGGCATTCTGCACTCCCCACTGAGATCACCAGATTTGAGGTGCTCTTTGGATTCTACTTGTTGGCATAAATGGCTGATCACAGTGTCTGTATGTGAATGTGTGATTCAATGTTGATTTAGTATAACACTGGTCTCAGAACCCCTTTATACTCTTAAAAAAATTATCAAGGGTTCTGCCGGGTGCAGTGGCTCACGCCTGTAATCCCAGCACTTTGGGAGGCTGAGGTGGGCAGATCACAAGGTCAGGAGATCGAGACCATCCTGGCTAACACGGTGAAACCCCGTCTCTACTAAAAATACAAAAATTAGCCAGGTGTGGTGGCAGGCGCCTGTAGTCCCAGCTACTCGGGAGGCTGAGGCAGGCGAATGGCGTGAACCCGGGAGGCGGAACTTTTAGTGAGCCCAGATCGCACCACTGCACTCCAGCCTGGGCGACAGAGTGAGACTCCGTCTCAAAAACAAAAATAATAATAATTATTATTATTATTATCATCAAGGGTTCCAAATGAGTTTTTGTTTACGTTTGTTATATCTAATGATTTGTATTGTGTTAGAAATTAAAACTGAGAAAACTTTAAAACACAGGAACACACAAACACGTTATTTTAGCCATCAGAATGATGTAATTACAAGTCATGTGGCCTCAGGAAAAGTACATACGGTATATAACGAGGGAATGAGAGTTTTAAAAAAAACCATGGTGCTCAGTATTATGAAAATGATTTGACCTTATGGGTTCTGTGGAAGAACCTCAGAGACTCCCAGGGCTTCCCCCAGACCATACTTTGAGAGCTGCTCGTTTAAAATATGTGTAAGTTATTTAAACCTTTGATTCATTGTCCTCACAGAGAACGTCAGGATGCAGATGGGCAAATGAAAGAGCTCCAGGATCAGCTCGAAGCAGAACAGTATTTCTCAGTAAGTTCAAGACACATTAATTTGCAAATAGCAAACAGAGTTTTGGTTGGGATATTTTATTTATACCATACAACTCATATAAAAAGAGCAGCTGGGCAAAAGAATGTAGATAGTTTAAGAGAAATTTATTATCATTGCTAGAAAAATAATTCTAAGCACAAAACATACCTGGTGAAGCTGATTAACAGCATTGTTTTCAGGAAGAAAATATTTTCATAATGCAAGAAATAAAATTGTAATAAAATTATCATTTTAATAGTTGTGCTTTTTTTGAGATCAGTTTTAAAAATATGAAGTAGAAACTCCTGTTTTATTGATTTAAGCCAATAACATTTTTTTGTCTAAATTGTTAATGTTTTTCCTTGCCTCCTTATTCATTTTACCTATCTGTGCTATTAAATGAGAAATATCACTGTGATATCCAGTTGAAAATCATGCTTCTTAATTATTACCTGAACTTGTATTAGTTAATTGATGACTAGAAATAGGAAAGTTCATTAAACTATTCATTTGCTCGGGGACTTAGCAGTAAGAAAATATTTGTATGTGTTCATTCTCCTTTTTGTCTGAATAGCTTTTGAATGTAGAAGTAATATTTCTGATGATGATACGCATTTCTGTTGTATTTTGCTATTTAGACCCTTTATAAAACACAAGTTAGGGAGCTTAAAGAAGAATGTGAAGAAAAGACCAAACTTGGTAAAGAATTGCAGCAGAAGAAACAGGAATTACAGGATGAACGGTAAGTATGAGACCCTTGTCTCTTTTTGTTCATAGCTGTATACTTTGCTCCTAGAACAATGCCTGGTAATCACCAAATAAAAAATTATTGATGAAGTGAATTAGACAAAAACTTTCACTTCATAGTGAAAACTGAACCATTAAAATGATATATTGCTAAAATGTAGGGACTCTTTGGCTGCCCAACTGGAGATCACCTTGACCAAAGCAGATTCTGAGCAACTGGCTCGTTCAATTGCTGAAGAACAATATTCTGATTTGGAAAAAGAGAAGATCATGAAAGAGCTGGAGATCAAAGAGATGATGGCTAGACACAAACAGGAACTTACGGAAAAAGATGCTACAATTGCTTCTGTAAGTCAAATTCTTGGTGCTTTTTTGGATTATAGTTAAATTGCTATATCTTAAACCTTCTTTAGACATACTAAGTATCACAGATCTAAATGAAAAATTATATATGCTGACTACAAGATTTTTAATCTAGTTAACTGCCACCTTCTCAATGTTGTCAGAGGAGCTTACTAAAAGTGACTTCACCTGTTAATGAATTCAAAGTTAAAGGTCTAAAGTGAAAGGGTCATTTTTTTTTTTCTTTTTAAACAGAACTTAGTTCAGAAGAATCTTGAAACTACCAGGAAAACAGTTCCGTGCAGGTTGAAAAAATTGCAATAAAAATTTCAGAGAGAGGTCAAATATCAAGTAGTTAGGTTTACCCTATCAATTAACTAGACCTATTGAAATGCTGCGGTAATTAAAAAGTCTGGTATTAGAACAGGGATATTCAATCCTGTTCAGTGGAAATGAAAAGGGAGGCCAGAAAGATTTCTGCACATACAGGAACTTGGTATATATGATGGGAGTGGCAGTACACAAATCACTGGGAAAGGACACATTTCATAAATGGTTTCAGAATAACTGTGTTTTTATATGGAAAGGAATAAAATTAAATCCCCACTACATCACACACAAAAGTAAATTCTAGCTATCTTAAGGACTATGAAAAATAAAAATTTTAAGCTATCAGAACAGAATCTAAAAGTTGCATATGACAGAAGACAGCATAAACAAATGACAGAAGGGAGATATTTGTAATATATTTATTAAACAAGGGATTTGTATCTAGAGTATATGTAGAATGTCTGCAATTCAGTAAGATAAGATTAAAGAATTTGGAAGAAAACTTAGCTGAAAGAGAAAACCTAAATATATAAGCATGTACTTAACCTCACTATTGTTCAGGAAAAGCCTAGGTAAAACAACTTTGAAATACCATTTCATACCCATCACTTTGGCAGAAATTCAGTAGCTGACAATTTCAAGTGTCTGAAGAATGTCTAGAAAATGGCATTCTTATTCACTATGGGTAGTATAAATTTAGTATGGCATAGTACAGTAAGTAGTATGACAGTTTCCAGTAAATTTTAGGCATTCACATAATGCAGTCAGAAGAAAGTCCACATTAAGATAAATACACTATAGAAATTTAGGCACAATGCTTATAGCAGCATAAATATTTAGCAAAAACTCAAATGTCCATGAATGAATGAATGCATGCATTAAATGTAATAGAAGATGGAACTATTACATCAGATCTTCATTTGTATCAGCAATTTAATGCCTTAATATGCTATTGAGTGAAAACAATTACAGAAAGATAAATTCAGTAAGATAGAAAATCGCAGCCTGGCATGGTGGCTCATGCCTGTAATTGCAGCACTTTTGGAGTTGAAGGTGGGAGTATTGCTTGAGCTCCAGGAGTTTGAGACCAGCCTAGGCAACATAGTGAGACCCTGTTTCTACCAAAAAAAAAAAAAAATTTTTTTTATCCAGGTGTGGTGGTTCATGCCTATAGTCCCAGCTAGCTACTCATGGGGGCTGAGGTGGGAGGATCCTTAGAGCCTTGGAGGCTGAGGCTACAGTGAGTGGTGATCGCACGCCATTGCACTCCAGCCTGGGCAACAGAGCTTGAGACCTTGTCTCCAAAAAGAGAGAAAAAAAAAAAAGAAAATCACATAAAGCCACACTGTGTATTGTTTCATGTGTATATAATGAAATACAGTCATGGGTGGAAAGGCAAAACACGTAATTTACAGTAAAACTTCCTTCAGGCCAGGTGTGTTGGCTTATGCCTGTAAGTAATCCCAGCACTTTGAGAGGCCTAGGCGGGCGATCACTCGAGGCCAGGAGTTTGAGACCAGCCTGACCAACATAGTGAAACCCCATCTCTACTAAAACTATAAAAATTAGCCAGGTGTGGTGGCGCATGCCTGTAATCCCAGCTACTAAGGAGGCTGAGGCAGGAGAATCACTTGAACCCAGGAGGCGGAGGTTGCAGTGAGCTGAGATTGCGCCACTGCACTCCTGGTTGACAGAGCAAGACTCACCTGGGTGACAGAGCAAGACTCTGTCTCAAAAAAAAAAAAAAAAGAAAAATAAGAGGTTTAACAATATTCTAGGATGTTTCTCATTTGAATCATTTTATAACATAAATTGTGTAAATTGGGATGTGATTATTTTTTCCTCTTTCATTTCTTAGCTTGAGGAAACTAATAGGACACTAACTAGTGATGTTGCCAATCTTGCAAATGAGAAAGAAGAATTAAATAACAAATTGAAAGATGTTCAAGAGCGTATGTATTAACAAAAAATGTTTATTTTTAATATACCTAATGTTTATCAGCTGCTGTAATTACCAATGTAATTTTAACTTTTTTCCATGTTTCAGAACTGTCAAGATTGAAAGATGAAGAAATAAGCGCAGCAGCTATTAAAGCACAGTTTGAGAAGCAGCTATTAACAGAAAGAACACTCAAAACTCAAGTATGTATAATAGAATCTAAATATGATTTTGAATTTTGTCTCAGTTTATCTCTTTTACATTTTACTTCTAGCATTACAAATTGGTAGCAGTAGTCATCGAATGTACCAATATTTGTGAAGTCACAATTACCTGATTTTTGCCAGGTTGAGAGAAGTTAGATTTGATTAATATTGTTAAATTCTATAGCAACTAAAATTTTTCTTAATATTTCCTTTTGGAATCACATTCTCTTTCAATTTATTGTTGTAATTTAATGTGTTTTTCTACTTTTAAGAACTGTTGGGATTGACCATTTGCTGACAACCTGAAAAGTGTCAGTTAGTTCACTCTCTGCCAACTCCTACAGTTGCATATGTACTGCATGAACAGGTGGGGTACTAGATACTCTTCACTGTTGTTGCACATAGAATATTTTATTAATTTGATGTCACTGCAAAATGTTCTTCCTCCAGAATAAAAGAAGAAAGGTCTGCCTATTAAAGTCTCTCTAGAACTAAAAAGTCAAAATGGTAGAAAGCAACATCAGATCAATTCTATAAATATTTAAATTATAATTCTCAGAAAACACGAGTAAAAATCTAATGGCTCATTGGATGGAGAAGGATGATGAGTAGTAAAGGAGGTGTATTATTTAAATATTATAGAAAGTGTTTCTTTGTAGCCCTGTATGTAGGGAAGGAGAGTATTTGTGATTGTATAACTTGTTGCTCTTGATGAGATACTGAGAAACCATAAACGTAATTTATTTTATTTATGTATTATATTTATTTTTACATTTTTTAAGGCTGTGAATAAGTTGGCTGAGATCATGAATCGAAAAGAACCTGTCAAGCGTGGTAATGACACAGATGTGCGGAGAAAAGAGAAGGAGAATAGAAAGCTACATATGGAGCTTAAATCTGAACGTGAGAAATTGACCCAGCAGATGATCAAGTATCAGAAAGAACTGAATGAAATGCAGGCAGTAAGAATACTTTTTGGACTCTAGACTGAAGACTTCTTTTTAAGAAGTAGAATTATTTTCATGTCTGTGTTTTACTGGTTATAGACCATTTCTATTTAATAATTATTATTGAACCAAGAAGCAAAATGTTGAGTTATGTTGCATCCAATTAACTTATTGTAATTAAATTTCTTATAGCAAATAGCTGAAGAGAGCCAGATTCGAATTGAACTGCAGATGACATTGGACAGTAAAGACAGTGACATTGAGCAGCTGCGGTCACAACTCCAAGCCTTGCATATTGGTCTGGATAGTTCCAGTATAGGCAGTGGACCAGGGGATGCTGAGGCAGATGATGGGTTTCCAGGTATGGATTTGTTTTCAGCACTAATATTTATCTTAAATATAAATCAGTTGATTGTTTTAAGTCTTGCGACTGACTGCTCTGAAGGAAAAATGTTTGTAATTTCTTTAAGGGAAAACCTACTCCTTGGAGTAAGGATTCAAGTAACATTTCAAACTTATTTTATTTATTGATTTTTTTTACAAAGTTTTTCATAAACATACAAAAGAAAAACTCCACATGTCTAGTTTTTAAATTATTATATTAGCTCTATTTTTAAGCTTTCGTTTCATTTTCTCTTCTTTCTGCATTCTTACTTCCTTTTATGTTGGGTGTTTAGTTCATATCACTCAGTCACACACTATGGAATCCATGTCATTCACCTACCAGCGTTCCTCTACTTCTCTCAATATTGCCACTAAGCCTTCCAGTTCTCACACGCTCCTTGACTCTGATTCTGACTCAGAAGAAGAATCTTTGCCTTACTTACCCATTTCATCGGAACCTAATGGTACAGGTGATATCCTGAAAATCTTCTCATCTTTGGAGTTTTTCCCACTACCCTTAATTTTAGTCCTTTTGAAGATTTTTTATGTAACATTAACTAATAACCACTAACTCTAATATGTTGTTGTAGACTCAGTTAAAAATAAACTGCTGCATGAATAAAGAATTTGTTTTTAAGGTATTTTCTCATGGCATTGCTGTTATAATTGATAGATGCCAACTTGCGAGAAATGGAGTAATACATTATATTGCTTAAGAGCGCATGGTTTCACTGCTTGTTTTAGCCATTTTCAACCAAGAAGAAATTCTTCCTGAAGTTTCATAACAAGAGTGGTGGTACAGAAAAAGTACTTCGACTGATTCAAAGGATATGCTTAAGGTTTTTACTGAGTACTTACTGACATTATCCTAGGCATATGTCCTTCATAAGAAACATGAAAGAATTTGGCCCGATCGTTACCCTGAAAGAGATTACAGTTTAAATGAAAACAGCAGAGAGTTCCGTCATTCAGAGTCAGAGGCAGCCCTGTGTGATCTTTCAAGACTGCAGTTTCCTCATCTAAATTAGGAAAATAATTCCTGTTCTGTGCGGTTTTTTTAGGATTAAAGAGAATTTGTGTAAAGCATCCAGCACGATTGATACATAATAGAAGTTAAATAAGTGATAGCTACTTTTACTATTAGAATAACTTCCCCAAATGCTATTTCACATATTTATTTCATTAAAAGACATTGATCAAATGTCATTAAAACAAATTCCGAGGATTCATACACATTCCTTAGTTGAATTACAATGTTACTGATTTTGATATTTTGGAATTTAGAAATCTTTTGATTATTTTGCTGCTTATTAACCAAATTTTATCTAAAATGTACGTAATTGGTCAGGTGTGGTGGCTCATGCCTATAATCCTAGCACTTTGAGAGGCTGAGGCAGACAGATCACCTGAGGTCAGGAGTTCGAGACTAGCCTGGCCAACATGGTGAAACCCCATCGCTACTAAAAATACAAGAAATAGCTGGGCGTGCTGGCGCGTGCCTGTAATCCCAGCTACCTGGGAAGCCAAGTTAGGAGAATCACTGGAACCCAGGATGCACAGCCTGCAGTGAGCCAAGATTACGCCACTACATTCCAGCCTGGGCGACAGAGCAAGACTCCATCTCAAAAAAAAGAAATAAAATAAAACAAAATTTACATTATTTTATTTTATTATAGTTATTCTAAAAGTCCATTTTCTCTGAACACGTAATTATTTAAAATATTTACTCCTTGAAAATGTGCACAATGTGGCCCTCTTCCAAAGGAAAAATAAAGGAGTCTAAGGCAGGTGTACCAGTGAGAATAGAGAGTTGCTGCTGCTGCCTTTTTTTTTTTTTTGGCAACTTTTCTCCTGAATTTTATAAATGCATGAATTTAATCAATGGAACATTTGACTTTATAAAAGTATAGACTATCTGTTTCCAATATGATATAACCTGGATTTTGTTTTGCATTGCATAACTTTTTACTACTGATCCTGTACTATTACTGTATCCTAGATGATGTATAGTGATAAATTCTAAAGGATATATTTTATTTGTTTTATAAATTTCATATTAAAATTTTATTAAGTTCTTTGTTATCTAAGGAGAATTGTTATCTTTAGCCTCACATGTTGTGCTTATTTGTAGAATCAAGATTAGAAGGATGGCTTTCATTGCCTGTACGAAACAACACTAAGAAATTTGGATGGGTTAAAAAGGTAATTGATACTTTGGAATATGAGCCTTTTGTTTTTGTTTTTGTTTTAACTCTAGTCATTTGGCTTTTGTAGTTGTAGGATATACATGACTGGTACCTTTAGACACATAGAACTTGTTTATACTTCAGGATTTGAAATGATATGATTTTATTTATCTTTGTAAAAAATTTTTGTCCTCATACCTTGTTAATAATAAGACAGATTTTATTGTTAGGAAATTGTTGATTTTGATACTTTTGCTGTTTTGTTGGGAAAAGAACTGTGAATATAGTAAAAAAGACCCACTTATTTATTTTCCTCTGTTACTATGATTATTGATGTTATTATGTTTATTTTTGAGAAGGTTACTAATGATGTTGGATCCCAAAGCTAAGTCCAAAAAAATTTGACTTTACTTCTCCCCACAGTTTGCTTATTTAAAATATCTATTAATATAAACAAAATTTATTGTTATTTTAAGGAAGACTGTCCTAAAGATATATTAAATACTTTTTAGTTACTTAGTATTTTATGATTTTTATTGCTAATATAGAATTTATTTTCAAAAAAATCAATAAATAAGGTATATAAAAACTTGAATTACTGATTTCTTTTCTCCCTGTTTTAACAGTATGTGATTGTAAGCAGTAAGAAGATTCTTTTCTATGACAGTGAACAAGATAAAGAACAATCCAATCCTTACATGGTTTTAGATATAGAGTAAGTGTTTTTGTTAGAATATTTAGAAACTATATCTTTTAAAGTATAAGAGACTAACAATGCAATTTATTAGTCTCATAGTATAGCTCCTACTGTAATATTGTTACATTTTCCTGTGATTTGCTTCATACAGATGAAAGTCTGGGATACAGGGTTAGTTAAAACATCTTTATTTCATGGGCCTTTGATACATTATTTTTTGAAACTAATTAGAAAATTTCTGACATAGAGGTTTCTAAAAATCTTAATTAATTATAGAATTAATAGAACAAAATATTCTGAGTTCCTAACATGGGTCAAAGTAGTCAGTGTTTAACGTCTGATGTAAGTATAGAATAATTAATATATAATTTGATCCTTGGGTGATATTTTATTCCTTTATTCAAAATTTTTTATAGCAAGTTATTTCATGTCCGACCAGTTACACAGACAGATGTGTATAGAGCAGATGCTAAAGAAATTCCAAGGATATTCCAGGTAAACATAGTTTTGTTTATATTTGGTTGGTTGGCTTTGTTTTGTTTTTTTCACATTTAGAAGTTCTCAAGTGACATGACATGTTAAATCTCTTCATTCTTTGACCCTCTTCAGGTTACCTTTATGTTTCAGTCCTATTTAAAGATGGTTTGTTGCTTTGTGACTTTTGTGCTTAATTCTGTTTGGGAACGTTTTCATTCCTTTCTCCATTTTATTTGTTAAAGCTTGCGGTGTGTTTGTATCATGTTTCTGGTCTTTGCTATATTTTTGTTTAAGGTTGGTTATGACTTTTTTTTAAACATGAATTTTTCCCTTTCTGTTTTTGTTTAATCTCAGCTCTCTAGAAAGTTAGAAAAGTCAGTTATGGAGGTAAATTTTGTACCTTGTAGCCCTTTTACCTCCGATTTAAAGTGAAGCCACATTCTTCCCTTTACTACTTCCATTTTAAAATTAGTCAAACCAACAATGACTTACTGATTTCCTTCTATGTAAGAGTCGTTGTGCTTGGTGTACTGTGTGGAAGTTGGCTCCTTGTTTTCTGGATGCTTGTCATGTTTATTTGGAGTTTAATACACATCCTTTCCTCTTTCTTTTCTCTCTCAACTCTCAAAATATAGGACTTTTAAAATGAAGCTGTGCTCATAGCTGTTACCCAGTTTTCTGTTAAGTATTACAAAACACCAATTAGTGTGATTGCCACATTTCTTCAAGTGATTATTTTGAACAGTCTCTCCCAGAAAAACTTCCTAACACCTATGAAGTTACCTTTTGCTGACCTATTCTGATAGTGCTGCTAAAGCATGGGTGTTATAAAGAAAATAAGGAGGCAGCATTTGAACAGGATCAGTTCTTTTGAAATGCAAACCAAAGTGACTGTCTGATGACTTTTCTTATATAAGCTCTTGATTAAGTTTGCGTAATCAAGAGCTTAAGTTTGTACTTCAGATACATTTTCTTCTCTTTGAATAATTTAGGCTAATTTTATTTTACTTACACTATCAGAATTGTTCCTACATAAAAAAATAGCATGTTTGGAAATCACTTATTGTTCTTTTGGCATTCATAGATTCTGTATGCCAATGAAGGAGAAAGTAAGAAGGAACAAGAATTTCCAGTGGAGCCAGTTGGAGAAAAATCTAATTATATTTGCCACAAGGGACATGAGTTTATTCCTACTCTTTATCATTTCCCAACCAACTGTGAGGCTTGTATGAAGCCCCTGTGGCACATGTTTAAGCCTCCTCCTGCTTTGGAGTGCCGCCGTTGCCATATTAAGTGTCATAAAGATCATATGGACAAAAAGGAGGAGATTATAGCACCTTGCAAAGGTAAATGATAAATTACTTGCTCCATCGATATTGGTTATGTTCAGATCATTTTAAGCACATTAATTTTTTTTTCTAATTTTTCTTTATAGTATATTATGATATTTCAACGGCAAAGAATCTGTTATTACTAGCAAATTCTACAGAAGAGCAGCAGAAGTGGGTTAGTCGGTTGGTGAAAAAGATACCTAAAAAGCCCCCAGCTCCAGACCCTTTTGCCCGATCATCTCCTAGAACTTCAATGAAGATACAGCAAAACCAGTCTATTAGACGGCCAAGTCGACAGCTTGCCCCAAACAAACCTAGGTAATAAACTAAAATGTGGTAAGGAAAAAAAAAAAGTCTATTAAAATATTTTGCTATTTATGTTCAAACTACAAATTTTCCTAATTAGTTTTCCTTTGCTTTGTATTTTAGTTAACTATGGAATACCAAATGTTGGAACTGTCTTAATGTGCATGTCATGTTCATCGATTCAGATGAAAGTAATATAAACTTACTTACTAAATCACACACATACAGTAAATTCAACCAAAAATCTTTAAAGATTTTTGTTATGTTTATTTGTACAATAAATCCTCACTTAACATTGTCCATAGGTTCTTAGAACTTACAACTTTAAGCAAAATAATGGCTGGTCCTGGAATTAAGTTGTTTCCTTCAAAATTGTTCTGTTATAACCTTGATGAGAAGAAAATGGTTTTGTTATACTTCATTTAGCTTAAAGTCATACTTTCCAAGAACCTGTCGATGATGTCCAGTGAGGACTTACTGTATAATAATATAATTTTCAGCTTTTATAAGCACTTGAGTAATTTAATAACTTAAAAGATAGAATTAACATTGTACACAGACCTCACATTGTCAAGTGCACACACTGTGTTTCATATTATAAGCTTTTATTATGTTGGGTGACTTGGGAGGCAGGTTTAAAATCAGCTTAAGTTTTAAATCAAATCTATAAATTTAAAACAGTAACTTGAGTGTGATTTTAACAGCAACATAGACCAGCTTTAAAAATGCAAATATTAGCTAATGGGTAAAGTGGTTATTCCTTGGAATTGAGGTAGAGTTAGGAAAATGGAGTAAGGTCAGGGATGATCATTATGCACAAAAACATTTTGATGGAGCCATTTTCGGATAGCTATGTGAAAGTCCTTTAGTTAAATATCGTGATTCACAATAGCCATTTCTTGGCTTACTAACTACTTCAGCATTTATAAACATTGCTATCCATTGAACATGAAATGAACACAAGAATTTGGTTAGCTAAAGGAAAAAGCATATCCTTTGATCAGGTATCTGATTTCAGGTATCCTTTTGGTTCCCTAACACAGGACCTTCAGTATATGAATATTGATAGCATTGGCTGTATTGTCAGAAATTCTAATCACAAACATCTTAGATGAAACTTTCTGAAACTAATCTCTCAAGGAAATAATTTAGAATGACAAAGGCAGAATTGGTGTTTCAGCAGTGAAAATGTTGAATATTTTGTGTGAGGTATGATAAAACTAAACAAAATTAATGATTATTGACTAAAGCTAAAGAAACTCAGAATTCAGAGACACTGAAGGCCATTTCAAGTGCCTTCTGTAAAACATCTGAAAATTAAATTTCTATTATTAATATTGTAGAACTATTAATGCTTAAATGGTATTTTAATACCTTATAGTGTGTAGTGATTTCAGTTTCCAAAGTACTTCTCTGTGTATTCTTTTCTCTCATTTAACTTCTTATATATTATCTCATTTGCTCTTTAAAATAGTCCTATGGAATAGAATAGGTATTGTTATATTTGTTTTTGATTAAGACTCCAGAAGGGGTTTGTCTAGATCTAGAACTATAATAACTCCAAATATCCTTTTGATACATTTTTTTCTTTTGTGCTATTTGACACATTAATGATTTCACTACATACGATAACATATATGGAATTAGTTTATGAGGCACGCTCCCAGTTATGTAACAGGCTGTTTTTATGTACACTGACTTACAAATACCTTCCTTTCCCAGTCCAAATCAGCATTATGGTCTATTTGAGAGTACATTTACTTTTGATTTTTGTTACTTTTTTTTTTTTTTTTAAAAAACTTCTGGCCTTGCCCTGTGAATCATTCTTCATTGATTTTTTTAAAAAACACATTTTGTCATAGCAACGGTAAGTAGTAAGGATTTCTTTCCCTCATATCTGCATGTAAATAAAACTAATATCAAAATTGACTGTAAAATGTGTAGTGTATATTTTGTGAAAAAATTCATTTAATACATTCTTTGAAATTCTAAACATAAAGGTGGTCACATTTATAATATAATTTGGATTTTGTTGTACATCTGCAACATTATTTCCATTGTTTTTGGCATTTGAGTCTCCATTGTTTCATGTACTCCTAGCATTGTGTCTGTATCTCTTACATGAATCAATCAACCTGCATTTTATTATTATTATTATTATTATTGAGACAGGGTCTCACTCTGTTGCCCAGGCTGGAGTGCAATGGCACGATCATGACTCACTGCAGCCTTGACCTCCCAGGCCCAACTGATTATTCTCCCACCTCAGCCTCCCAGAGTAGGTGGGACCACATACATGCACCATGACACCTGGCTAATTTTTTTTTGTTTTTATTTTCTGTAGAGATGGGGGTCTCCCTATGTTGCCCAGGCTGGTCTCAAATGCCTGGCCTTAAGCAATCCTCCCACCTCGGCCTCCCAAAGTGCTAGGATTACAGGCATGAGCCACCACGCCTGGCCAGTATTCCATTTTGAATGTCACATTTTAAGAGTCACTTATACAAATTGAATGGTATATAGATGAGAATAACAGAGGTTGCAGTATGTCATTTGAAAGTATTATGTAGCAAGCGAAGGAACTGAGGATATTTTGTTCTCTAAAGACATTATTTGAAAGTGTGAGAGATCATAAATAGCACTAAACAGTTAAAGACCTTTTCCTTGGAAGATGTATTAGAAGAAGAACCAATCAGAGAGGCAAATTGTAAATCTCATTGAGTAGCATGGTTCCAGGGAGGAATCAAGCCTCAGGCTGGATGGTTTTTAACATTCTACTGGACTAAAGCCCATTCAGTATACAAATGGGTGGAAATGGTAAAGGGTCATCCAAGAAAACAGAGGCACAGAATTGCTGGTGTGTCTCAGCAGTGATCTAACATCTAGCTGTTCATTTGAGTTTGTTTAATATTAGTCTTAGCATTAGTCAATCTAGCTTTAGTTGAACTAATTTGACATGGTATCCTTCTTAAAACAAAGTTTGGCTTTGTTAGATACATCAAATATAAAGTGAACCCATAAATGTTCACTTAACCATTTTTGGTAACTTTTCCTCTGTGTCTTTCTTTGTGGTCATCTGCCATTACATCATTACATCTTTTTCTCTTCTTTTTTCTTTTTTTTTGTGACATGACGTCTCACTCTGTCACCCAGGCTGGAGTGTAGTGGCGTGATCTCGGTTCACCCTAACCCTCCACCTTCCAGGTTCAAGCAATTCTCCTGCCTCAGCCTTCTGGGTAGTTGGGATTACAGACATGCACCCTACAAAATTAGCACTTTGGGAGGCCGAGGCAGGTGGATCACGTGGTCAGGAGATCGAGACCATCCTGGCTAACACAGTGAAACCCCATCTCTACTAAAAAATACAAAAAATTAGCTGGGCGTGGTGGCAGGCACTTGTAGTCCCAGCTACTCGGGAGGCTGAGGCAGGAGAATGGCGTGAACCCGGGAGGCGGAGCTTGTAGTGAGCCGAGATCACGCCACTGCACTCCAGCCTGGGCGACAGTGAGACTCCGTCTCAAAAAATAAAAATAAAAAAATAAAAATAAAATAAGACTAGAAATTAATTGACAGTTCATAAAAATAATGTATAGAAATGCTATTCTACAGGAATGTTTTCTTGGTACTTTTGAATTAAAATTAAAATGCCATACTGGAAAAGTAGGAAATTTGTGAATAAAATGCTAATTTTTGATGAAGACAATTTGGGGAGTCCTAATTTGTTTCAATGCAAGATAAAAATATACCAGTCTGGGCTGGGCGCGGTGGCTCACACCTGTAATCCCAGCACTTTGGGAGGCCAAGGCAGGTGGATCACCTGAGGTCAGGAGTTCAAGACAAGCCTGGCCAAGATGGTGAAACCCCATCTCTACTAAAAATACAAAAATTAGCCAGGCGTGGTGTCAGGCGCCTGTAATCCCAGCTACTGGGGAGGCTGAGGCAGAGAATTGCTTGAACCCAGGAGGTGGAGGTTGCAGTAAGCCGAGATCGCACCACTGCACTCCAACCTAGGCAACAGAGCGAGACTCCGTCACACAAAAAAAAAAAAAAAAAAAAAAATTATATACCAGTTTGGCTAGAGGGTATTTCTCTTTAATTATTTTTCTTTTAAAGATTTTTTTTAACGCAGTATTTAATGCATGCAGAAAAGTATAAAGCAAAAATGTAACAAATGCTCACTTACCGAGTTTTAAGAAGTGTAAAACATGGCAGCACAGTTAAAACTTAAAGGAGGAAGTAGCTATTGTGTCATTATTATCTTATCTTTGCTCTTCCTCATTTCTAAATGTTAAAGAATTAACAGTCTACTTGGGAAAATAATGAAGTTATATACAATTTGAAGTGTCAAAAATAAATCCATAGGTGAATATATACCTGATCTTGAATTGGGGAAGAACTTCCAAATAATAAAAGCAAAGAAAACAAAGCCAAAGATCAACTACCCCAAAAGTAAAGCCTTGTAAATTTAAAAAACACCATGTATTTCCAAAATATATGAGAAAGATGAGTTAGTATCTTCACATACGAAAAGTTCTTATAAATCATTGAGAAAAAAGATTGCCTCATCCCCATACAAAATTAATGAGGCGCATGCAGGCATTATTATGGAAATAGCTGTTAAATGTAAAAAAAAGTGATCAGCCTGATTACAGTAGTCCCCCTTTATCTCAAGGGATATGTAGTCCAAGACCCCCAGTGGATGCCTGGAATCACGAATAGTACTGGACCGTACACATACAATTTTTTAAAATCTGATAATGAAGACCATTAGTAAGTGACTAACAAGCATGGATATGCTGGACAAAGGGATGACTCACATCCCAGGCAGGACAGAGTGGGATGGCACAAGATGTCATCACGCTGTTTACAACGTTGGGCAGTTTAAAACTTCTAAGTTGTTTTGAGCTTTTCTATTTAATGTTTTCAGACTGTGGTTCACCACTGGTAACTTGAAACCATGGAAAGTGAAGACAAGGATATGGGGGGACTACTGTATTAAGAAATTAGCATTAAATTAAAACTATAACATAAAACCATTTTTCACCTGCCAAACTGGCACGGGTTAAGAAACGAAATGGGTACTTTTGTGGACTGCTGGTAGAACTCCAAATTAAATGCACTCTTTCCAAAGCATCTTTGACAATAAGTTTCGCAGGCCTGAACTATATCCCTGTTAATGGTGGAGACAGTCAAGCAACAGGCAATTACAGTACTATGTAAAATGCTGTTTATAATATAGGGATGAACAGAGCGCTTGGGGAAACGAGGGAAGCATGGAGAATTCTGCCTGAGGACATTAAGAAAGATCTCAAACAATGGAGGATGGATAATTTTACAAGCAGACAAATAAGGGAAAATCAGTTCCAAGCAAAATGTCATGTGCAGAGGTACAAAGTCATCAGAATTACTTATGTATTTGTAATTTTGTGTTGGCTTGGCGTTGGGAGAAGGCAAGGGTAGGGAGTGGTAAAAGATGATGTGACACTAGAGAGAAAGTCTGAACCCAACTGAAAAGCTCCATGTACACTGTGCTCAGGAGTTTTGATTTATAAGTAGAAGTCTTTCAGTAAGGGATTGGTATTCAGGCTTAATGAGATCCTGAACTGAGTACTTGACAATGAAAACGAAGAAAATAAACCTGGATTTGGAAAGATTTCTTCAGTTGAAATAACTAGAATTAGATGACTGATTCGAAGGGATGAGGGAGAGGGTTGTAAGGGAAGTCTCGTCATACACTACAGTCGCATCTAGCGATTAGACTTAAATTTGAGATTGTGACACTGGCACACACTTCAAAGGTTTTGAAAGGGTATGCAATGCAGCTTTCTCCTAACCTATGCTAAAGCTGAGGCTTGGATGCCCTGGAAGGCCTGCTGATCACAATCTCCCAAGCAGTAGAGCTGAAACTATGGCTATAAGTTACATTATATATAAGTCTAGAGAAGTGAGTGTGTGCCAGGTTGCGATATGTGTTCAGTGAGTAATTATATCTGTTTGTGTGTTTTCTCAAATGTTGTGCTGTGTTTAGCACATTTTAAAAGAGTAATTTGAGTCGCTGTGTTTATTTTAAATTAGAGTAATCATCCATTAACCTATTCTGTCAGTGTTTCTCAAAGTTAACCAGCTGTATCAGAAATCGCCTCAGGTTTTTTATTTGAAAATGCAAATATTTGGGCCCTTTTCAGTCATATCTAAATCTCTTGGAATGAGGCCTTATAAAGAGCAGTAGGTAAATCATATACACTAAAGTTTCTTACTTTAGAAGTGTGTAAATAAGAACCACTGACAATAGTGATTACAGGTGAGACTTTGGGGACCAGATGAGTTCCTTGGCACAAGTTGATTCATGAACACCACAGTTTTAAAAATGAAAAAGTTACTGCTTTTTTTTATTATTTATTTATTTTTATTTTTATTTATTTATTAATTTTTTGAGACGAAGTCTCACTCTTGTTCCCCAGGCTGGAGTGCAATGGCACGATCTCGGCTCACTACAACTTCCGCCTCCTGGATTCAAGTGACTCTCCTGCCTCAGCCTCCTGAGTAGCTGTGATTACAGGCACCTGCCACCATGCCCAGCTAATTTTTGTATTTTTAGTAGAGACATGGTTTCACCATGTTGGCCAGGCTGGTCTTGAACTCCTCACCTCAGGTGATCTGCCCGCCTCAGCCTCCCAAAGTGCTGGGATTACAGACGTGAGCCACCGCATCTGGCCAGGTGGCTATTTTTAAAAACAAAGATGATAGCAATATTACAGTTTAGGTTATTGAATTAGAAAGAAAAGACCACATATATCCCAACTCTAAGTCCAATTTAGCCAAGATGACTTGCTAATGCTACTTATGTACCTGTGGCTTTTCCCTTGTCCCTAGTTTTTCATATGCAGGACAAAGCTCTTGGTGACACATTGAGCAGGCAGGGTCCTACTGGAATTCAGAAAGCTGCTTTCTTATTCTATTACTCCCTTTTTACCCCATGGTTTTTGGTGCTATGATGGAAAAACTGAGCTGACAATCTGACCACTTTGGTGAAGGGGAACATTGACAAATGTGCTTTCATAATTCTCAAATCAAACTGGGCATCAGGATGGTTATGTGTTTATCTGGGGTATGGGAGTGAGGAGGGAGAAGCAGATTGTTTCTTATTATCCCAAATATGATCGCTGTCTTCAAATATCTGGAAAGTGTACTTGGCCAACATGATTATATGCATTTATATATAAAGGGCAAGGCTTCCCTATGTGCGTCCGTCTTAATTTTAATCTTGTTGTTATCCATGAAGGGAAAATTAAAATGCTTACAAGCACATTCAAAGTATGATTTCTAAGTCATAACATTAAGTTACAGTTTCTAAAGAGTGTTAGAGTATAAATTTACAAACCTCCTATTGCAGATTGCTTGATTTGGCATTTAAAGACTGGGATTGGTCATTTGATGATGTTGATGGTGGTGGTGATGATGATGACGATGTTTTTGATTTCTGAAGAAATAAATGGGGTAAATCAAAAAATGAAAAATCAGTTATTTTAGTACTTCAACGTAGTGCATGTGGTTTGCCACTTGGGCTTTCATTATTTTTTATTTTTGAAACTTGTTTTTAATAGTATATAGTTAAAAGTAGTTTTCGAAAAGTTGCTAACTGAAATTTACATGTTAAGTGTAAAAGTGAAATGCTATGTTCAGATTCTTTATTGGCTATAAATTTTTAGTACAGTTAGAATTTATCTTAGGAATGAGATGTAGAAATCACAAAAGGAGTTAATTCTGATACGTTCTGTTCATTCCAAAGAAGCCATATTCAGAAGAGAAGTAAAATTTACAACGTTTTCAAGTTCCTACAGCTATATTAGTTTGTGAACATAGCATGAGATTCCTTTCTCCATCTCTCTCCTTTTATTTCCAACTTGCAAGAATTGAAAGCATAAAAACTTTATAAGTCTAATAAGTGCTGTGAAATAGCTATTTCTGATTTGGCATTTTTGTGTGTGGTGCTGTGAAATGTTTGCTTTGTGAGAATTTAATGTTACCCTTGCTGAAGAATGTCAGTGATACGCTGTGAGAATTGTGCTTTTAGAAAATGTAAAATAGTTTGGTTAATAGTGGCTAAAGGAGATTTGAATGAAAGTTGAGCCTCAAGTTAAACCTTTTACATAGAAGGATTTAAAAGAAATAATGTGTGTTTTAGTCTAAGTAAGCAAGTTGCAAAACATAAATCAGGTAGTACTGGTATCTATTTATAATCAGATTTCATAGAGTAGCTTGTATATATTTACTACAACAATGTAGTTGGTCCTATCTTATAGAAAAACAAAATGTGGCTTAGGGTTGAACAGCCAAGTAGAACCTGATCAATAGGCCCATTTCCCTTTCAGCTACATGAGGCAGCTGGCAGTTAAACCCCAAATCAAACTTTTATCTTCTAAGTTATTCTGTGGTATATTGTTTAACCCTAATAGCTTGTTAACCATATTAAAATGTGTGTGTAATGTGTGTAGCTAATATTCCAAAATCCCAAGTTGTTTTGGGAAAGAATATAATTGCATGTTGTACCTATAGGAAAAGTAATACAGTAAGTATGTTTATGCATGATTTTAGTGTTAAAAAATATAGTAGCTGGAAGACTATATAGTTTAATAATGTGAATGGAATGCTTTTTCTAGGAATTTAACACTCTTAAATTATTTCACTGTATCAACTAACTTTATTTTTCCTTTCTTTTCAGCTAACTGCCTTCTATGAAAGCAGTCATTATTCAAGGTGATCGTATTCTTCCAGTGAAAACAAGACTGAAATATGATGGCCCAAAATTTATTAAAAAGCTATATTTTCCTGAGAGACTGATACATACACTCATACATATATGTGTTCCCCTTTTCCCTGTAATATAAATTACAAATCTGGGCTCCTTTGAAGCAACAGGTTGAACCAACAATGATTGGTTGATAGACTAAGGATATATGCAACTCTTCCAGACTTTTCCATAAAGCTCTCTCGGCAGTCGCTCACACTACAATGCACACAAGGATTGAGAAGAGTTAAAGGCTAAAGAAAACATCTTTTCTAGCTTCAACAGAGAGGTTTCACCAGCACATTTACCAGAAGAATCTGGGAATGGATTCCACTACAGTGATATTGACTGCATCTTTAAGAAGTGACCATTATACTGTGTATATATATATAAACACACACACATATATATATATATATATAGTACTCTAATACTGCAAGAAGGTTTTTTAAACTTCCCACTTTATTTTTTATACACATTAATCAGATATCATTACTTGCTGCAGTTGCAACTATGCACTTGTATAAAGCCATAATGTTGGAGTTTATATCACTCATTCCTGTGTACCTGATGGAAGTTGCATGTTCATGTTTAAGCAGTTACTGTAACAAGAAGTTTAAAGTTAATTATATCAGTTTCCTAATGCTTCATGATAGGCAACTTTACCCATTTTGAATGCCTTAATTTAATTTTTTTCAAAGTCTCAGCCCTGTCTGTATTAAAAAACAAAAAAAGCGTTTACCAGCTCTTAGGATGTAAACTAGCTTTGTGGAAGATAAATCGTGCACTATTTTTACACATAAATAGTTATATCAATGTCAGCCTATTTTGATTAACAAATGTTTTTAAAGTATTATTGGTTATAGAAACAATAATGGATGGTGTTGGAACTAATATATCCTTGATGTCTGTCTATTATTCATTCAACTCTTTTTACAGACCTCAGTATTAGTCTGTGACTACAAAATATTTTATTTGCTTTAAATTTGCTGGCTACCCTAGATGTGTTTTTATTCCTGGTAAAGACATTTGTGATTACATTTTCACACTTAAGATTCAAAATTTTTCCCAAATATAAAGAAAACTAAGACAGACTGTAGATGCATTTTAAATATTTAAATATGATCCTCAGACATGCAGCTGTGTGTGGCAGTATTTTAGTACCGGGTTAAGAAAACTGGCAACTGGGAAGAAGTGGCCTCAAAGGCACTTAATTTGATTTTTATTTTTTAAATGCTGTCAAAGTTACAGTTTACGCAGGACATTCTTGCCGTATTCTCATGATCCCAGATAAGTGTGTGTTTTATACTGCAACAATATGCAGCAATGGTAAGCGTAAAGTTTTTTTTTTGTTTTTGTTTTTTTTTATATTATGAAGTCTTTTAACAGTCTCTCTTTATATAAATACACAGAGTTTGGTATGATATTTAAATACATCATCTGGCCAGGCATGGTGGCTTACGCCTGTAATCCTAGCACTTTGGGAGGCCAAGACGGGCGGATCACCTGAGGTGAGGAGTTCAAGACCAGCCTGCCCAACATAGTGAAACTCCGTCTCTACCAATATACAAAAATTAGCCGGGCATGATGGTGGTGGCCTGTAATCCCAGCTACTTGGGAGGCTGAGACAGGAGAATCGCTTGAACCCAGGAGACGGTGGTTGCAGTGAGCGAAGATCGAGCCACTGCACTCCAGCCTGGGCAGCTGAACAAGACTCCGTCTCAAAAAAAAAAAAAAAAAAAAGTCATCTAATATTTCGATGAAGGAAATAGACATTTTTCATTGATTCCCTCTGATGTCAGTTAGAGATATTTAAAAAGTTAGATCCCCATAATAGATACTATTGTGGAAACTGAAGAGTAGCTACTGGCCTACTGATAGACTGAAACTGGTTTTGTTATTCTTAACGTTCTCCAGTCTGCACTCTGCTGTGCTGTCTGTGCTCAGACTAGACGTGCATGCCGTTTCCTTTGCAGGTGTGTTCTGCAGCTCTGGTTTTGGGGGATAGCTCTTTTTTAAGTAAGATTAAAAAATGAAAAATATATAAATTTATATAGAATAAATATTTCCATTCATTAGAGTTGTTAAAAGGAGACTGAATTAATATTTTATATAAAGATTTTGTTACATTATGGGAGGTTCTATCCTATTCTGAATTGGAGAGTATATATATATATATATATATATATATATTTTTAATAAACTTTATTAAGGTGAAATAATTTCAAGTTTACATATGAGTAACTGAAATATTTGAGTAAAAAAGGCAAAAGTTTAAATTTGGAATGCTGTATATATTAGAGAATATGGGGAATCATGGTGTGACCAACTGTACAAGGAAGATTCATATGAAGGTCTTAGGGGAAAAAGATAATTCTGAAGGGTGAAAAAAAAATCTCTCCCATGGAGATTCTTCACATTATATGGTTTGACATAAGGGTTTATAAGGTTGTTTGTCCAACTAATGAAAATGCGCTTAATAAAAAATTCTGACCTTGGGTAAGAATTCGCTTTTTACCGCATTGCCGCTTTCATGTACATACATGAGTGCATGCACCTATCAATGTGTTTTCTTCCCAACACTTATTAAATATAAAACAACCTGATTTTGTGCTCGTTTCTCGTTTTTCTTGAGGCCCTGAAGCTTCCAAGATAAATATAAGACTAAAATTTGCTTGTTCCTTCACACCTGATTTCTCCTAGAACCATAAATACCTCCTATGGGGAACTAAGAAATCATGAATACTGGGATTTTCTTATTGGATTTTTTACTTTTGTTTTGTGGGGATAACGAGACAGAAGTGAAAGGAAAACTGGTGCCGGTATTACTGTTGAAATTAATGTACAGTGAATGTTTTTAAAGTATTAATTTTAAAAAACCATGTTCTCTAGAAACAAGTTTTAAAAATCTATATGAAAGTTTTAAAATGTTCCAGCTAACTAATGGATAAGCATACCAGTAAAGCCAAAGTAAAGGTTAGTGCCTTTAAAACTAACCTGTGTTAGAGTTACATGAATCTGGCTCTAAAGTATCTATTTTGCATCCATTTATATATAGATCTTAAACAGAAATACTCTAGGTTGCCACACCACAGTTTTAAGAAGTTATGCTGCTGCTGTTACTCTCTTCTAGGATTCTGGTGGTAAAGTAGAGAAACTCGGACACTATATTAACCTTACTGAAACATGCTTTAAATCGTGTCTAAAATCTGATTTGAGCAAGTCACTGCCGAGCTTCTGAGTCTGCATTGACACTGCTACTGACTCACCTCTCCTTCCCTGGAATAAGGCTTCAGCTTCCCTATGCTGTGAAGACACCATTTGTAAGCACTTTGAACATAAGCACTGTGTGACAGCGCTGGATATCATGCTTGGGGGGGGGCCTCTCCCTGACTCCCATCCCCATAATAATGAGTTTTGTTTGGAATTGTAATAAGTAATGAACTGCATGGTTTAGAAAATTATAAATATTTGATCAGCTGTCCTCTCTGAAAAAAATTGCACCCCTTTTTCTTTTTTAAAATTTTGTTGCATCTTCGTAGTAATGTAATTGTATTTTATGCCTGCTTTTTTATAAAAAAATAAAATAAAATAAATGGAGACATAAGCATTTTCATACTTCTCCTGTGAAATAGTCCTGGAATACGGCAACCTTCTAAAGTTTACCCAAAACATTTGCTTTCTCTATAAGATGGGTATAAACAGTGGGATGAGGATAGTAAATAAGTCTTAGAACTAAGGCTGTAGACTTGTGTTTCTTCTGCCCTATGATTTAATTCATGGAGAAATACCAAATTTCAACCAGGAGCCTGTCTCTGATCTGATTTGGGTGTTTTAAGACGCACGCAAATAATAGAACAAACTCATTTGAATTGGTAAGGATAGGGAAAAGAGGCAGGATGTCTGTTTTGTCAGGAAATAGTGTGCTGATTGATTGATAGGTGATTTTCTAGAAAGTGTTTCTCTGGCAATCAGTGGAACCTTTTCTAGGGCACTTATTTGCTATGTGCTCTTGGGCAGGTTATTCACTCTGAGCCTCCGTGTTTTCATCTGTAAAATGGAGATATAGATTGTGTCTACTTTACAGGATCACTGGCAGATTAAGTAAGTATGATGTGTGTAGAATGTCTGAGATGGCTCGAGTGTTTGTTGCCTTACAAAGGGGGAAAAACAGAGACCCTGTCACCTAAGTATGCTCTTAAAGGAGTTGCTTTAAGCAGTGATAAAGTACTAATGTTATCTAAATATAACATTTGTTGGACTAAAAATCATATAATTTGTATTGATGCTAATGGTCAGATTATAACTGCAAATGAAAAAAGATTAACTTGCATGTTTAAAAATATGACATCTGTAATTTTAACAACTACAGAATGAATAATTTTGTCTTTAGATACCATGTTTCTCTTCCTGTTGGTCCCAAGCAGTAGTTCTAAAAGGATTAACCAGTTTGTTTAAAAACTATACCTTACATAAAATAGTCATATTAATGATTGACAGTTTTAAGACTCAGCAGAATTCAAAATATGAAAATTTATTTTGCATAGGAAACAATAATCTCTGGTAAACATCATTACTGCATCTAACAAAACAATGCCTTCAATTAAAGGGGGAAAGTGAGTTTTTAAACATTAGGGTTAATTTAGAAGAAAATACAGTATATAATAATCTCAACATCATGTTTAGGGTAAAAATGCTATAATGTGAAAAAAGTCCCTAAGAACTGGACAGAACCTACCTAACAACACCATTTACCGTGTATGTTTTCAATAGACAAAACATATTTTGTACCAAATTCCAACAGTGGTAATTCTATAGTTGTGGCCCTTTAAAAAATGGCAGCATTGTACTTGAATCAGAAAGCTTACTGGGATTTCCTCATCGAAAGTAGAGATTGCAGCTAATCCTAGTACCTTTTGTTAGTAATTACTTAAGGCACAGTGCAAAGTTGAAGGACTGTTTTGGTACAAACTCAAGCCAGCTACATGTATGCTTGCCTTGGTATCCTTGCTAGAGCACATGCGGGTATAATACCGTATTATACACAACAAGGCCACCCTGTTGTATCTGTGTTACAATTAAACATCAGTCCCAGAAAGTGAACCCTAGTCATTTATTATAGGTGCCCACCTCTGACTTGGAACAAAATGCCACTCCATTCATGTTCATTTTTGTCCTGGAGAGGATTTATTTCCTAAAAGATTCTGAAAGCCAACAAATCAATGTAGTTCTTCATAGAGAACTTAAGAGTAAGGCTCAAAATGGCCTCAAAATGGGCTTCTTGGATGACTTCCAACAGTGACTGGCCTCAACACTGCAGATGTCTGAGCACTACCATAACCTAACGAAGTGAGGAAGGAGGAGGCAAATTGGTATTTTTAAACAAGAATTTAAGTGGCTCTTTCTTTCAAGTCTAAAAAAACCTTTGGCTTTAAAGATTATAAACTGATTTACTAAATTTATAAAAGACCTTAATTTAGCAAAGAGCTTCTTTTTCCTTTGGTTCAGTTACTCAAAATCCACTGTGTGAAGGAATAATGTATCCATCATTCAGCCTTTATAGCGGTCTTCCGGTAGCGAAGTACTGTCACTGTTACCCATATATTTAAAGCCAGCATGATCACAAAACGTAGAAGAACTGAAATAAAAAAAAAAGTGTATTAAAAACTGTCTTTACAATACAGACCAAAACCACCTCCTGCTCAAAGTATAAGCCTAAATAAAGCTTCACCCCCAACCTCCGAAATGAACAATTTTGGTTCCAGTTATTTCTGGGGAAATGATCTCCCTATCATGACAATTTTTGGCCCCTTGGCCCAACTTCATAAATAATAATTTATCATCTTAAGTGCTCAATTGACAGTAATGTGGCTCTGGCTAAGAAGGGTTATAACTTTTAACTTTTTTTTTTTTTTTTTGAGACAGTCTTGCCCTGTCACCCAGGCTGGGGTTCAGTGGCCTGTCTTGGCTCACTGCAACCTCCACCTTCTGGGTTCAAGTGATTCTCCCGCCTCAGCTCCCCAGGCACCTGGGATGACAGGTGCCCACCACCACGCCTGGCTATTTTTTGTATTTTTAGTAGAGACAGGGTTTCACCATGTTGCCCAGGCTGGTCTCAAACTCCTGACCTCAAGTAATCTGCCCACCTTGGCCTCCCAAAGTGCTGGGATTACAGGCGTGAGCCACTGTGCCCAGCCTAAGAAGGGTTATAACTTTTAAAAATCCCTTTACTCATCTGACGTCCTGAGGGTGCTGCTGTCTCAGAACGTTCCATATTAAGCAAGGGTGGTTTAACATACTCTGTTAAGATCATCCTGAAAAACTGGCCCACAGGACAAGGCATATTTTATATTCAAGTAACCATGAAAATGTGTCTCTTTGTGGAAAAATAAATAAATAAATATATATAACTTTAACAGTGACTTAACTTCTACTTTAAGGTACGGATACACTCCTGATAAATAGGTTTAATGAGATTTAAGATATCTTTGTGTTTGAAAAACACATGTAAGATTTTAGCTGAACTGTTTTTAAAAAGTTATTCCCTGGCCGGGCGCGGTGGCTCACGCCTGTAATCCCAGCACTTTGGGAGGCCGAGGCGGGCGGATCACGAGGTCAGGAGATCGAGACCATCCCGGCTAAAACGGTGAAACCCCGTCTCTACTAAAAATACAAAAAATTAGCCGGGCGTAGTGGCGGGCGCCTGTAGTCCCAGCTACTTGGGAGGCTGAGGCAGGAGAATGGCGTGAACCCGGGAGGCGGAGCTTGCAGTGAGCCGAGATCCCGCCACTGCACTCCAGCCTGGGCGACAGAGCGAGACTCCGTCTCAAAAAAAAAAAAAAAAAAAAAGTTATTCCCAGGCCGGGCGCGGTGGCACACGCCTGTAATCCCAGCACTTTGGGAGGCTGAGGTGGGCGGATCACCTGAGGTCAGGAGTTTGAGACCAGCCTGGCCAACATGGTGAAACCCCATCTCTACTAAAAATACAAAAATTAGTTGGGCATAGTAGCGCATGCCTGTAATCCCAGCTACTCTGGAGGCTGAGGCAGGAGAATTGCTTGAACCCGGGAGGCAGAGGTTGCAGTGAGCCAAGATCACACCACTGCACTCCAGCCTGGGCGACAGAGTGAGAATCCATCTCAAAACAAAACAACAACAAAAAAGTTATTCCTGGATATACTGATCACTTTCAAGAACAGCTGTCATAGATAAGAAATAAATCACAATTAGAACAATCTTGATCTTTTAATTTCTAATGTATAGGTTTTGCTGTTTACTTGTGGTTTGACTTTCCTTTCCATGCTGAGAATTCAAGTCCTGTGGAAAGACCCAAGCCTGTCTTCCTTCCCATTTCCCACTTGATCAAAGTTTATGCTTTGACCAGAACAATTTTAGTCCTATCATCAGAGCTGACAAAAAGTATTCGAGCAAAGGTATAACCTCCAGGAAGAGACTAACAAACATATCTCTGTTCTGAAGCACTATTTCTCAAATAATAATTAGCTCATTTAAAAGGTCTACATGCTGGGGACATTTTCTGATCTTCACAGGTGACACCATCTGTTCTAATCATTTTCCAAAGATGTATAATATATGCTTGATTTGGGAGTTGAAAACAGCCTAAGGAATTACTAAATTCTTTTGTGGTTAACCATAGTATTTCCTCCTCCATGACAGCTTTTTCTTTTAAAGAAACAGAACAAAAACATAGTCCATTGGTGACACCACTTCCCTGCTTCAAAGCCTCCAGAGCCTTCCTACTGTTTTGTAGGCAGTTCTTGTAGGCCCTGGATACTTGGGCCACTGCCAGTCTCGCATCCTTCCTCTCCTGAAACCCGCTTGTCACTGTCCCCCTGCTCTCCGCACTCTAGCCCTTTGTCCTTCGCTCATGACCTTCACAATGCTGCTCCTTGTTAAGAGTCTGGCCTCCGCCCACATCCTTTCCTCTGGCTAAACCTCTACTCATCCTTACGATCACTCTTCTTCAAATTAATCTGCCCAACTCCTGCAAACTAGGCCAGGTTCTCCTTAGATGCTCATCCTGCCCTACTCTTCCAAACCATGTCCCATTAGAATTCAATAGGGAATTGTGTGATTACCTCATGTCCAATTCCACTGCTTAAGTGGAAGTTCCATGGAGATAGGAATCTATTGTCTTGTGCATAGTCTATCCCCTGTACTATAAGAAGGAGAGGCTTAACAATAAAAATGGTGACCAATAAGACTAGGAATACATTGTTGCCATCTTCTAAATCTATAATCCAACAGAGCCAAGTCCATCCATTAAACCCTAAGACAGTTTACAAATGAAGGAGACACAAATAGCACAAAACTCAAAAAGGAAGTGAGAAGATATTTTGCTTACTTGTAAAATCATTGGTGGTCATTAAGGTTGTGATTATTCTTGCTGTAAAAGAAAACTTGCAGCAATAAGTAACTTGCCTCTCGGACATTTTGGGGCTTAGCTAATAATGTCTTTCCCTTTTAATATCCCAATATATATTAACCATTATTTTTAAATTATTTTTATTCTTTTTTTAACAACATATATTAACTATTCTTGACAGAGTTTGGTAGTACAGAAAACCAAATAGTGCTGTATTTCATAATTACATAAAAACTAGCCATGCCGGATCACCTGAGGTCAGGAGTTCGAGACCAGCCTGGCCAACATGGCAAAACCCTGTCTGTCTCTACTGAAAATACAAAAATTAGCCAGGTGTAGTGGCGGGCGCCTGTAATCCCAGCTACTCAGGAGGCTGCGGCAAGATAATCGCTTGAACCTGGGAGGCAAAGGTTGCAGTGAGCTGAGATTGCGCCAATTGACTCCAGCCTGGGTGACAGAGCCAGACTCCGTCTCAAAAACAAAACAAAACAAAACAAAAAACAGCCATGCATCCTACCCCAATGGCCCAATGGTTTTGAAACTGCTCATGAGGGAAGGTACCTAGAAGGTACTCGAGCGCTGCCTGCGGAAGGCCGGAGAGACTGAGCTCCCTTCCACTGTCTCTGTGCTAACCTGCAACCCCCAACCCTCCAAAAGCAACTCTCATTTACAAATTGAGCATCTGGGTAGTTTTATTTAAAGAAAGGCTCCCACTAATTAAAAACAATGTTTTGGCCAGGCACAGTGGCTCACGCCTGTAATCCCAGCATTTCGGGAGGCTGAGGCGGGTGGATCATGAGGTCAGAAGTTCGAGACCAGCCTGACCAACATGGTGAGACCCTGTCTCTATTAAAAATACAAAAATTAGCTGGGTGTGGTGGCGGGCACCTGTAATAATCCCAGCTACTTGGGAGGCTGAGGCAGGAGAATCGCTTGAAACCGGAAGGCTGAGGTTGCAGTGAGCCGAGATCATGCCACTACACTCCAGCCTAAGCGAAAGAGCGAAACTCTGTCTCAAAAAACAAACAATAAATGTTTTCGAATCACTGGTTTCTATCCTTGCATTTTATAGATAAACAGACTGAGGCCCAGAAAAGGGGAAGATTTTTCCAAGGGTCTAACTAGAACTATTTTGTTTAGTTTATTTGTGTGCCATAGCCCTTTACTTAGTAAACATTTAGGAAATTGGAGTAACAGTTTAAACCGACACACAAGAGCAGGGAGTGGCGTGACTTGGGAGTTAGAGAAGACCACTGCCTGCAGCTCAAGGCATGCCTTTCCTAGCCCAAAACCAGCCTGTCAAAACTCTCTGCTAACACATTCTGCATTTAGCACATATTGACATAGAAGTTTTTTGGTCTACCTTCCAACTAAACTGCAAGCCCCTGAAGGGCAGAGGCCAAATCCTATAAAATGTTTTGTTGACACATTTGATAAACCAAGACTTTACACACAGACACCACATAAATAGTTGTTGATTAAATCATCATTTAAATAAAAGAATTCAATCATATAAGTAGACAGAAGACTTCAGTTAGGAAGGCGGCCAACAAAGGACTCTCAGACAAACTTTTTAAAAGGCTGTTAATAACCACACATCTGACAAGGGTTAATGACCAGAATATGTAAGAAACTCAAATGACCCAATTAAAAAATGGGCAAACCATGTGAACAGACATTTCTCCAAAGAAAACATACAGGGCCAGGTGCAGTGGCTCACACCTGTAATCCCAATACTTTGGGAGGCTGAGGTGAGATGAACACTTGAGCCCAGTAGTTTGAGACCAGCCTTGGCAACATAGTGAGACCCCTCTCTACAAAAAATTGGCTGGGCGCGGTGGCTCATGCCTGTAATCCTAGCACTTTGGGAGGCCAAGGCGGGTGGATCACTTGAGGTCAGGAGTTCAAAACCAGCCTGGCCAACATGGTGAAAACTCGTCTCTACTAAAAATACAAAAATTAGCCAGGCATGGTGGCGTGTGCCTGTAATCCCAGCTACTCAGGAAGCTGAGGCAGGAGAATCGCTTGAACCTTGGAGGCAGAGGTTGCAGTGAGCCGAGATTGCACCACTGCACTCCAGCCTGGGTGACAGAGCGAGACTGTGTCTCAAAATAATAATAATAATAATTAAAAATTAGCCAGGTGTGGTGGTGTGTGCTCGTACTCCCAGCTACTTGGAAACCCGCAGTGAGTGAAGATCGTATCACTGCACTCCAGCCTGTGAGAGAGAGCGAGACCCTGTCAAAGGAAAAAAGAAAGAAAGTCTTGATTTTAAGACATAATTAAGACAAGTAACTTGTTGAATATAAAGACCAGCAACCATGGATGGAGACATTAGCCCTTTAAGATGCAGAAGAACCATGATGAAGTCTACTTAAAATATCTAAAACTAGTAAATCCAACTAATGTGATAGCTCTGAATTATAAAAATGTTTCTACCTACATATACCATATATGTATTTTAGGTAGTTTTTGTAAGAATCCAAATGAAGAGTGAAAATTCTAAAGTTGAGACCAAACAATGTGGCTGCCGAAAATCTCCATCACTACACATTTCATTCATTCTCAAAAGCCACTGTATGATTTTCATATTTTAAAACCTGTTATATTCAAATTCTTAAGATAAATTAGTACATTCAATATAATCAACCTCTTTATCCTTTCAAAGAAGACAGAGCTAATTAATATCAGGCCAGGTTTTTGGAGAAAAATAGGCTTTCACTTTTTTTTTTCTTGGCAACTTGGATTTTACAGAAAATGGAGAGCAGTTTGCATTAAATCATCTTTGTAAACATGGATACACTTAGGAGGTTCTAGCTGAGTAGCCATTTGTAAAGTAGTAAAGCGCCAGGGACCATGTTACTTCAACACCAACTTAACACCCTACTACGTAGACACTTGGTGCTACCAAAGGCCTCCCCACCATGTGAGTCCGGTTCTTACTTGCACAGGTATAGGAAGAGAGGCTCCAAGTCAGCGCACTCACAGTTCCTGAGTCTCTCGTCTTCCACAGACACTGGAGCTGTGCAAACTTACTGGCCGCGCTGATGAAAGTACATAGATTCTGTTTGCAGATAAAATGTGAGAAAGTCACGAGTCGATTTGTTAAAAAAGCAAAAGAGGCCAGGTGCGGTGGCTCACACCTGTAATTCCAGCACTTTGGGAGGCCGAGGCAGGCAGATCATGAGGTCAGGAGATCGAGACCATCCTGGCTAGCACGGTGAAACACCGTCTCTACTAAAAATACAAAAAATTAGCTGGGCGTGGTGGTGGGCGCCTGTAGTCCCAGCTACTCGGGAGGCTGAGGCAGGAGAATGGCATGAACCCGGGAGGTGGAGCTTGCAGTGAGTTGAGATCGTGCCACTGCACTCCAGCCTGGGTGACAGAGTGAGACTCCCATCTCAAAAAAAAAGCAAAAGAGCACGAGATACTCAAAGCATTTTTGAAGCCAAATTTTCAGGTCAAAATAATAATGGAATTGTACAAAGTTGAAACCTAAGTTTAGTGAAAAGTAATGCAATAGTGAGACATTTATTTATTTATTTATGACAGTCTCACTCTGTCACCCAGGCTGGAGTGTCAAAATAATAATGGATTTGTACAAAGTTGAAACCTAAGTTTGGTGAAAAAGAATGGAATAGTGAGACATTTATTTAGTTAGTTAGTTAGTTAAGACAGAGTCTCACTCTGTTGCCCAGACTGGAGTGCAGTGGCACAATCTTGGCTCACTGCAACCTCCACCTCCCAGGTTCAAGCAATTCTCCTGTCTCAGCCTCTCAAGTAGCTGGGAGTACAGGCACGTGCCACCACACCTGGCTAATGTTTGTATTTTTAGTAGAGACAGGGTTTCGCCACATTGGCCAGGCTGGTCTCAAATTCCTGACCTCAGGTGATCTGCCTGCCTCAGCCTCCCAAAATGTTGGGATTACAGGTGTGAGCCACCATGCCCAGACTAAGACATTTATTTATAACTCACAGATTCCACCGTGCAGTGGGTAACTAATGGCCAGAGCTAGTTTGAAGTTGGGAATGAGAAAGAATCAATGCTTGGCCACAGAGGTTCATCTATCTACACCTCCAATGAGAAGTAAGTACTGAGGAGCCAGGTGCGGTGGCTCAGGCCTGTAATCCCAGCACTTTGGGAGGCTGAGGCGGACGAATCACAAGGTCAGGAGTTTGAGACCAGCCTGGCCAACATGGTGAAACCCCGTCTCTACTAAAAATACAAAAAAATTAGCTGGGTGTAGTGGCGGGCGCCTGTAATCCCAGCTACTAGGAAGGCTGAGGCAGGAGAATCCCTTGAACTTGGGAGGCAGAAGTTGCAGTGAGCTGAGATCATATCACTGCACTCCAGCCCTGGCAACAGAGTGCAACTCCGTCTCAAAAAAAAAAAAAAGTACTGAGATACTGTGTTTTAGAGCTTGGGGAAATCTATGCTGTTCTGAACTGACAAACAAACTCCAGCAGCAAGCCGCGGCACCTCAGCCCTGAATTTCTGGCTATTCTGATAGTCTGTGTGGTGGTGCGCTCAGGCCTCTGCTATACAGTGAGGTAAGAGATCCTCACAAATAAGCCTGCTGCTCTGCACAGCATCCTCGACGCTGACCACCACCAGCCCTGCCAGCATCAGCCTCTTCAGCAGCTGAAACTCCAGTCTCTGGGTTGAGTGTAGACCGAAGGGAGACAAGGTGACACCTGGGAGACCAGTTAGGCTAGTGCAGTCACCTGGGTTTGTACGAGGGCAGTAGAAACAGACGAGGTGAGAAGTGTTCAGGTTCCGGATATATTTCAAAGGCAAAGCCAACAGGATTTGCTGAGGGAGTGGTAATGGGATGTGGCAAAAAGAGAAATCTGGCTGGGCACAGTGGCTGACGCCGTAATCCCACTACTTTGGGAGGCCGAGGCGGGCAGATCACGAGGTCAAGAGATCGAGACCGTCCTGGTCAACATGGTGAAACCCCATCTCTACTAAAAACACAAAAATTAGCTGGGTGTGGTGGCACGTGCCTGTAGTCCCAGCTACTCGGGAGGCTGAGGCAGGAGAATCACTTAAACCCAGGAGGTGGAGGTTGCAGTGAGCCAAGATCATGCTACTGCATTCCAGCCTGGTGACAGAGCAAGACTCTGTCTCAAAAAAAAAAAAAAAAAAAAGAGAGAAATCCAGGGTGATTCTAATCTCCGGTGTTTCTGGCCTTTGCAGTGGAAGAACAGAGTTCCCATTAACTGAGACACATTAAGATGAAGGTGGGAGAGGGGCAGGGTGGGAGATCAGAAACCCAGTTCTGGACACGCGAGGTTGGAGAGGCTCAGTCGTCAGGCAAGGGTAGCCAGTGGTTGGCTGTGCGGTGTGTGCTGGAGCCCTGGGAACACGGAAGTCAGGGAGCTGAGGAGGAACCAGCAAGGACACAGAAAGGATCAAGGGGAAGGGACACTGGGGAGCACGGCTTCCTGGAAGCCCGGTGGGCAGTGATTCAAGAAGGAGTCCTGATCGATGGTGTCAAAAGCTACCGAGATATGAATGAAGAAGAGGAATGAGAACTGGCCACAGGCTCTGGCGCGAATGAAAGCCGCTGGCCTTGACAAGAGCAGCTTGTTTACCTTCTGTCTCCCCTGGAGAAGGAAAGCTCATGGGGAACACTCGGTCTGTTTCCTGCTGGGTCCCCAGGACCTGTGACAGTGCTGGCACCTGGCCGGCACTCAACAAATCCTTGCTGAGGGAATAAATCCTTAATAATAATGCAGTCTGGCAAACGTGATGATAAAGGTGCATCCAGGATGACTTGGGAGGAGAGAAGGCGTCACTTGGACAAGGAAGAATTATGGAGAAGGGAGGCAGGGTGCAGTGGCTCAAGCCTGTAATCCCAGCACTTCGGGAGGCCAAGGCAGGAGGATCACTTGAGGCCAGGAGTTCGAGACCAGCCTGACCAACATGGTGAAACCCCATCTCTACAAAAAATATAAAAATTAGCCAGGCGTGGTGGCGTGTGCCTGTGGTCCCAGCTACTCAGGAGGCTCAGGCACAAGAATCATTTGAACCCAGAAGGCAGAGGTTGCAGTGAGCCGAGATCACACCACTGCACTCTAGCCTGAACAACAGGGTCAGACTCTGTCTCACAAGAAAAAAAAAAGGAATTATGGAGAAGGGAACCGCAGGGAGTGCTCTTGGGCAGAGGAGTTGACCAAGAACCTGTGGTCAGGCCTGTGGCAGGACTAAAGTCACCCTGAGAGCTGGGTGCAGATGCTCGGAGGATGGCTGGCCCCAGGCAGGGAGACCTGTGAGGAGAGGGGCTCTTGTGCAATCAGGAGACCTGGACAGAGCAGAGGAGGGAGGACTGCAGGGGAGGGCTCGCACCAGAGAACCAGCCAGAACACAGGCTCGGCGGGGTGGCGAGGAGTCGGTGCGGAATGGGAAGAGCTGGGGAAGCTGGCTTTGTTCACACACATCAGGGTCCCAGACCACATTACAACACACTCGTGTTAAACACAAGCTTGCCTGCTAGATATTCTACCAGATTCATCTTTCAGGAACAAAGCTATTTTTACAGTCCTGAAGTAGTGTTGGTTTGGGCCCCAACCAAGCCCTGGAATGTCTTATCACATTAATTCAATTGGAGACTATGAAGTTTTTCTGTAAAACAGTCTAATCCAGGAACAGGATTGGAAAGAAGGGATGCTTAGCTGTCACGGAGAGCTTTTTTTTTTTTTTCAGACAGAGTCTTGCTGTCACCCAGGCTGGAGTGCAGTGGCTCAATCTTGGCTCACTGCAACCTCTGCCTCCCGGGTTCACGCCATTCTCCTGCCTCACCCTCCTGAGTAGCTGGGACTACAGGTGCCCGCCACCACACCCGGCTAATTTTTTTTTATATATTTTTAGTAGAGACGAGGTTTCACCGTGTTAGCCAGGATGGTCTTGATCTCCTGACCTTGTGATCCGCCCGTCTCGGCCTCCCAGAGTGCTGGGATCACAGGCGTGAGCCACCGCACCCGGCCTTGCAGATCATTTTTAAGTACTTTAATCATTTTCTTGTGAATAAACTATGAGTATATGAATTATCAATTTAACCATGAAAGCACAGTTTAGGACCTCTGGGGGAACGATCTCGGGTACCTGCATTTGAAAGCCAAAAAAATGGAACATTCTACAATGGAGGTTTTCCACTGATTCAAGCAGCACCCGCTCCTCTCTAGGATTCTGGGGTTTTGCTACCATGTGTGAGCTCTGAAGGCCCTGCTCGTTCTCCTGCACTGGGGCTCCACGACCCTCAGATCTGGGCCACCTTGTGCCCCGGACCCTGGTACCTCAGAGCAGGTGCGTGAGGAACACTCATTGAGTCAGTGAAGGAGGGCTATGGGCAGACACAGCACGGAGCCTGGTGTTCAGCCCTTGCATGATAAAGGAAAGAATCAAAATTATATTCCATGAAATGTTATATCATCAATGTTATAGTTAGAATAGATGACTACTGCTAAGGGCACAGAACAAACACCTAAAAGCTGTTGTTGCCCTTGACCCCTGAACTTGATTCTTTTGTTTTGTTTTGTTTTTGAAATGGAGTCTTGCTCTGTTGCCCAGGCTGGAGTGCAATGGCTTGATCTTGGCTCACTGCAACCTCCGCCTCCCGGGTTCAAGCGATTCTCCTGCCTCAGCCTCCCGAGTAGCTGGGATTACAGGCATGCGCCACCACACCCAGATAATTTTTGTATTTTTAGTAGACGGGGTTTCGCCATTTTGACCAGGCTGGTCTCGAACTGCTGACCTCAGGTGATCTGCACGCCTCGGCCTCCCAAAGCTCTGGGATAACAGGCATGAGCCACCACATCCCTCCATTCTTGACAAGCCTGTATCTCAACACTGCTAGAAGGATGTTTCCTCAGGGGTGAAGGCTCACAGCTGCTGTATGGGGGCTAATAGAACTAGAACCACCCCAACTCATCAGTAGTAAGACCTACTGAGAACATAGAGATGGCTCATTTACAGGGTTGTGAGAGTTGGCAAACAAAAATACAGGACATCTAGTTAAATTTAAATTTCAGAACAACAACAAATAATGTTTTAGTACAAGTATGTCCCATGCAATATTTTGTTTGTTTTTTGAGATGCAGTCTCGCTCTGTCACCCAGGCTGGAGTGCAGTGGCGTGATCCTGGCTCACTGCAAGCTCCGCCTCCGGGGTTGAAGCGATTCTCCTGACTCAGTCTCCCAAGTAGCT
Organism: Homo sapiens; assembly: GCF_000001405.40. Lineage (NCBI taxonomy): Eukaryota > Metazoa > Chordata > Mammalia > Primates > Hominidae > Homo > Homo sapiens. Next base: position 11,166,779 of record NC_000002.12, on the reverse strand, counting down.
GGGATTACAGGTGCCCGCCACCATGCATGGCTAATTTTTGTATTTTCTTTTAGTAGAGAACAGGGTTTCGCCTGTTGGCCAGGCTGGCCTCCAACTCCTGACCTCAGGTCATCTGCCTGCCTCGGCCTCCCAAGGTGCTGAGATTCCAGACGTGAGCCACCCCACCTCGACCCATGCAGTATTTTGGACATACACGTACTGAAAAAGTGTTCCTTGTTAATATGGCAACCCTACTTATTTGCTCTCCCAAGTCACAGGGTTGAAATGTAACAGAAATGTAACAGAGAATCTAGTCTACTTTCCAGACAAGATGTTGGGGGAAAGGGGAAAGAAATTCATGAGTCTGCGTGTGGCAGGCAGTGCCCTGTGACCACCAGTTAGTTCTCCTCCTTTTCTCGTTGGGTAGAAACGTTCACTTCTGTCACCTTGGAGAGGTCTGTGGTCAAACACATCCTGAACCACCCTCAGGAGCCCTTGGAAATTTTCGGCCCTGAGCCAAGTATGAAAAAAAGTCAGCCCCTCTCCAGGACAAGGCCAACATGCCATTATGAACCTAAGAAGAAGCTAGTTAACTGATGCTCAATTCTTCATTCTAAAACTGCTAGTGGCCAGCTGCCGTGGCTCACACCTGTAATCCCAGCACTTTGGGAGGCCGAGGCGTGTGGATCATCTGAGGTCAGGAGTTCGAGACCAGCCTGGCCAACACAGTGAAACCCTGTCTCTACTAAAAATACAAAAATTAGCTGGGGATCCCTCTCCCTCTCCCTCTCTTTCCACGGTCTCCCTCTGATGCCGAGCCGAAGCTGGACTGGACTGCCGCCATCTCGGCTCACTGCAACCTCCCTGCCTGATTCTCCTGCCTCAGCCTGCCGAGTGCCTGGGATTGCAGGCGTGCGCCGCCACGCCTGACTGGTTTTCGTATTTTTTTGGTGGAGACAGGGTTTCGCTGTGTTGGCCGGGCTGGTCTCCAGCCCCTAACCGCGAGTGATCTGCCAGCCTCGGCCTCCCGAGGTGCCGGGATTGCAGATGGAGTCTCGTTCACTCAGTGCTCAATGTTGCCCAGGCTGGAGTGCAGTGACGTGATCTCGGCTCGCTACAACCTGCACCTCCCAGCCGCCTGCCTTGGCCTCCCAAAGTGCCGAGATTGCAGCCTCTGCCCGGCCGACACCCCGTCTGGGAAGTGAGGAGCGTCTCTGCCTGGCCGCCCATCGTCTGGGATGTGAGGAGCCCCTCTGCCCGGCTGCCCAGTCTGGGAAGTGAGGAGCGTCTCTGCCCGGTCGCCCATCGTCTGAGATGTGGGGAGCGCCTCTGCCCCGTCGCCCCGTCTGGGATGTGAGGAGCCCCTCTGCCCGGCTGCCCAGTCTGGGAAGTGAGGAGCACCTCTTCCCGGCCACCATCCCGTCTAGGAAGTGAGGAGTGTCTCTGCCCGGTCGCCCATCGTCTGAGATGTGGGGAGCGCCTCTGCCCCGCCGCCCAGTCTGAGAAGTGAGGAGCCCCTCTGCCCGGCAGCCGCCCCTCTGAGAAGTGAGGAGCCCCTACGCCCGGCAGCCAGCCCGTCTGGGAAGTGAGGAGCGTCTCCGCCCGGCAGCCGCCCTGTCCAGGAGGGAGGTGGGGGGTCAGCCCCCGCCCGGCCAGCCGCCCCGTCCGGGAGGTGGGGGGTGCCTCTGCCCGGCCGCCCCTTCTGGGAAGTGAGGACCCCTCTGCCCGGCCGCCACCCCGTCTGGGAGGTGTACCCAACAGCTCATTGAGAACGGGCCATGATGACAATGGTGGTTTTGTCAAATAGAAAAGGGGGAAAGGGGAAAAGATAGAGAAATCAGATTGTTGCTGTGTCTGTGTAGAAAGAAGTAGACATGGGAGACTCCATTTTGTTCTGTACTAAGAAAAATTCTTCTGCCTTGGGATGCTGTTGATCTATAACCTTACCCCCAACCCAGTGCTCTCTGAAACATGTGCTGTGTCCACTCAGGGTTAAATGGATTAAGGGCGGTGCAAGATGTGCTTTGTTAAACAGATGCTTGAAGGCAGCAGGCTCGTTAAGAATCATCACCACTCCCTAATCTCAAGTACCCAGGGACACAAACACTGCGGAAGGCCGCAGGGTCCTCTGCCTAGGAAAACCAGAGACCTTTGTTCACTTGTTTATCTGCTGACCTTCCCTCCACTATTGTCCTGTGACCCTGCCAAATCCCCCTCTGCAAGAAACACCCAAGAATAACAATAAATACTAAAAAAAAAAGAAAACAAAAATGAATCAATTAAAAAAAAAAATTAGCTGGGTGTGGTGGCACATGCCTGTAATCCCAGCTACTCGAGAGGCTGAGACAGGAGAATCCCTTGAACCCAGGAGGTGGAGGTTGTGGTGAGCCGAGATTGCGCCATTGTACTCCAGCCTGGGCAACAAGAGTGAAACTCCATTTCAAAAAAAAAAAAATATATATATATATATATAAATATCTATCAAGTTCTCTCCAAGGTAGCTTATTCCTCCTACTTTCTTTTCAAGCATAATACTTACCATGGCCAGGTCTATGATCCACTTCTGCAGGGCAAGGATGAACCAAGAAGACACCAATCTTACCAAGTGCTAAGGGACACAGCAGTGGGTCACCCACATCCGCGCCACCCTCCCATCTCACATATACAAACCAAGACCACAGACAGCGGCACGCAGAAGCCAGGTGGGTGGGAGGGGAGGACATGCTACCAGAACCTGCCGGATTTGGAAGGGACGAAAAGGGTCGCAAGTGAACACCTGCTCAGAATTCAAAAGAACGAAAACAGGTTACAGAAGAGAAATACAAAGACACCCACGCTCATGGACTGCTCCCTAGGATTGGGAACATTCCTAGTGGTTTCACTGCCCACTGAATTCTAGACCATGCAGACTTCTCTGATTTATGGTCAAAAGCTAAGCACTTAAAGGAGAAGTCCAACATTATAAAGCAGGAATGTTCTGCAAAATTGCTGTGATGTGAATTTCTGTTTACTGACTTCCACCTTTCCCCACAAACTCCACTGTAAAAATGATACAGCTGGGGTGGGCAATGCTGGAAGTCAGGCATGTGCACCGAGCTCGGTGACGCCACGGGAATAGAGGCCAGCTAGGGAGCTGAACAAGCACCCAGGAGACAGCGGCCAGGGCTGGAAGGGGACAGCCAAGAGTCTCTGGAGTGCCCTTGGGCAAGTCACTTTCCATCTTTCCACCTTGATTTGCTTATCTGTAAAATGCCTACAAGCACGTAGCACCGACTCAAGAGACTGCTGTTATTATAATTTCAAACATTAATTAAATGAAGATATTGAAACAGACAATGCCCTGTGCTAAAAGTCAGTGGAACTAAATACTCACAGCCTGATCAACACCAGAAGGTAGCTCGAAGCTGGCTGGATAGAATCCTGTTTTTAAAACACTAACTCAATTTTTAAATCTAATTTTTGTGACTCCTCCCCCCACCAATTCTGTTCTATCCCACCTCATTCTGTGTATTCTGAATATACATTTTATAAAATTTGACCAATAGTAGGAGCTCCTGAGATCCTACAGATGATTTATTTGTAGGGTTGCCAGATTTCACAAATAAAAGTACAGGACACCCAGTTAAATTTTAATTTCAGGTCGAAAACAAGTAACTTTCCCCAAGTAGCTGGGATGACAGGTATGAGACACCACACATGGCTCATTTTTTCTCTTATATTTTTGGAGCGCTAGGGAATCCCACTATGTTGCCCAGGCTAGTCTCAAACTCCTGGCCTCAAATGATCCTCCCACTTCGACCACCCAACACACTGGGATTATAGGCATGAGCCGCTACACCTGGCCAATAATTATCAGTAGAAGTATATCCCAAGCAATATTTAAAAGTATTCATTAGGCCGGGCACGGTGGCTCACGCCTGTAATCCCAGCACTTTGGGAGGCTGAGGCAGGTGGATCACGAGGTCAGGAGATCGAAACCATCCTGGCTAACATGGTGAAACCCCGTCTCTGCTAAAAATACAAAAAATTAGCCGGGCATGGTGGTGGGCGCCTGTAGTCCCAGCTACTCGGGAGGCTGAGGCAGGAGAATGGCGTGAACCCGGGAGGCGGAGCTTGCAGTGCGCTGAGATGGCACCACTGCACTCCAGCCTGGGCGACAGAGTGTGACTCCGTCTCAAAAATAAAATAAAATAAAATAAAAATAAAAGTATTCATTAATATGGTAACCCTATTCTTTCGCTCTCCGTAAGTCACAACCAATGGGAGATTATAAGCATCTTGCTGATACTACAGACTCGCCATCAGCATCCAGCCATGTGGTATCTCCCAGTGCCACCAGCACCCAAATTTTCTAATCTGCAGCCTCACTATCTTCACAAAGCTGTTGCATTTTATTTCAAAAGTAAATTATGTAACTCTTTTCATCTTCAAAGTACTGTTTACCAAAACCTTTAACCAGCTGGGACTGACCGTGAAGTGTTGAGGTGCAGTACAGCTGTGCGATCCCTCTTTCCGCAGACAGAAACTGAGGCAGCAGAGCTTGCCACTCGGGGAAACAGCAGAGGGTCAGGACTCAGCCAGAACCCAGCTCCCTCCATAGACACAGGCTGCAGAGCCTCGCCTCTAGTAAAACCACCACAATGGCCCTGTCATTTACTCTGCTTGACTGTGTTTCTGGTACTTCTAGCTCTTACAGTAACCCTAAAACATAGGCATTATGATCCCATGTCACAGATGGGGGACGCACAGTTTATGGTGTATGCTGAAGCCACCCCTGTGGTGGCAGGGACCTGTCCTGTCTGGCTCCAGGCCAACTGCTTCCCACCACTCCACACCCACATTCTCATGGCCTGCGGGCCACAGGCCTGGCTCTGCCCTCCTTCCTCCACTCTGAAGAGGGCATGGGAAGAAACAGCTCAAGCCATTTCACAGATGTGGCAGGACAGGCTGACAGCTAGTGCCATTCAAAACACTTTCTTGGGCCAGAAGTGGCAGCTCATGCCTGTAATCCCAGCACTTTGGAAAGCCAAGGTGGAAAGATCGCTTGAGTCCGGGAGTTCAAGACTAGTCTGGGTAACATACCAGGACCCAATCTCTAAAAAAAATGTTTTTTAATTAGCTGGGCATAGTAGCATGCACCTGTAGCTCCAGCTACTCAGGAGGCTGAGGCGGGAAGATTCCTTGGCCCCAGAAGTTCAAGGCTGCAGTGAGCTCTAATCCAGCCACTGCACTCCAGCCTGGGTGACATAGTGAGACCCTGTCTCTTAAAAAAAAGGTTAAAACATCTTGTAACTTGGGCAACATAGTGAGACCCCGTATCTACAAAAAATTTAAAAATTAACTGGGTGTGGTGGCATTCTTCAATAGTCCAAGCTACTCGGGAGGCTGAGGCAGGAGGATCACTTGATCAAGGCAATCAAGCTTGACCGAGGAGGTCAAGGCTGCAGTGAGCTTTGATCCCACCACTGCAACCCAGCCTAGGCCACAGAGCGAGACCGTCTCAAAATAAAAACCAAAAATGAAACAAAAAAAAAAAAACACTCTCCTGGCTTTTTAAGGAGTGTGACGTTCAACTAGTGAGTCTTTACAAAGAGAACTGAAATGAAGCCTCACCCTCATTCACAGGAAGTGCCACTGAGCAGGAACAGGTCTCTGAGCTGACCAGGCTCCCACTGCAAGCCTCTGGGCCAACAACTGCCCCTCAGACCTCAAGGTTTAGCCTCTAAGCTAACGTCTTGAGAGGCGCCGGATACTCTCATTATTATTGCTTCCAATCCTCGGAGGACATTATCAGGGCAGGAAGAAATGTCTCACATGAACTAATGCAGTTGGACGATGCTGCTCTTAGCAGGGGTGGACTCTACCGATCTGCCTTCCACTCGGCCTGCTGGCACCGCCCAGGGCATGCTGGTCTCGGAGGAGCAGCAGGGGCTGTACTGAGGGCATCTCTGGTGTACATGGACACGTTTGCATTTGGGATTTTTTTTTTTTTTTTTTTTAGTTTAACCAAAAAATACACATCTGGTAAAGGAGCCTGCTTCACAATGCATACCATTCACAAATAACATCCCCGTTCCCACTTCTGGCTCAGATTCAGAAAGGATACACAGCGATGTAAGGAGTGGCCTGCTTCACGTTCCCGTTAAAATGAAAGATACAGAGCAGGAGGATGACATCTGAAAGAGAGAGGCTCCGAGTGAGGGGGGAAGGGGAGACCCGTGGCAGTCCGCTGGACAGGGAAGGGGCTGTTACCTTGCGCGATGAGGATGGGGTACTCCAGGTAGGTCAGCGGCGGATACCCATAGTAACACTGGTACCGCAGAAACACCAGGAATCTGGAGAGAGAAGGGCACATGTCCACACGGCTGCCCCAAAACGCAGCTGTCGGGGCCTGGCAGGCACCAGAACACTGAGGTCAGTTTGCCGAATCCTTGCAGTGGGGGTGTGGACACGCCAGTGTCAAAGAGGAAGGTTTAGAACAAAATAGATGGAATTCAGTTGAATCATCTGTACAATTTTTGGAGCATCCAGAACTTACTGGGCACCGGGCCACAGTGCAATACCCACGATCTCTATAGAGTGCCTTGAGATGGTCGCTTACAAAGGATTTTTACAGAAGGCAAATCCCTGAGCAAGAATATGAGACTGGGCCTTCTGGGCCCACGCTTCTGGCCTGCCTGCCATGTTGGGCTCCCACTGACCCCGGCAGCTGCCCCTCAGCTGCTGCACACATCTGCCCTCCACTCTGAGAAGCTGCAGAGGCGCAAGGATCCGAGGAGCCGCAACCATCCCTGGATGCGGGGGTCTGTGGCCGTGTTTTTAGAGTTAGAACAGCACCTGGATGGTCCAGTTGCCTTCCAGAAGAGCTGCCCGGTTGAGAGGGCAGTGGGGGAAAGCGTGAAGAACCACCCTCAATTTCGCTAAGAAGACTCCGGCTGTGAGGATGCTGCGAAGGCCACAGGGTCCCACATTCTCAGAAGAAAAGGCAGAGCTTCCTGCCTCCCCCTCACACCCAGCCATCTCCCTTCAGGACCGGAATCCCTGTGGTCTCCTGGGGCTACCTGTTTGTCTCATCACCCAGCTTTTTGGCTCCCTCCCTCTCACCTGTGTGTTCAGACCACTCAGGTCAGGAAGAAAGGGGAGCCGGAACCATGGGACTTCAACACACAGGAGGGGCCCCCCAGGGTCTCCAATCTCCTAAGCTGGGAAGGAATCCTGGAAAAGTCCGATTCACAAACAGGCTGTGCCTCCCTGGCCTGTTTCTGACAGTGCACAACTTAGCTGGGGGCGGAGTCAGAGGAGGTCACAGTGTTGCCCTGAGCACGAGGGCCTCCCACAGGCCTGGTCCCCGAGTGCGGGCCCCCACCGTGCCCAGCAGGGTCCCCACCCCCAGCTGCCTGCAGGCCCTCCGGGTGCTGTGCAGCTGAGCCACCTCCCAGCTTCAGGGACAAGCGGTGCCTCTGCCCTGCCCTGCCGCAGGGACTCTCCTCCTGCCAGCCTCCTGAGCAGCCCCCTCTGTTCCCCTGGGAGATTGAGCCCAGGGGGGCTGGCAGAGGGGGAGGCTGCACCCCAGCCCCTCTGTGGGGCCACAGCCAGCCACTGAGTGCTGAAGAACAAAAGCTATGGGGGTCTTCACCATCGAAGTAAGTGTGTGCTGACCCCTGGGACGCAGCCACAGTCCACAGGCCAGGCCTGAGAACCTGGGGATGTCAGAGCCCGTTCTCACCTTCAGGGGTCATCCATGCTGGCCTCCACAACTTACAGACCACTTGGGGAAATGGAGGCCCATAGACACCAAGAACATACAAGATGAAGAGCCTGGATTTCCCGAGGCTGATCTGGATGCAGCCGTTGCTGCCCCTGCAGGTTTTGCCGTCTACTCCCTGCTTTCCCTGGGATTCAAACTCCCCCCATCCCTGCAGCCTGGGGAGGTGGGGTGGGGACAGTGTCTTTCCTTTAGTTTTTAATGTTTCTTTTTTTTTGAGATGGAGTCTTGCTCTGTCGCCCAGGCTGGAGTGCAGTGGCGCGATCTCAGTCACTGCAACCTCCACCTCCCGGGTTCCAGCGGTTCTCCTGCTCAGCCTCCCGAGTAGCTGAGACTACATGTGTGCCACTACACCTGGCTAATTTCTTTTTTTTGAGGCGGAGTCTTGCTCTGTCACCCAGGCTGGAGTGCAGTGGCACGATCTCGGCTCACTGCAAGCTCCGCCTCCCGGGTTCACGCCATTCTCCTGCCTCAGACTCCCAAGTAGCTGGGACTACAGGCGCCAGCCACCACGCCCAGCTAATTTTTTGTATCTTTAGTAGAGACAGGGTTTCACCGTGTTAGCCAGGATGGTCTTGATCTCCTGACCTCGTGATCCGCCGGCCTGGGCCTCCCAAAGTGCTGGGATTACAGGTGTGAGCCACTGCACCCAGCCTACACTGGTTAATTTTTGTGTTTTTAGTAGAGATGGGGTTTCACCATGTTGGCAAGGCTGGTCTTGAACTCCTGACCTCAGGTTATCTGCCCGCCTCGGCCTCCCAAAGGGCTGGGATTACAGGCATGAGCCACCATGCCTGTCCCTTTAAAGTTTCTTTTAATAAGTAATCGCTATAGTGCTTATCATAATAAAATCATGCCAGCCGGGCATCTGACACAGCCCCATTTGTTTCCATTCCCATCTGCTCCATGCAGCCATTGGAGTTTTCTCCCTCAACACCTACTAGAGGGTTAAACAAAACGTACCCCCACCCAGGCTGGGGGACAAGTGACCTGGAGCAAGGGGTGGGCTCCAAAGGCATCCTACCCAGAGGCCAAGGCTCTACAGCCTAAGGGTCCACCGTGGGAGGGCCGCAGTCCATGGAAGGCTGCAGGCAGGGCAGGTTGGATGAATCTTGTGCTCCAGGAGGCTCCTGGCTGCAGAGAGCAGGGAGGCAGAGCCCAGCAGAGCCCTGGAGGCAGGAGAAGCAGCAAGGTTGGGAACTTGCGAGGGGGAAGGCTCCAGCTACAAGGAATGCCCCTGGGTGGCAGAGGCAGGTCCCTGGGCAGAGGCTCCTGCCCTTCACACCAAGCCACACTAAAAAGGCTTTTCTGGCATTATTAAGACACACTTCATGCTCCAATTGACTCAGTGCTCTCAAAACCAGGCTCTTAGTTTGCTCAAATGGAGACCCAAAGAGGGCCCGTGCCCTCCAGGTGGCTGACTGCGACAGCCCTGGGGTTCCTTCTGCTCTAACTCCGGCTGCTGCCTGATCTGGTCAGGGGCCCGGGGGCCCAGCTGGCAAGCATGGCCAGCCCCAGGTGGGCCTCCCAGGCAAGGCTGGGAAGGGCATGAGGGAGGCAGGCAGGGAGACAGGAGGGCCAGGAGGATGGGTCCTGACACAGCCAAGCCCATTTTACAGAAGTCTGTGTGCCTGGCCCTGGCCCTGGCTTGGAGGCTGCAGAGCTGGTGCACCAGCCCCGACAGAGCCCCCTTTACCTGCACGTGATCAACTGCAAGACCCTTAGACAGGCCAGCAGGGATGGCAGCAAGCTGCTGCCCCACCCAACCCTTGAGCTCCCATGCCCAGGAAGATCCTTCCACTGCCAGAGGTCTAGCTTTCACTAAGGTGAGCTGGGAGAGGTGACAGCTGGCAGATCTAATAGGAGCCCTCACCTGCGTATCTCTGAGGGTTTGCATTTTTCAAGCAATGCTGCAAAAGTGGTGGAAATGCAGGCCTAGGGGCTGGCGGCAGGAGGGAATCTATAGACTCTACAGACAGCCTGGCTTCTTTTCCTTCATGGGTCCAGCTTCAGCTTCCCCAGCTCAGGGACCTAGCAAGGGGCCGAGGCCAAATCCCACTCCTGGCTTTCATGCCCTTGTCCCCTCTCCCACCTGAACAGTCACCACAGCCACTTCCAGCCTGTGTCCTTTGCCACAACCTCATCGCTCCAGCCTCTCTGCTCCCAGCCTGGTGGTGGCACCAACCTGAAACGCATGCTGCCCACCTCCCCTGGGTGCCTCTCAACCCTGCCATCCAGCCTGGGACCCCCCCCTCCCCACCCCGCAGGGTAGAGTCACTCACAAGCCTGGAAGAGGTCACAGTCCCTCCCACTGCAAGCCTTTCCCAAAAATTTCCCCTCAAAGCCCCCTATTGGATGACTGTGCCCAGGGCCGGGCTCCATAGGGCCGGCGCGGGGTCCAAAGCCTGAGTGGGACCCCTCACCCTCCCACACCTGAGGTCTCCTCTTTCTCCCCCGCACCCCTTGGCTTCTTCCCATCCTGTATGCCGCACCCCCCACCCCGCCCACCAGGAAGGCTTGTGTGGAGGACCAGGCTTCAGACCCCACTGGGTGATGGCGGGGGGCAAAGGGGAAGGCCTGGCCTGGCCAGGGGGAAGGGGCGAGACCACTAGGTTGAGGTATGTGTTTTCCTATTGTTGGGGCTCAAAAATGATACCCCAAAAGTTTGGCGCTCTGGCATGATGAATACTTTGAATAGGAAAGCCTTAGAAGCTGCCTCAGAATCAAGGATTTAACGACCTTTCCGTCACCCCTTCCCAACTGCAGAGACTCTCCAACTTCCTTACAGATGACTAAGGAAACTTCTTTCTACAAGAAATGCAATTGTCTTAAGACCCTCTCCCAAGGAATCTCATTAAATAACCAGGAAAGATTCCCCACCAATCACCGGGAGAAGAGAAGAGATTCATACATTCTTAGTTCAACCCCTTATTTCACAGGTGAGGAAACCGAGGCCCGAGAACGAGGTTGACGGTGCGTGGTGAGTTTAGGGACAATGAATATGACAGCCTCGAGGTGCAAATGGCCTTGCTCAGGGCCAGCAGGTTTTGTCACTAGCGCACCAAGGGCTGCCTCCGCTGGGTCTGTTTTCTCATCTGTAAAATGGGCGTGCGCAATCAATTCGTGCCACGCGGGGCTTGGTGAGAAACAATGTACGCGGGTGGCGGGTGGCCGTGGGAAGAGCACCCCGAGCCCCTAGGCTCCCTAGTTCACCCTCGGCCGCCCAGCTGCGACGCCGGCGCGCGGGGATCATCCCCGCCCTACTTCGAGCCGAGGCTCTCCTGGGCTCCCAGCCGGCAGCAGCTGCGAGGGGGCAGGAGGCAGCCCCGGCCGCCCCGGGCCTTACCCTGCCAGCTCCAGAAGTAAACTCGGAAGGCTGAGGCCCCGCGCGCTGCGCGCCGCTAGCACAGCGGAGATCTGCGGCAGCTTCAGCGCGGCGCACACGCCCAGCGTGCTCCAGTTACACAGCCCCAGCAGCGCCGCCTCCATAGCGCCACGGGCGCGGGCACCTGGGCGGCCGCAGCGAGAAGGGACCGCTCAGCCTCGGCGGCGCAGCTCTGCCGAAGCCTTCCGCCTTCCCGGGATCCGCCCGGGACCACCCGGCCAGGGCCCGCCCCTCCGCGCGCCGCCAGGCCCCGGACCCGCCTCGCTCCGCCCCTCCCCTGGACGCACCCCGCCCCCGGGCCCGCCCCGCCCCTCCCGCCCGGGCCCGCCCCGCCCCGCCCCTCCCGCCCGGGCCCGCCCCGCCCCCTGGCCAGCCTCATCTCGCCTCGCCTACGGGCCCGCCCGGGCTCGCTCAGTCCTCGGACTACCCTCATCTCGCCCCGCCCCCAGATTCGCCCCCTCCCGGTCGGCCTCACCTAGCCCAATCCCGTGGCCAACCTCGCCTCGCCCCGCCCCTCCTCGCCCCGCCCCTCCCCTCCTAGCCCCGCCCCGGGCGACAGTCCCACCCTGGCCTGCGGGCTCCACCAGCAGCTGCTTCGCATTTCCGCGTTCTTGCCACCCGATAGTTTAGCCGCCGCCGGGAGCCGCCCTGGAAGTCCGGCTTTTCCACGGGTTGGGTGGACCGAGAGGCAAATGGCCCCGGGGGATGGGCCATTCTGCCGGGATTTTTCCCTCCCTGCAAGTGTTTTAGTTTCTCTCACTAAGCATTTCAGGAGTTAAAGCCTCCTGCTTAAGGGCTGAGTGCACCCTCCCGACTTACAGGTGGGGAACCAGGCTGGAGAGACTTTCTGGGACCAGAGCCCCAGGGTCGCCTCATTTGTGCCCTTTCAGAGCACGCGGCCTGTCTCCAGCCTGGGACTGAAGGCTTCCCTCCTAGCGGCGTGGGCCCTGAGGGGCCACCGGAAGCCTTGAACTTGAGCACTTCACAGTGAAACTGTTTCTTAAGGATTTCTCCTGATAAAGTAACTTGGACGTGGCCGTCTAAGCCACAAACTGAGGGAAAGGGAAGGACGCATTTTCCAACCTCTGAAAATCGCCTGTGTATTAGGGCCTGGTTATGAAGCAGGCAAAAAAGCACCAAAATGCAATGCCAGAATCCACGATCCCTGGTTTTGTGCCATAAATCTCAGCCGGGAAGTGTGAGGGACGGGAGCTGGGTCAGCTTCGGAGTTCGGAATTCTGGCCGAGGCTCTTTCTCTCCAGCCTCACCGGCCCATCACCTCCGCCTATGGAAAAAAAAAAACAGGTGCTGAGTCCTGCCTCCCAAGTCTAAATGAGAAAAGGATGTTCAGAAGGGAACCCTTAAAGGAAACGGCTTGGACCTGCCCTGGCTAGATCGATACTGATCGTTATTGACCCCGCGAAGCGGGAAGATTGCTTGAGGCCAGGAGTTCAAGACCAGCCTGAGCAACATAGGGAAACCCCCGCCTCTACTAAAAATACAAAAATTAGCCGAGCGTGGTGGCGCGTGCCTGTGGTCCCAGCTACTCGGGAGGCTGAGACAGGAGGATGGCTTGAACCCAGGAGGCGGAGGTTGCAGTGAGTCGAGATCGCGCCACTTCACTCTAGCCTGGGAGACAGAGCCAGACCCTGTCTCAAAAATAAATAAATAATATGTATATAAATTTTTTGAAGAAGAAAATAGAGAAGAGCTTTTTTTTTTTTTTGAGACGGAGTTTCACTCTTGTCGCCCAGGCTGGAGTGCAGTGGCACGATCTCTGCTCACTGCGACCTCCACCTCCGGGGTTCAAGTGATTCTCCTGCCTCTGCCTCCCAAGTAGCTGGAATTACAGGCATGTGCCACCACTCCCGGCTAATTTTTGTATTTTTAGTACAGACGGGGTTTCGAACTCCTGACCTCAGGTGATCCACCTGCCTTGGCCTCCCAAAGTGCTGGGATTACAGGCATGAGCCACCGCGCCCAGCGTAAAGAGCTTTTTAACAAGCATCAGCAGCAATGACTATAGGAACATCTAGAACCTGTTGAGTGCCTCCTGCGTGCCAGGTGTTTTACTTTCATCATGCCATGTGATAGGTCCCTTGATGCAAGGAGGTGGTCCTGGTTGGAAGTGCCTGGTTCCTGCCACATGGCAGTGGAATCCCCCTCCCTCCTCTTCCCCTTCTGCCCCAGCCTTTATTCCAGGGGTTGGCCAGGATCTGGGCCCCCAGGACTAGCCTTAGGAGGGAACTGCTCCCACCTGGGGTCAGCCTGCGCTAGCACTTGGGGATGCAGGCAGCATGAGGGGCCTTTGAGAGGTATGAGTGCCCCCAGGACCACGCAGGGAGTGGCCTCCTCCATTGTGGAACAAATGCTGCTCCTGGCCCAGGACACTGCAGCCGCCTGCTCTGGGGGTCAGCTGGGTGAGGCAGGGCTGTGGAAGAGGTTTCTTCCTGGCTCCTAGACCCCTCCCTGGCTACTTTGCGTGAAGACCAGGATGCAGTGATGTGGGTGTGTGGCCCTTCGGGGTTAGGCAGACCTCAGCTGTCCTCCTAGCATTGGCCCCTACAGGCTGCATGATCTTGGACAGACCTTAACTTCCCTGTTCCTCAGCGTCATTTTTAAAAGGGGAGAACCATCCCGCTCAGAAGGTTATTGAGAGGCACAGAATAGGTGCTCAACGTATATGGTCATTCCCCACCAGGTGCAAACTAGCAAAACCTTTTTGGGATTTGTGGGCACTGGCTTTGCTCCTGAAGCTGTGGGGATGGGGGCGGTCCTAGGTTGGAGCCAGGTTTGGGCCATGCAGGAAGGCGTTTGGGTCTCAGCCCCCATGCCCAGCGGGACATCTCAAGAGCATGCCAGCTCTTCTGCTTGGAGGATGGCCTCAAAACAGCTGATCTGCGAGGCTCCTCTGTCCCTTCAGGAGGTTGGGGAGTGTCTGGACGGGGGTCTCTACAGTGCACACTCACTGGGATATCTCTGCAGGACAAGATAGTGCCCCCATGTTAGAGACCTCTGCCTCCTCCCCAGCTACATGGCAACCCTGGTCACAATCTGTTACAGGACCCTAACCCCACTCCTGGGCCACAGCTGCACAGAGTGAATCAGCTCCCTGACTGAAGCTGGCCAAGGAGTCTCATTGAAACCACCTTTGCAAAAATTATAACAGGAAATTATGACAATGAAAGAAATCAGACCTAACTGACCCCATCTTGCTTCTAAACTTTAAGCTGTCCTGGTTCCTTCCTGGGCATAGGCTGAACCAACCTTGGGAAGGAATTTAGTTTATGGTTTGACTCTGAAACAAAATTAGTAATAATCCTTTCCCGAAAAGACCACCTTTGTGCCTTGGGACCTGTCTGCCTTTGTAGGACTAACAAATTAGCTACAAGATTAGAAATGACAGTTTAGGGTCAGGCAGCCTCTGGCTGCAAGAGTCTGAACCTTCCCAAATTGTTCCTGGGGATCACATCACTATTGTAAAACCTAAGATCAGTGCTTGAGGTATTTTGCAGCCCCTGCACTGGATGGATCAGCTGACACCACCCAGACCAATTATTTGGCTCAACCAGTTCTGCAATCCCCGCTCGGGAACAGAAGACAGCGAGAAAACTTCACTTCGACCCCCGTGTGATTCCATCTCCATCCTCACCAATCAGCACTTTCCACTTCCCAAGCCCCTACTGGCCAAATTATCTTTAAAAACTTCCATCCCCAGTCGGAGCGCGGTGGCTCACGCCTGTAATCCCAGCACTTTGGGAGGCTGAGGCGTGCAGATCACCTGAGGTCAGGAGTAAGAGACCAGCCTGGCCAACATGGCCAAACCCCGTCTCTACTAAAAACAAAAATTAGCCAGGCATGGTGATTTGTGCCTATAATCCCAGCTACTCTGGTGGCTGAGGCAGGAGAATCACTTGAATCCAGGAGGCACAGGTTGCACTGGGCCGAGATCGTGCCACTGCACTCCAGACAGAGTGGGTGACAGAGCGAGACTCCGTCTAAAACCAAACCAAACCAAACCAAAAACAAAAACACTTCCATCCCCGAATGCTCTGCTCAGGGAGACTGATTTGAGTAATAATTAAGCTCCAATCTCCCGCACAGCTGGCTCTGTGTGAATTGCTCTTTCCCCTGTCTTGATAAATGGGGTCTGTCTAGGCAGCGGGCAAGGTGAGCCCTTTAGGTGGTTACACCTTCACGTGGGAACATGGAATTGAGCAGAAACTGATTCCATGCCTCCCCCACCCTCACCCCCTGACTCTCTTCAACAGAGGAGATCTGAACTCGAGAGCCATTGGTGGTGGCAGTAAACCCAAAATATCTGAGACAGGTCTCAAGCAATTTAAAAGTTTATTTTGCCAACAGGTCCTGACGACACGTCCCCAAGGTGGCTGGGGTACAGCTTGCTTTTGTGCATTTTAGGGAGACCTGAGACATCAATTAATATATGTAAGATATACTTTGGTTCCATCCAGTAACACAGGACAACTCGAAGAGGGGGGCTTCCAGGTCATAGGTAGATAAGAGACAAAAGCTTGCATTCTTTTGAGTCCTTGATCAGCCTTTCAGTGAATTCACAATCTAGTCTGGCTCAGTGAATCTTCATTTTTACATACACAGTAGGTCTGAGGAAGCAATCAGATAAGCATTTCTCTCAGGTGAGCAGAGGAATGATTTTCTGTCCTGCACCTGTTAAGATCAGCTATCAGTTTACATTGCCAGGATGAATTCAACAGAAATGTTTCAGGGTAAAGTTTTGTTTTTTGTTTTTTTTTTTAATTCTTGGCATGATCCTGAGTAGGGTAAAGATCTTGAGGCCCACAAGGAATTTCCTTGTGGGCAAATTGTGAGGGAGGCATGTAGCTGTTTTATCTTTATAGCCATCTTATTCAGGAATTAAAATGGGAGGCAGGTTCCCAGCTTGACTTTTCCCTTAGCTTAGTGATTTTGGAGTTGAGATTTATTTTTCTTTCACAGTGGCCATTCCCCCACCTTCATTAAAAAAAAAAATTCCTAAACCACCGGGCACGGTGGCTCACACCTGTAATCCCAGCACTTTGGGAGGCTGAGGCTGGCAGATCACCTGAGGTCAAGAGTTCAAGACCAGCCTGGCCAATGTGGTGAAACCCTGTCTCTACAAAAATACAAAAATTAGCCGGGCATGGTGGCAGGTGCATGTCATCCCAGCTACTCGGGAGGCTGAGGCAGGAGAATTGCTTGAACCTGGGAAGCGGAGGCTGCAGTGAGCCAAGATGGCACCACTGCACTCCAGCCTGGGTGATAGAGCGAGACTCCATCTCAAAAAAAAAAGAAAAAAAATCCTAAACACAAATTTTTCGTTAAGCCACTTGCAAGTTTGTTATATACATCATGGGACTTTTCAGCAAACACCTCCTAAGAACAAGGGCTTTCGGCTGGGCACAGTGGCTCACGCCTGTAATCCCAGCACTTTGGGAGGTTGAGGCGAGTGGATCACGAGGTTCGAGACCAGCCCGGCCAGAATGGTGAAACCCCGTCTCTACTAAAGATACAAAAAATTAGCTGGGCATGGTGGCACGCACCCGTAATCCCAGCTACTCGGGAGGCTGAGGCAGGAGAATCGCTTGAACCCGGGAGGTGGAGGTTTGCAGTGAGCCAAGATTGTGCCATTGTACTCCAACCTGGGCAATGGGGTGAGACGCCGTCTCAAAAACAAACAAACAAAAAGAACAAGGACTTTCTTCTACAGAGCCTCAATGGACTCACCACACTCTGCACTTTCTCACTGATACAATGGTGTTAGCTAACATTTAGTCTGCAAAGTGTCCTTTAGAGCTGCTTTTGCTTTCACCCAGGATCCAGTCAAGGATCACGGGCTGAATCACTTCTTCAGCCTTTCTTTGTCTTTTATGACATTGACTTTTTTTATTTTTATTTTATTTTAATTAATTAATTAATTTTTTTTGAGATAGGGTCTCATTCTGTCACCCAGGCTGGAAGGCAGTGATCAGATCATAAATCACTGCAGCCTTGACTTCCTGGGCTCAGGTGATTCTCCCATCTCAGCCTCCCAAGTAGCTGGGACTATAGGCCTGCATCACCACACCTGGCTAATTTTTTGTATTTTTAGCAGAGATGCGGTTTCAGCATGTTGTACAGGCTGGTCTCAAACTCCTGAGCTCAAGCGATACTTTTACCTCGGCCTCCCAAAGTGCCGGCATTATGGGCGTGAGTCACAGCGCCTGGCAGACATTGACATTTTTGAAGAATCAAGGCCAACTCTTTGGCAGAATATTTCTCAATTTGGGTTTGCCAGGAGTTTCTTCCTGATTATATTCTAGTTACTTTTTTTTTTTTTGGCAAGAGTGCTTCCTAGGTAAGTAGGTAGCGTTGTCCTCAGTGAACCACACCAGGGGAGCACGGTGTCAGCTGTCCTGTTATTGGTGAGGTTTGGCTTAATAGTTTGGTTAAGGCAGTATCTTCTAGATTTCAGCATTTACCGTTCTCTAAGAATCTTTCACTCAGTCGTTTTAGTGTCTTTTATTGATTCTTGCCTAAGTCAGTTATTGCTGAGTCATTAAATGCTGATTTTTCTGTTATCATTTATTCTGCATTCTTCAATAGAAAAGAGTTTTCATGGCCAGGCGCAGTGGCTCATGTCTGTAATCCCAGCACTTTGGGAGGCCGAGGCGGGCGGATCACCTGCGGTCAGGAGTTCGAGACCAGCTTGGCCAACATGGTGAACCCCCGTCTCTACTAAAAATACAAAAATTAGCCAGGCATGGTGGCGGGTGCCTGTAATCCTAGCTACTTGGAGGCCGAGGCAGGAGAATCGCTTGAACCCAGGAGGCGAAGGTTGCAGTGAGCGAGATCGCACTATCGCACTCCAGCCTGGGGGACGAGAGCGAGACTTCATCTCAAAAAAAAAAAAAAAAAAAAGAGTTTTCATTAGTACTTAAAATTTAAAAAAATTATTGGTATGAACCCATGGATTATTTGTTATTGTTATTATTATTAATGTTATTTGGTGGGGCTTGTGGCACTGGCTGGGGGTGGGCATGGGCGTGGTCAGGGTGGCCTATTACTGTTCTTCATTTCGATGCTCATATTGTCCCAAATTTAGGCTGGTCCTTGTATCCCTTTTCCATATTTTCATCACTTTTTGAATTTTTCTTAGTTTCTGGCACAGGAAGTTGCTCCAGGCTCGCCTTGTACTTTCCGTGGATAGAAGTCATTTTTTATCATGTGGAAAGTTGGCTGGGCGCAGTGGCTCATGCCTGTAATCCCAGCACTTTGGGAGGCCGAGGCAGGTGGATCACCTGAGGTCGGGAGTTTGAGAACAGCCTGACCAACATGGAGAAACCATGTCTCTACTAAAAATGCAAAATTAGCCGGGTGTGGTGGTGCATGCTTGTAATCCCAGCTACTCAGGAGGCTGAGGCAGGAGAATCGCTTGAACCTGGTAGGCGGAGGTTGTGGTGAGCTGAGATCGTACCATTGCACTCCAGCTTGGGCGACAAGCTGGCGAAACTCCATCTCAAAAAAAAAAAAAATGTGAAGCAAGCATCCCTCCAGGCTTGCTATGGCTCTCAGGTCTTGATTCTTCCTTTCCTGAAGCCCTGCTGTCTCCTGGCCCTTGGTCTCCAAGTGCCCATCTCTTTATAGGTAATGCCCCCATTTCCTTTTGCTGGCACTGACCCTGCAGGCTTGGTGCCCACTTCTTCATGACCTCCTGGCCCATCCACCCTCCCTTGTTCTGGCCCAAACGAGCTGAAAGGCTGGCCTTGGGACTTCACTGCAGATGCCCCTCTGTCCTGGTTTTCTGGGCTCCCAGTGGGTGAGATGGGGAAGGTTAGAAGCAGGCGTCTTCTTGAAAAGAAGGCAGATGTGGCAAGGAGCAGAGGGTGGGTGGGGCTGGTTGTGAGGGATTTGGCGTGATGACAGGTCATTGCAGAGTACAGAAAGCAGTTCTGCATGCAGAAGCCATCAGTGTGCCTGCACAGTTCTGTTGGGCCCTTGCACCCTTGTGATGTGCCATGAGAAAAACATGCCCCAGGAGGCTTTCAGTCCAAGAGAATGAGAGACATGCACAAAAAACTTGAACCTAACCTGAAGTGTGGAGGCAAGTCTAGCCAAGCCCAGCCAAAATCAGCTGAGCCCCAGCTACATGCAGACCTGTGAGCAAGGAAGGGGGTGTTTTGTTACACAGCATTATCACAGCTGACTAATGCACTCTGTAAAAGAACTCAAACCCCTTTCTTCTTCAGTACTCCCTGAATGCTCAAAGAAGAGAATCCTGGAGCTGGAGATGCCCTTAAATCTGTCTTCTTCCCTCCCGCGCCATTTTATAACTGTGGAGACTGAGGCCTGGAGCGGGGAAGGCAGCATGGAGAAGTCACACATGAGATGGATCCTGGCTCTTCACTAGTTGTGAGACCCTGACCAGATTGAATGAAGTGTTCGGCTTAGTTTCCAAACCTCTCAAATGGTGACAATTCTAATACGTGCAAAAGACACAATGTGGGTAATGTGCCAAGCCCAGAGTCTGTGCTTATAGGTTGCATTGTCTGTAAGTGGCTGTGCTTCCAGGAGTGGCAGAACCGGCGCTGGTCCCTGGCCCTCCTCACTGCCCTCCAGGGCACTCAGTGATTCTCTCCCCTCTGCACAGGCCTGACCACTTGCAGCCATCCTTAACCTTGACTTTTCTTGTGCCTCTCCCTCCCTCAAATGGAAATCTTCTTTATTTTGAGTGTGAGAATAATATAAGGCAGGCTCAGGGCAAAAACGTAGATTGGGTCTTTAAGGAGCCTCCAGCATCTTTGTACCCACCCAGCCTAAGGACGAGCACTTGACCTTCATGGGATGCAGCCAGGATGTGACCAGGACCCCTGGCTGTCCTGGCCACTGACCTTTACCCAGCTGATGATCTCAGAGTGGAGAGGGAGCCCAGCTTCCATGTCAGACACTGAGAAAGAAGGCGGTGGCCTCCAGATCCAAGTAGGAAGGGTTGGGCCTCTTCCTGGCCAAGTCACACTGGGCCTGGTCTGCTCCATCACACAGTCGCTCAGGGCCAGGGTATGGCATGAAACACAGGGGCTGTTGCATGGAAATAACGTGTCCTGTCCTGTGTAACTCCTGGAAACACCGATGATCTATTCTTGATGGTAGTAGGGATCCCAGAGATTGGAAAAATCAGTTTTTCCTTTCTCAAGAATCAAGAGACTTTCTTTAAGCAGAAAAATCCTGTAATTTGCTAAATTTGGGGGAATCAATTCATTGAGGATTAAAGGGGACCCATATAGCATAATGCTTAAGTATATAGTCCTTGGAGCCAGACTCAACTGCTGAGTCTGAACCCCAGCTTCACCACTTGCCAGCTGTGTGACCTTGGGCAAGTGACTTAACCTCTCTGCGCTTTAGTTGCCTCATTTATAGGAGTATCTATCTCATAGGGTTGCTGAGAGGATTAAATGAGTTAATGCATGCAAATAACAGTGACATTTAGCTACTGCCGAATAAGACCCAAGCAAGCATCAAAGACAGAGCAGTCATTTCAGCCCCTGCCCCATTTTTCTCTCTTTTCTGGAGGCCACGGCTGGGGTCCTGCAGAGAACACTGGGCTTCAAGCTTGAGGCCTGGCATTAATGTATGTTCGGGATTTTATTTCACCTCTCTGAATCTCAGGTTTTGCCTGTATTAAATGAATACGAAATCCCTGCCTGTTGATTCTCTTGGGTTGTTGAGAAAATAAATTTAAAATGCTTTACCCTAGAAGTGTGGGCTATTGTTTTTGTTTTGGCCAGTTTTTGTTTATTTTGTTTGTGTGTCAGTGTGGGTGTCGGGAGATTCTGCTCCACGAGCTCACTCAGGGCTCCAGGCTTGGTCCTGACATGCTCCCTCCATCTTGTGCCCCTCTCTTCCCTGCATCCTCCAAGTCCTCTCCCTTCTTCAGCTGATGGGGAAAGGAGAACAAGCCAATACCTGGAGTGTCTCATGGACCAGGCCTGGAAGGGAGACCTAGGGTTTTTGCTCCCATTCCACTGGCCATGGCTCTGTCACATGCTCCACCCAAACCAAGGGAAACCACAGCCTGGCAGAGCACCCAGGAAGAAGAGGAGAATGCGGATGTTTGAAAGAATGAATCCATTTGTGTTTTAACCAACAAAGAGGAACTAAGCCTTTTCTGCATTTTTTTGCTTAAATATAAAGGTTGTGATATAATCACAAGGGTCCTTAAAAGGTGGAGGAAGTGAAACCAGATGCCTGTAATCCCAGTGCTTTGGGAGGCCAAGGTGGGAGGATCATTTGAGCCCAAAAGTTCAAGACCAGCCTGGTCAACATAGTGAGACCCTATCTCTACATAAAATTTTAAAAATTAGCCAGGCATGGCCGGGCGCAGTGGCTCACACCTGTAATCCCAGCACTTTGGGAGGCTGAGGCAGGCGGATCACCTGAAGTTGGGAGTTTCAGACCAGCCTGACCAACATGGAGAAACCCCATCTCTACTAAAAATACAAAAAATTAGCCAGGCATGGCGGCACATGCCTGTAATTCCAGCTACTCAGGAGGCAGAAGCAGGAGAATTGCCTGGACCTAGGAGGCGGAGGTTGCGGTGAGCCAAGATCACACTGTTGCACTCCAGCCTAGGCGACAGTGCGAGACTCTGTCTGGAATAAAAATAAAAAAAAAATTAGCCAGGCATGTTGCCATGTGTCTGTATCCCTAGCTACTTGGGAGGCTGAGGTGGGAGGATTGCTTGAGCCCGGGAGTTCAAGGCTACAATGATTTATAATTGCATCACTGCCCTCTAGCCTAGGTGACAGAGTAAGACACTGTCTCTAAAAAAAAAAGAGAGAGAGAGAGAAAGAAAGAAAAGATGAAGGAGTGAGGCAGGAGAGAGCAAGCGATAGAGACTGATTTGAAGATGCTAGGATGCTGGCTTCAAAGACGGAGTAAGGAGCTGCCAACTAAGGAATACAGGCTGCCTTGAGAAACTGGAAAAAATGTGGAAATAGATTCTTCCCCAGATACTCCTAAAAGAGCACAGCTCTGCAACATGTCACCCATGTCAGAGTTGTGATCTTCAGAGCTGTAAGATGATACGTTTGTGTTGTTTTAAGCTATGCAGTTTGTGCTCACTTGTCACAGCAGCTGCAAGGAGTGAACACACTGAATCGCAGGAGGGGAGACGGAGGCACAGAGTGTTGCAGCAGCCAGCTCAAGGTCCCACAGCTCATCAGGGTCACAAGCTGGATTTGAACCCAGGCATTCAGTGCTCCTGACCACAATGCAGGGTCCCTTTCATGGGGCACCCATGAGTTCCCAAGCTGGAAGGGCTGGGGATTGTACGGCCGTGGACCAGTTACTGACTCCTCTGAATCTTACGTGTAAAAAGTGTGTAAGAGTGACCCCTTGGGTCCCCTGGAAGAGTGTCCTGCAGCTTACAGACAGTGCAGACCCAAGCTGCCTTGTGTGGGGAGCTGACTGGTGCTGTTGTGGGCTGGGTCTCTTGTCCCCACCCACACCCACCTGGGGAAGGCCAGCCCAGCCCTCCTTGCTCCTAGATGGGCTGCATCTGGTCCTCCAGCTTCTTCTTCCGGGCCCCTTCTGTGAAGAAGAAGTCCATGCGGATGAGAGTCTGTCCCAGGGGTGTGTCCAGCCTGCTGCCCACAACCTGGTTCGTGGAACTGGGAACTGTGTCCGAAAAGAGAGGCACATGGTCTGGCAACTTCTCAGGCTCCTTCTTGTTGCCCTGAGGAGAGGGGACAGCTCGGGTCACACAGAGCGTGGAAAAAGGAGGACCTTAGAATGGGAGAAAACAGAGCAGAGAGCAGCTGCCTCTCTTTGTGAAGCATCTCCAGGTGATTCAATCCTGGTTTGGACTTGGGATCCCCCAAGAGTGACCCGATGCCACAGCCTCTGCCAAGCTTGTCCCTCCTCTTCCTCCACTTCCCCTTCCCCAGGTGCCTCCCAGATCCCTTAACTTTCATGCTGCGACCTGCAGAGATCAAGGGAAGGATCAGGTCTTATTCCCCTTTCTATCCCCAGGACTAAGATGCCACTTTACATCTGGTGGGAGGTTTTGATTTTTTTTTTTTTTTTTGGTAAATTTGTACTTAAGAGTATAACATTCACACAGAAAACGCACAAGCCATCACTGTCCAGCTTGACAAATGTTCACAAAGTGAAGATGCCCATGTGCCCAACCAGATCAAGGGGTATGATCCCCTCCCCCACCTCCTTTCAGCCCCTCAGCCCCTGTCTCTGCTCCCAAGGCACCCTGACCTTGACCTCTAATGCCACGCATTAGCTTTGCCTGGTTTTGAACTTTACATTAGTGGAATCATGGCTCTTCTGTCTGGCTTCTTTCTCTCAACATTATGTGTGTGAGATTCATTCAGCTTTGGAGTGTGGCTGCCGTTCATTCATTCTCAGTGCTGTACGTTACTCCATGGTGTGAACTGTACTCCATGGTGTGAACTGTACTCCATGGTGTGAACTGTGTGAATATCACACAAGTTATTCACCTGTATCACCACTGATCACACTTGGGTTGATTCTAGTTTGGGGCTTTTATGAGTAGTGCTGTTTTGGCCATATGTGAACGTGCGTTTGGGTAAACTCTGTAACGGATGCATGCATGAATGAATGACTAAATGTAATCTGATGGCCAGGCACCATGGCTCTTGCCTTTAATCCTGGCACTTTGAGAAGCCTTGGCGGAAAGATTCAGACCAGCCTGGGCAACATGGTGAGACCCCGTCTCTACAAAAAAATACAAAAATTAGTTGGGTGTGGGGGCACGTGCATGTAAGCCCCAGCTACTCAGGAGGCTGAGGTGGGAGGATCACTAGAGCCCAGGAGGTTGAGGCTGCAGTGAGCCATGATCATGCTACTTCACTCCAGCCTGGGCAACAGAGTGAGACCGTATCTCAAAAAAAAAAAAAAAAAAAAAAAATCTGACAAGTGGGAAAACATCCTCAGCTCTTCCTGCCCCTGTTTAGGGTTACCTTTCTGCTACCCTGTGTCTAATAGAAATGACATGACCTGTCAAGTAAGGAGATCATGGTTTTCACCTGGCAAAGTCCATGCCGAGGTGGCTCCACCCTTTGGCCATGATGCAGATTTCAGTAGTCAGGTTGCTATCATGTAGCCCTTAGCAGGGAGAGACTCTTACAGGCTGGAAGCCCAGACCAGATGCACAGGTCGGGATATCAGGTCCCATGAGCTGAATTTTCCCTCCAGAATAGACAGCAACAAGTCCAGCAGGTCCACAATGCAGGCATTAAAACTTTCCTCAACCTGGCAGGGTCCAGGTAAGCATGGCCACCCCCTCGAGTGACTTTCCATATTGCTCATCTTCCAGGTTGGTTCTTTGACCATCTTTTTTTTTTTTTTTTTTTTTGAGACTGAATTTTGCTCTTGTTGCCCAGGCTGGAGTGCAATGGCGTGATCTCTGCTCACTGCAACCTCTGCCTCCCAGGTTCAAGCTATTCTCCTGCCTCAGCCTCCCGAGTAGCTGGAATTACAGGCATGCACCAGCACACCCGGCTAATTTTTGTATTTTTAGTAGAGATGGGGTTTCTCCATGTTGGTCAGGCTGGTCTTGAACTCCCAACCTCAGGTGATCCACCTGCCTCGGCCTCCCAAAGTGTTGAGATTACAGGCGTGAGCCACCGCATCCAGCTGATCATCCTTTTTGTAGTGAGATCCATCTTTCCATTCATTCATTCATCCAGCATGAACTGAATGTTCACTCTTTTATGGTCTCTGGGGGATGGGGCAAATGCTAGGGTTGTGATAGGGTGCAGTGATGAATTCATATTCATCTTTTCTCTTTTTAAAAAATAATGTTATTTTTGTAGAGACAGGGTCTCCCTATGTTGCCCAGGCTGGTCTTGAACTCATGGGTCCAGGTGATCCTCCCACCTCAGCCTCCCCAAGTACAGGCATGGGCCACCATTCCTG
The DNA here is from genome assembly GCF_000001405.40 of Homo sapiens. Taxonomy (NCBI): domain Eukaryota; kingdom Metazoa; phylum Chordata; class Mammalia; order Primates; family Hominidae; genus Homo; species Homo sapiens. The sequence continues at coordinate 11,141,703 of NC_000002.12, read as the reverse complement.
GCCTCATCCTTTCTCTTAAGGAGTTCACAGCTGGTGAAATTGGGCATTGCAGTATTACATTACATGGAATACCAAAATAACGGGTGAGATATGCTGGTGAATCAAAGGAAGGAGTGATCTGGTCAAGCCTGCCCAGGAAGGTGAGATTCCCTAGAAGAGGGGGCACTAGAGCAGGATCTTGAAGAGTGAATAGGAGTCCATCAGGCTGACCAGGTGGAAGGACATTCCAGCAGGGGACGAGCATGCCCAAAGGCATAGATAAAAGAGTGTTGTGGGGGCTGGGTGTGGTGGCTCATGCCTGTAATCCCAGCACTTTGGGAAGCCGAGGCAGTTGGCTAATTGAGGTCAGGAGTTCGAGACCAGCCTGGCTAACATAGTGAAACCCCCTCTCTACTAAAAATACAAATATTAGCCAGGCATGGTGGTGTGCACCTATAATCTCAGCTACTCAGGAGGCTGAGGCAGGAGAATCACTAGAATCCAGGAGGTGGAGATTGCAGTGAGCCAAGATTGCACCACTGCACTCCAGCCTGGGCGACAGAGCAAGACTCCATCTCAAAAAAAAAAAAAAAAAAAAAAAAAGTGTGTTGTGGGGTCTGTGTGGGGTGGGTAATGAGGCTGGGGAGATAGATGGTTTAGATCACAGGAGGCTTTGTAAGCCACCTGAAAATTTCAGACTTACTGAAGCATTTTAATCAGGGGAGCTACATGGCCAGTTCTGCCGTTTAGGGAAATTAGTCTGGTGGCAATGTGGAGGATGGATTGGAGGTGGTGATACCAGAGTCAGGGAATTTGTTTACAAAGTATTTTTACCCAATCTCATTGTCCTTCTCGGGCACGCCACACAGATATGACTACATATTGCTGCCATCCTCAATCAGGGGAGACATTTCAGCAACAGATGCCTGTCATTTCCAATTGGTTCATCTTAATAAAATTAAGAAACACTGAGGGAAACACATTTCTAAATGCTTCATGTAACTGTTTTCTATCCAACGGACCCTGCATTCCTTGAAACAAGAGTGTATTTGACTCATCGCTGCACATCCAGTATCTGGTGTAGAGTAGATCTTCAATAAATGTTAGTTGAATGATGGAAAGAATGAGTAATATTCAATTGCAAGTATGTTTGGCAGGAACATATTTTACCTTACCATTGGGTCATAGTCTTTCAGGAAACTCCAGTTCTGAATCCTGGAAAGGAAAAACATGTTGGCTGTGTGAGTTCCTTCCAGGACATTTTTACCAATGACTTTCACTGTGTCAAGTCAATGCAACAATGTATCACGTGGAAGAACTAAATAATTTTTTTTTTTTTTTTTTTTTTTTAAGACGGAGGCTCACTCTGTCACCCAGGCTGGAGTGCCGTGGCGCAATCTTGGCTCCCTGCAAGCTCCGCCTCCCGGGTTCACGCCATTCTCCTGCCTCAGCCTCCCGAGTAGCTGGGACTACAGGCACCCGCCACCGCGCCTGGCTAATTTTTTGTATTTTTAGTAGAGATGGGGTTTCACCGTGGTCTCGATCTCCTGACCTTGTGATCCGCCCGCCTCGGCCTCCCAAAGTGCTGGGATTACAGGCGTGAGCCACCACGCCCAGCCTTTTTTTTTTTTTTTTTTTGAGAGGGAGTCTCGCTCTGTCACCTAGGCTGAAGTGCAGTGGCATAATCTCAGCTCACTGCAACCTCTGCCTCCCAGGTTCAAGCAATTCCCCTGTCTCAGCCTCCCAAGTAGCTGGGACTACAGGTGCATGCCACCACACCCGGCTAATTTTTGTATTATTAGTGTAGATGGGGTTTCACCATATTGGTCAGGCTGGTCTTGAATTCCTGACCTCAGGTGGTCCACCCACCTTGGCCTCCCAAAGTGCTGGGATTACAGGCATGAGCCACTGTGCCCAGCCAGAACAAAATAATTTTTAAGTGAAACAAATGCCAAGTGTCAAGCAGGTATTTATGGTGTATCCTACCAAAGGAACAAACATTTCAATTTCCAATGACTTTTCCTAGAACGACAAATATGATGTCACTATGGTGGGGCTGCCTAAGGAAAGCAAAGGCTACCATCTCGCCCTGCCTCTGTGCATTTCAGAAGGCTACAGTAGGCAAGCATTCTCTGAAGAAAAAAGTTTTCACATCCCCAAACCTTTGTAACTTTCCAATGTGAGTGATAGAGGAAGGCTAGGGAGAGGTAGGAAAAGGGAGGGACCATAAGGATAGTATTAGCTTGCACTGGCCATTTAGTTTTATTTGAATCTAATCTTAAAAAGTCAAACAATTCTACAAAACATAATAAAAACAGCCTTCTCTGTCCCCATCCTCACAGCCCCTGAGCCCCACATCCTAGAGTCAAACCTTTGCCAGCCTTTTAGCTGTTTCTTCAGGCCTTTGCATCCATATTTTGAAATAATAGGATTCTACTGCTGTATTATGCCATTCTTGCCTTGCTATAAATAATACCTGAGACTGGGTAATTTATAAAGAAGGTGTAGGACAGGTGCGGTGGCTCACGCCTGTAATCCCAGCACTTTGGGAAGCTAAGGTGGGTGGATCACCTGAGGTCAGGAGTTCGAGACCAGCCTGGCCAACATGGTGAAACCCTGTCTCCACCAAAAATACAAAAATTAGCCGGGCATGGTGGCGGGCGCCTGTAATACCAGCTACTAGGGAGGCTGAGGCAGGAGAATCGCTTGAGCCCAGGAGGTGGAGGTTACAGTGAGCAGAGATCAAGCCACTGCACTCCAGCCTGGGTGACAGAGTGAGACTCTGTCTCAAAAAATAAAAATAAATAAAAATAAAAATAAAAAAAAGAAGGTGTAATTGGCTAACAGTTCCACAGGCTGTACAGGAAGCAGGATGCTGGCATCTGCTTAGCTTCTGGGGTGGTCTCAGGAAACTTACAATCATGGTGGAAGGCAAAGTGGCAGCAGGCAGGTCACATGGCCAGAGCAGGAGCAAAGGAGAGAGAAGGGAAGTGCCACACACTTTAAAAGAACCAGATCTGGTGAGAACTCACTACTGTGAGGACAGTACCATGGGGATGGTATAAACCATTTATGAGAAGCCACCCGCATGATCCAATCGCCTTCCACCGGGCCCCACCTCCAAAACTGGGGATTACTATTCAACATGCGATTTGGGTGGGGACACAGATCCACACCATATCCACTGCTGTTTCTTAATATTTTTTAAAATTTAAACTTATCTATCGACTTTCTATTATGGGAGATGAAGAGTTATCATTCTTACCCCTGCCCTTCCCTTTGTTCTTTCAAAATCATTATAGATCTCAGTTAAATTGATATGTATCGTTTTGATTCTTATGATTATGTAAATGTTATCCCCTGGTGAACTAAGGAGTGCAATATACCCCAATTCTGTTCTTGTACAACCTTGTATTCTTTCTAGAGCTAATAGAGAAATTACATTTCCTCCCAATTTTATTTAGGCTTCTATGTACTGATCATTGATTTCACATGCTCCAACAAAACTGAAAAGTCCCTCTCAATATTATTTTCTACACAGTCATGTGCATCAGATAATAAACATTCCTTTAAAACCTTTCTGCCAGGCGCGGTGGCTCACGCCTGTAATCCCAGCACTCTGGGAGGCCGAGGCAGGCAGATCACGAGGTCAGGAGATCGAGACCATCCTGGCTAACACGGTGAAACCTCGTCTCTACTAAAAATACAAAAATTAGCCGGGCGTGGTAGCGGGCACCTGTAGTCCCAGCTACTTGGGAGGCCGAGGCAGGAGAATGGCGTGAACCCGGGAGGCGGAGCTTGCAGTGAGCCGAGATGGCACCACTGCACTCCAGCCTGGGTGACAGAGCAAGACTCCGTCTCAAAATAAAGAAAGAAAGAAATAAAATAAAACCTTTCTTAGACACCTCCTCAGAAGCCCCATATCCTCCTGCTCCCACTGGCCTAGCCATGCCTCAAGATCACAGGCTGGTCTTTTCCTTCACCAACACACTGGCATCCCCCTCTTTGGGAATTCCATGTCTCACTTTCTTGTTAATGCACCTGTTTTTGTGGAGCACCTACTCCAATATCTGTGGACTCATGCATTTCTTTGGTTCTGGAAAATTCTCACTTACTTTCTCTTTAGACATTCTCTCTCCCATTCTCTCCTCTGGGAGTTTTGATTAAAGATAGGTTGGACCTTCTTGTTCAGTTTCTCTACGTTTTTAATTCGTCATTTGTGTTTTCTGTCTTGATTTTCTGAATAATTTCTCCTGTCTTGAGTTTATGAAGTCTCACTTCAGTTATGTCTTATATTTCAACTTTATATATTTTTATTTCTACAAGTTCTTTTTGTTTTTTGTTTTTTTTTGAGATGGAGTCTCACTCTGTCACCCAGGCTGGAGTGCAGTGGCACAATCTCGGCTGATTGCAGCCTCTGCCTGCCGGGTTCAAGCAATTCTCCCTGCGTCAGCCTCCTGAGTAGCTGGGATTACAGGTGCACACTACCATGCCTGGCTAATTTTTGTGTTTTTAGTAGAGATGGGGTTTCACCATGTTGGCCAGGCTAGTCTCGAACTCCTGACTTCAGGTGATCTGCCCACCTCAGCTTCCCAAAGTGCTGGGATTATAGGTGTGAGCGATTGTGCCCGACCTCTTGTTTCATTTTTATAAGCAGGCTACTAGAAAATTTAAGCTATGTGTGTGGCTCACATTGTATTTCCGTTGGGCAGCACTGCCTTGCACATTCCTCTTTGGGCTTTCCAGGCCTTGCAAAACTCTTTCCCCTTGGTCTTTATGCCTCCTTGTGCCCCTGGCTTTCTTCTCTGGTGTTTCCTGGCAGCGTCTCTGCCCTTCTAGTAAATGTTACAAGTTCTGTCCTGCATCCTCGCCTCTTCTGATCCATTGTGCTCTTCCAGAGAGAGCTTATTCACATCGCTGGGGCCAATGCCCACCCGTTTCCTTCTAAAATTGAGATAGAATTCACATTCCATAAGATTCACCTTTTAAAGGACACAATTAAATGACTTTTAATATATTCACGGAGTTGGGCAACCATCACCACTTTCTGATTCCAGAACATTTCATCACCCCCAAAACACCTGTGTCCATTTGCAGTCAGTCCTCATCCTCCAAAACACCTGTGTCCATTTGCAGTCAGTCCTCATCCTCCCCTTCTGGATGGGTTTTTAATGCGCAACTCCTGACTCTCACACTCAACTACCTCCTGGGCAGCTCCATCTAGACGTGGTTCAGGCATTTAAAACTCACCAGAACTCAGCATCTTCATCATTTTCTTCTCCTCCTTATTAATTATTCAAGCTGAGACCTGTCATCCTTTACTCCTTCCTCACCTTTCCTCCCACATTTACTCAGTTTGTAAATATTTTCTGTCATTCTGTAAGTTGCCTTTTCACTCTGTTAATTGTTGTCTTTGCTGTGCAGAAGTTTTCACATGCAAAAGAATGAAATTGGATCCTTTCTAACATGATACATACCAATCCAGTCAAAAACATAGGAAGAAGCTTCATGACATTGGTCTTGGCAATTATTCCATGGATATGCCACACAAAGGACAGGCAACAAAAGCAGATAGACAGATGGGATTACATCAAACTCAAAAACTTCTGAAGAGCAAAGGAAACAAGCAATGAAGTGAAAAGGCAACACACAGAATGGGAGACAATATTTACAGATCATATTTCTGATAAGGAGTTAATTTCCAAAATATATAAGGAACTTCTACAACTTCGTAGCACCAAACCAAATAACCCAATTGAAAAAATGGGTTAAGGACTTGAATAGATATTTCTCCAAAGAAGATAAATAAATGGCAAATAAATATATTAAAAGATGATCAATGTCACTCATCATCAGAGAAATGCAAATCAAAACCACAATGAGGTCAAACACGGTGGCTCACACCTGTAGTCCCAGCACTTTGGGAGGCTGAGGCACGTGGATCATCTGTGGTCAGGAGTTCAAGACCAGCCTGGCCAGAACTTGCAGTGAGCTGAGATCACCCCACTGCACTCCAGCCTGGGCAACAGAGTGAGACTCTGTCAAAAAAAAAAAAAACCAAAAAAACCCCAAAAAAAACCAGCCTGGCCAACATGGTAAAAACCTGTCTCTACTAAAAATACAAAAATTAGCCAGGCATGGTGGAGGGCACCTGTAATCCCAGCTACTCAGGAGGCTGAGGCAGGAGAATTGCTTGAACACAGGAGGCAGAGGTTGCAATGAGCCGAGATCACACCACTTCACTCCAGCCTGGGTGACAGTGTGAGACTTCATCTCAAAACAAAACAAAACAAAAAATCACAATGAGATACCACGTCACACCTATTAGGATGGCTGTTATCAAAAAACAAAAGACAATCAATGAGTGTTGGCCAGCGTGTGGAGAAACTGAAATGCTGAGATACTGCTGATGGGAATGCGAAATGGTGCCACTGCTATGCAAAAGACAATGGAGGTTCCTCAAAAAATTACAAATAGAGGTACCGTATAATCCTGCAATCCCTCCGATATGGTTTGAATGTTTGTTCTCTCCAAATCTCATACTGAAATGTGATCCCTAGTGTTGAAGGTAGGGCCTAGTGGGAGGTGTTTGGGTCACGAATGGCTTCGTGCCATCCTTGCGGTAATGGATGAGCTCTTGCTCTATTAGTTCACAGGAGAGAGCTGGTTGTTAAAAAGAACCTGACACCTCCTCTCTCTCTGTCTCTCTCTCTGTCTCTTGGTCCCTCTTACCATGTGACATGCCTGCTCCTCCTTCACCTTCTGCCATTATTGTAAGATTCCTGAGGCCCTTACCAGAAGCCAAGTGGATTCCAGGACTATGCTCGTACAGCCTGCAGAACTGTGAGCCAAATAAACCTCTTTATAAATTACCCAGCCTCAGGTGTTCCTTGACAGCAATGCAAAATGGACTAAGATATCCATTTTTGAGAATTTCTCCAAAAGAACTGAAATCACTCCCATGCCCATTGTAGCACTACACATAATAGTCAAATGTGGAAGCAACCTAAAAGTCCATTGACAAATGAATAAAGAAACTGCACACATATATACATTCACCCTTAAAATGGGAGGAAATTCTGCGATATGCAACAAGATGGATGAACCTGGAGGACAGGATACTAACAAAACAGACATGGAAAGTCAAATATTGCACAATTCCACTTCTATGAGGCACTGAAAATAGACTCCTGGAAGCAAAGACTAGAATGGTGGGTGCCAGAGGCTGGGAGGAGGGGGAATGGGGCGTTGCTAATCAACGGGTATGAAGTTTCAGTGGTGCAAGATGAATGCATCCTAGAATCTATCAGGCTGCTCACTTAAAAATGTAATCGAGATCATGCCATGTTCCCGCTTAAAATCCTGGATGGTGTCTCCTTTGGAAAAAATGCATCCAGACTTTTATAAGGGCTGGGGTGGCCCCCGCTGCTCCCCCTCATCCTGTGGCCTTCCTCACTCCCTGTGCCTCAGCTACACGAATTCTTTGTTTTGTTTTTTAGATACATCAAACTCTTGGCTCCTTCTCCTATTTCATGTCTCAGCTTAAATGTCTCCTCCTCAGAGAGGCCTTCAGCCGGCTCTGCCCCCGACCCTGAACTGTTTCCTTCTTACCGCTGGTCACACTTCATACAGATTTGTACTTGTTTGCTTCTCTGCTTGCTTTTTGGCTGCCCTGTCCTGAGTATGAAGGCTCGGTGGAGCCATGGCCAGGTCTGTCTAGTCCCTTGTTGCAGTCTGGTCTCGTTTCAGAGCGGCTCATGGGTATTTTTGGTTGAATGAATGCATGAAGGAGCATCCTTTCCCCGAGTCAGGTCAGACAGCCAGCTCCTCTAACCCAGACTAGGCCAGCAGGCTCCAGCTCAAGGGATTACCGGCCGCGTCGCAGTCGGAATGAACGAGGTGGGGCTGCTCTGACCCAGCGGCATCTGGTCTTGGCTTCCATCTTCCTCGCTTCTTAGGCTCAGGCTCGGGTCTGGCTCTGGGCTGGGCTGGTGACCCACCTTCCCCCGGGCATGCCATGCCCTCTGTCCCTCAGCCAGATCATTTGCCCTCCCATCTCCCTTTCTCCAAAACCTTCCCCAACTTGCAGTCAGGCTGCGGAGTCAGGGTGGAAAAGGGAGGGCAGGTACTCACCAGCGCTGCTGGCCCCGCCGCTCGGCCTCCAGGAGCTCCCGCCACAGCTGGTCCTGCTGCACGCCATCGCAGGCAGCTCCCTGAGCCACCCGCTGCGCCTTCAGAGCCTGGGGGGCCTGGCAGCCACCAGCAAGACCCCTGCTGGCCATAGGGCCACCCCGGGCAGCTGGGGAGACCGAGGCTGGTGGCCTGGTGGGGGGCAATCGGTACCCAGCTGATGTGGTTCTCTGGAGCCCAGGGGTGGGGTGGCTCCCCATGGTGCAAGTGTGTGTGTGTGTGTGCGCTTGTGTCAGAGAGAGAGAGAGAGAGACCTGTGCCTGAGCTCAGCTCAAACCTCCTCCTGGAACACTCTGTCCCTCCTAACCCCGGGAGAGCCTGGGCAGGGTCCTCCTCACTGTCCCTTTAGGCCTCGAGCTCAGAGTGGCCGATGGGGACAGGGCTCTCCGGGCTGGGGAGAGCATTTGAGCCCAGTTTCGTTTTGAACTCCCGCCTGTGCTGTGTTGACTGTTGTCCTGGGAACGGACAGCTCCTAGGAAAGGGGCGGGCCCCGTGTGTGTGTGTGTGTGTGTGTGTGTGTGTGTGTGTGTGTGTGTGATCTGAGCCCTAGGGCTGGGGGGCAGAGAGTTCCTGACTAGATGCCACGCCCAGTTCAGCAGCCCCCTACCCCAAGGCCGGAGTCCTCCGCACAGGGTGGGGGAGGGGGAGGGAGCAAAGCTGGGGCTCCTGGGGGCCACCCCCACCATTATTGCACTTGCTTCCGGCAGCCCGTCAGGCCGTGGGGCGATGTTAGTCCTGTGCTGCCCCCTCGTGGATGCTGCGAGGCTCGCAAGAAATGGTGGCCCTGAGGGCGCTTTGGGAATTGTGGATCAGGCATCAGTGTGAAGCTTCCTGCTTGTTTGGGAACGATGGCGGAAGTCATGAGCTTATGTTGGGCGAGGAAAATGAGTGCAATGCACTAGGAACATCCACTCTGTCTGCAAACCCAGAGCGTTCACACAGCACTCTGCTTTATCTGAGACCTCCCAGCCATGCCTTTCCAACGCCATTCTACAGATGAGGAAACTGAGGCCCTTACCGGCAAGATTAAGTGACCGCCCACGGTCACACAGTCAGTCACCAGCTGAAAGGAACAGTGAGAATCTGAGGGCTTATGGTCCGAGCCCTCAGCCCTGTTTCTGCTCTAACTGGGTACAACCAGGCTCCCTCCGTGGCAGCCTCTCCTGGTCTGGCTCAGCTGAGCTCCATGGACGCCCGCTGCTCTCATCACTTCTGCCTCCTGCACTCTCTGCTTCCGGTTCTCTGAGTTTTGTGCTGTTCCGGTAGGTGCTGGCAGATTCACAGTTCCTTCCACGCAGCTTCTCTGTGGGTCCATTCAGCTGGCGCGCTGCTTCCTATCTTTGTAAGGGAAGAGCTAAGTGCAGACAAAGCCCTGACGAATAGAGGCCTGCGCAGAGTGCCCGGGGTGCAGGGCAGCAGGGCAGCCAGTGAACCACTGAGCTCGCACTGTAGCCAGTCCTGTGTGCCCCTGCTGGATTCTGCTTCTATGAGGGAGGCAGCAAGGAGTTGGGACTTCACAGGTGAAAGGACTTGCCAGGTAGAAAAACTGGGGTGACCACAAAAGCTTGGATGCAAGAGAGAGCCTGGTATTTTGGGAGATGTGGGGGAGGAGACAAGGACGGGGGTGGCAGGGCACATGGGGGCAGGCCCCGGGGTATTTTCCACGGTATCCTGCACCCAGTGGGGAGATACCGATGGGCTGTGAGCCCCAAGGGAGCTGCAGGGAACAGAACCATCAGGACAGGGGCAAAAAACAGGTGAGGTCACCATTGCCATGGCGTGGTGTGGGTGAGCAGTGGCAACGAAGCCCCTACTGGGCTCGGGCGGAGGGCTGGCGTGGAGAAGACAGGGCTGAGAGCCAGGCCAGAAAGAGCTGCCAGCTTCGTCTTCCCACACTTGCATGAGGACGGAGCTGAGGGATGGGACCTTTTGGAAAAACATTAGTCTAAAATCAGAGCTGCAGGCCTGGGACTCTGTCTCTCCTCTGTTCCTCCCCTTGGAGCTGGGATGACACAGGGTGGCATCTAGTGACTTAAATTTTCCTGGTAAAGATGAGCACAGCAGGAGTGCGGCGGGGTGGGCCTCTGTGAGCTAGGACCCTGGGTCAGGCTTTTCTGAGTGCTGTTTTCGTGGAGGTGTCTGTGCTCCCTGCACTGCGACGACAGGTTCCTGCCATGCCCAAGGAGCAGCGGTTCTGGCTTCCCTGAACCCCCAGAAGGCATCCCGTGAGTGTCTTTAGAGAGGACGGTGTGTCCTGGGGGGTCCTTGCTGTGTGTCCTGGGAGGCTTTGTCAGGCTGACCGCAGGCTGTGGCCCTGAGCAGCTGGGAACAGCCATGCAGTTTGCTCAGATACCTCCAGCCCTGGCCACAGGCTCCAGACACAGGGACCAGGGCAAAAAAGGCCAGCAAGGGCATCTGTGACAAACCATCACAACTGATTGAGTTCCTGATGTATGTAGAGGCTGAATAGTTCAACGGATTTTTTTTTTTTTTTTTTTGAGACGGAGTCTCACTCTGTTGCTGGGGCTGGAGTGCAGTGGTATGATCTTGGCTCACTGCAACCTCTGCCTCCCAGGTTCAAGCGATTCTCCTGCCTCAGCTTCCCGAGTAGCTGGGAATACAGGTGTGCACCGCCACACCCAGCTAATTTCTTTTGTATTTTTAGTAGAGACAGGGTTTCACCATGTTGGCCAGGCTGATCTCGAACTCCTGACCTCAGTTGATCCACCTGCCTTAGCTTCCTAAAGCGCTGGGATCACAGGTGTGAGCCACCGCGCCCGGCTGGAGGTTGGTTTTTAAAAATTAAAATGTAATTTAAAAACCATTTCAGACCGAGAGTTGATAGAGGGCTGGACTGATGTGTGACAAAGCAAATACAATACAACGTAACTGCAGAATCTAGGTGGTGGGCGTATGGGTGGGCATATGTTGGGTGTCTGCCCTACCATTCTTTCAACTTTTCTGTATGTCCGAAAAATTTCAAAATAAAATGTTGAGGGGGAAAAAAAAACTCACCTGCCAGTCCAGGTCAGTCACTGCCAGTCTCTTTTTACATGTCCTTCTGCCTGGAAAAACATCCAAATTCACTCTGGGTGAGCCTCACTGCGCCCCAGCCTGGGAGGACCAACCCCGCCCTGCCCCTCCCGCCAGCTCTGAGGCTGGCCTCACCTGGGGATCAGGACACCGGGTTCCAGTCCCTGCTCTGCCAGTGACTTGCTCTGTGCCCTTGAGCGAGGGCTCAGGGCACACCCACATTTTGTGGTCTAACTTTATCTGAGACTTTCCAGGGGAGCACAAGAATCCCTGCGTTTGGGAGGTTGCTGGAGTTGTCTTTTATTGGGTTTTCCTCACCCCAAAAGGCGTAGCAAGTTTAGGGCCTTCAGCTGGGCGAGGCAGAACGTTCCAGCCCAGGCAGCCACAGGGTGGCCCCACCAGCCCGGGAGCAAGCACACCTGCGATGCACAGAGCGAGGCGAGGCTCCGCCCTGCGAGCCAGCCCCGCCCACTTCCTGTAGGCCCCCGCCCCTTCCCGGGTCGGCGGACGAGGGAGGGTCGCGAGCTCCGCCCCGTTCCGCCGGCGCAGGGCTCAGGGGCCCCGGAGCTTGGGAGCGCGAGGGAAGGAGCTGAAGGGGCGGGTCCGTGGGAGGCGAAGGCAGGGGAAATGTGTGTCTGCATTTTTTAATTTGCAGGGGATATTTTCCGTCCCCTTTGTCCCGTAAGCCTCTGCTTTTTGGATGAAAACGTTGGCTTTACCACCCTCTCTCTCCTTCCCGCACGCGCACACCTTGAAGGCATCCTACCAGGCGGTGACCGCAGAGGAAGCACCCAGAGCCACAGTTCTTGCCTTGTCAGCTGCTCCCACCACGTCCCCAGAAAGCTCCGGGTTCGTCAGAACAGCAACATTAAAGGAAGGCCCAATTTATCTATGGAAAAATCCGCTCCGGCCTTCCTCTTGTAGCCCCAACCGTTTTCACTTCTAAGTAGCCGCTTTGGGTCTTACTTGTTGGTTGTACAGTTGCTGTCAATGTGCCTACCATTTTGTACCCAGCTTAAAATTGTTTATTTATTTATTTATTTATTTAGAGGCAGAGTCTCGTTCTATCACCCAGGCTGGAGTGCAGCGGGGCGATCTCTGTTCATTACAACCTCCGCCTCCCGGGTTCAAGCGATTCTCCTGTCTCAGCCTCCTGAGTAGCTGGGATTATAGAGGTGTGCCACCGTGCTCGACTAATATTTGTATTTTTAATAGAGACTGGGTTTCGCCATGTTGGCCAGGCTTGTCCTGAACTCCTGACTCAAGTGATCTGCCTGCCTTGGCCTCCCAAAGTGCTGGGATTACAGGCGTGAGCCACCATGCCTGGCCAAATTTTTTTTTTTAATGTATCAGCAATATTTTTTCATGTTTCTCTTTATATATATATATATTTTTTGACACAGGGTCTTACTTTGTCGCCCAGGCTGGAGTACAGTGGCATGATCGTAGCTCATTGCAGCCTCCACCTCCCTGGGCTCAGGAGATCCATCTCAGCCTCCTGAGTAGCTGGGACCACAGGTGCTTTATAATCTTTACACATCTCATTGTAGCCAGTTTCTTAGAGTTGATGCATGATAATGTGTTTAACCAATTTTTTCTCTTCTTGGGCATTTAGGTTTTGTTCAGGTTTAGCACAAGCTGTGATGAATATCTTCAAGCCTCTGCTTCCTGCTGTGGAATTGTTGCCAAAGGACACATTCCCAGATGGGATTACTGAGTCAGAGGAAGTGGACATTGAGTGGCTCTCAACAGACAGGCTGTGTTGCTCTCACAGTGCCCAGGTACCACCAGCAATGTATACACATACAGGAAGCGCCGGCTTCCCTGTTGTCTTGTTGCTGTGGCGTGTTGGGGTCTCTAAGACCACCCTGGGTTTGTTGATTGGCTAGGAGAACTCGCAGAACTCAGCATACAGTGATACTCGAGGCTATGATGTATTACGACAACTGGAAATGAAGCAAATTCAGCAAAGGAAAAAGGCACATGGGTCAAGTCCAGAGGAAATGGAGTGTGAGGGTCCAAGACCCTCTCACATGCTGGACGCGCCCACTTCCCCCAGAAGTGTGTTGGGACAACACGTGTGGAATGTCATTTGTCAGGGACACTCACTAGAGATTTGGCACCGAGGGTTTTACTGCAGGCTAGTCACAAAGGCCCCCTCTGCCTAGCATGTACCAAAATTCTGGACTCCCAGTACGAAGACATAAACCACAGTGTTTACACAGTTTAGGGGCAGTGAGCCATTCATATCAGGGAAGGGCGGGAACCCTCCCCAAATCCAATTTCCCAGATACGAACCAAGGGCCAACCTTGCAAGCAGTCCTTGCTAAAGATAACATTGCTATAATTTGTATTTCTTTCATTTTTCTTTTGAGAGTAAATCATTTCGATATAAAATAATGAGATGGGACCTGGCCATCCGAAGGTTCATTCACTCTCAAGGCTGGAGGTTGATGCCAGCTGTCGGCTGTGACCTCAGGTGGGTCTGGCGGCCAGCTGCGGCCCCTCCATGTGGCTTGGGCTTCTCTCCAGTGTGAAGTGGCTGTGTTTCAAGGATGAGGAACTGACAAAGAGGGAACCAGGTGGAAGCAGTGTCACCTTTTCTATCCTAACCACAGAAGCCACCCTGTGCCACTTCTACCACATTGTTTATTAGAAACAAGTATGAATACTGGCCCATATTCAAAGGGAGGAGAATTAAACTCCACTTTTGATGGGAGGAGGATCAAATAATTTATAGAGGTTATTTAAAACCATCACAAACATATTAGATTTGCCATGTTTAGGCATTTATTCTGCAAAAAAACATACAAATGTGCAAAGTTACTTGAGGCTATTTTCTGCAGTGTTATTTGTGTTAGTTAAAAAAAAAAAGGAAACAATCTAAATGTCCATCAAGGGTCAGGTGCAGTGGCTCACGCCTGTGATCCCAGCACTTTGGGAGGCCGAGGCGGGTGGATTATCTGAGGTCAGGAGTTCGAGACCAACCTGGCCAACATGGTGAAACCCCATCTCTATTAAAAGTACAAAAAATTAGCCGGGCATGGTGGTGCATGCCTGTAGTCCCAGCTACTCGGGAGGCTGAGGCAGGAGAATTGCTTGAACTCTGGAGGTGGAGGTTACAGTGAGCTGAGATCGTGCCACTGCACTCCAGCCTGGGCAAAAGAGCAAGACTCCGTCTCAAAAAAAAAAAAAAAAAATTCCATCAATAGAAGACTGGTTATGTTACTTGTGGTATCTTTACTATACTTATTACTTGTAAAGATGTCATCTATATAATGTTAAGCAAAACAAACATGATAAAACAACAATAACAAAACGTGTTGCAAAGTGGTATATGCAGTCTGATTCTGGTGTTGTTATTATAATATGAGTTGAATGCATGAGAAAAGTCTGAACGGACGTGCTTCCTCCCGTGTCTACTGCATATCTTTAGGGAGTAGACCGGAATGCAGTGGCATGATCTTGGCTCCCTGCAGCCTCCAACTCCAGGGTTCAGCAATCCTCCCACCTCAGCCTCCCAAGTAGCTGGGACTACAGGCATGCGCCACCATGCCTGGGTAGTTTTTGTGTTTTCTTGTAGAGACAGGGTCTCACTGTGTTGCCCAGGCTGATCTCAAACTCTTGGGCTCAAGCAATCTGCCCACCTTGACTTCCCAGAGTGCTAGGATTATAGGTGTGAGCCACTGCACCTGGTCAATCATGTTAACGCCTAAGATATGATTGTCAGGGGTAGTGCAGAGAGCACAGAATTGAGAATCCAGAGAACTGGGTTCTTGTCTAGGCTCTGACCCTACCTTCCTGGGCTTTTTTTTTTTTTTTGAGACAGGCTCTCCCTCTATCGTCCAGGCTGGAGTGCAGTGGCACCATCACGACTGACTGCAGCCTCCTGCGCCCCGTGATCTTCCCACCTCAGTGCCCTGAGTAACTGGGACCACAGGTGTGTACCACCGCACCCAGCTAATTTTGTTTATTCTTCTGTAGCAATGGACTCTCGCTATGTTACCCAGGTTGGTCTCAAACTCCTGGGCTCAAGCGATCCACCCTGCTTGGCCACCCAAAGTACTGGGATTACAGGCGTGAGCCACCATGCCCGGCCTGGGCCCATTGGTAAGGATTATTCAACAGTAAAGATAGTAAATCTATGACAGTCTCTCTTGGATTATGTATTAGTTTGCCAGAGCTGCCCTAACACAATGCCATGAACTGGGTGGCTAAACAAGAGAAATGGAGCGTGTCACAGTGCTGGAGGTCAGAGGTCTGAGAAGAGGGGTCGGTGGGGTTCATTCCTTCTGAGACAGTGAGGGAGAATCTGTGCCAGGCCCCTTACCCCACTTTTGGGACCTTCCTGGCAATCTTCCATGTTCCTTGGTGTGCAGAAGCATCACCCTAATCTCTGCCTTCATCTTCACATGGTGTTGTTTCTTTGTGTGTCTCTGTCTAAATTTCTCCTGTTTTATGAGGGCACATTCATACTGGATCTCAGCCCACCCTACTCCAGTATGACCTCATCCGAACTCATCACATCGGCAATGACCCTGGTTCCAAATAAGGTCACATTCTGGGGTGCTGGGGATTAGCACTTCAATGCAAATTTTGAGAAGCACAATTCAACCAATCACAGATTATACAGATTTGAATTCCTTCTGGGATCTATTAAGGGATAAAACCGACCTTGTATGGCCAGGCACAGTGGCTCGCACCTGTAATTCCTGCCAGCCCTTTGGGAGGCTGAGGTGGGTAGATCACCTGAGGTCGGGAGTTTGAGACCAGCCTGGCCAACATGGCAAAACCACATCTCTACTAAAAATACAAAAATTAGCTGGGTGTGGGTAGGCACGAGCCTGTGATCCCATCTACTTGGGAGGCTGAGGCAGGAGAATCACTTGAAACCTCGAGGTGGAGGTTGAAGTGAGCTGAGATCATGCCAGTGCACTCCAGCCTGAGTGACAGAGCGAGACTCCATCTTAAAAAAAAGAACCAACCTTGTATTCAGCCCCCACTGTACGTCAGGCATTATTTCCAGTCCTCACCTCACCTCATTCGGTGAACAGTATTAGCTCCATTTTATGGATGAGAAAACAAAGTCTTCAAGAGGCTGAGTGTCTTGTCCAGGGACCCAGGCAATAAGTGGCAGGCCTTGCATGGAATTCACTCATACAACTTCTAAAGTCTGTGCTTTATTGGAACTGCAGAGCTGTGGTTTGACTAATACTTGACTACGCCTAAGGATTTTTCCCCAGGAACTTCCTTGATAATTTTCATTAAATAGACCTTATATTTTCAATCCACTCGAGCCTCTGGGAGACAAGTGAGAAATTCCCTGATGGATAATGGCATT
Organism: Homo sapiens; assembly: GCF_000001405.40. Lineage (NCBI taxonomy): Eukaryota > Metazoa > Chordata > Mammalia > Primates > Hominidae > Homo > Homo sapiens. Next base: position 11,125,160 of record NC_000002.12, on the reverse strand, counting down.
AAAAACAGCAACTGTGTACACTGCTTGAAAAGTGTGCTTTCTTGCATTTCTCTTGTGAAGTGTTGTGACGGCCTTGTGAAGTGGAGCCGATCACATGTGGATTTAGGGGCAGAAACTGGAAGACCACAACCCACCTAGACCGCACAGGCAAGAAATGGACCCCCAGGACCAGAATCCCTTCTGACTATAGTTTCTGGCCTCTTCTTCAGTTGTTATTTGCAGAGAAAAAGCATCTCACATAAACAGTTTTACTTCGGTTATCAAAAAGATACTCAATGATCTATATTTCAAAGACTCTAGATTCCTGGGAGTTGGGGGAATTTTAAGCATTGGGAACATATTCTGGAGCATGTCTTTATGTTCTTTATTCTGTAGCTTCCCATGGGTGGCCAGCCGAATGCATTATGGGAGAAAGCAGGTCTCGTGGATAATATTTCTGAAGATCGGAGCAGGTTGCCAGGTCCACGTCGGCCATGACTGCAGCACGCTCCGGAGGCAGCAGGGGGCACCCTGGAGCTTCGCATCCTCCTTCAGGCCCGCGGCATCTCCCCTGGCTCCACCATCCCCAGGTGTCTCAGGTTGGACGCACGGTAGTTCGCTATGGCCATTTCTGATTAAAGACAGAACAAATGGATTGTCCGGATACGGTGTCTGTGAAAGGAACCCAGCTGTGAGCCTCGGCAGGCAGGTGCGACATTCTAAATCCACAGGGAGGGCCCAGAAGGGACGCAAGAGGTCACCTGCCGTGCAGGGTGCGGGGGGTCTTGGAGGTGGGCAGCAGCTGTTCACCCGTGAGCGACGAGGAGCATCAGCGCTTGAACAGCGGAAGCAGCATTTACAGGTGAACACCAGCCCGAGAGGGCCGGGGGGCCCAAAGCTATGGTGTCCAGAGCCTCCCAGCTCCCACTCTGGCCTCCAGTGGCCATGGAATTGCTAACTATGAGGGCGCAAGCTTCTCCCAGCAAGTCAAGGGGATGCTATGTGCTGCGATAACGGGTCCGGCCGCCTTGCCTTTGGCCTTCCAAGCCCCTCTCTGAGCCCCAGGACGTACCCACACCTGCCGGCCCATGTAGGGTGGTCCCAGCCTGCGTCAGTCAGGCCACACTCCGGAGCCAGGCTTGGTGCAAACTCCCAGCTGAGCTCACCCGCTGGCTGCGGTCTGTGATACTTCCCTGGTGGTCTCTGACGGGGCTGTATGGCCTCCCTCTGGAACCCAGGCTGAACACTCGAGGAGCTGGAGGCAGTCGGGCAGAATCAGCCTCTGGTTGCCAGCATGGGGTGTCAGGCAGGGGCAATCCAGCGGGGAGCCTGGGGAGAGAGGGCGGGGGTGAGGCACTGATCTCAGGCTGTGGGGAGGAATTCACACCTGCATGGCTGAGGCTGGTGCTGCCCCCCTGATCACCAGGAGATCAGCCTCTCCTTCCCCAGCCTCAATTTGCACCCCTGGCCTGTGCGGTTGGCACTGTCTCCCGTGGGGAGCCCCTGCCTGGCTCAGGGGAGACCCTGGTGCAGAGCCCACCTTTGGAGCTGCCCTGTCCTGCTGAGGCAGGAGCCACCCCTGGCCTGGCCCTGGCCCTGGCCCTGGCCCTCCGGTGAGGCTGCAGTAGCCAGGAGAAGGCCAGTCAGAAAGGCCATCTGCCTGGCGGGTGTTTCTAGCCAGCAGGCCAGGGTAAGGAAGTTGTCAGGCGTCCTGCGGGGATGGCCAGGGTTGCAGACAGGGGTGGCAGCCAGCTCCATGTAGCTCTGGGACCCAGGTGTGTGGCAGGGCCAGGAGCATGTTCTGCTGCTCTTCCAGGCCCGACTCCAGCTCATTTCCTTGAGAGACCCTTTCACCTATTCCAACCTGCATTTGCCTGTGTCGTCCTTTGCAGCAGCAGCCTTGTGGCTGTGCCTCTTCTGTGCCCTCCGAGTTCTAGGCTGAGGGTGAGGATTGGATGAGTTGATCCACGCAAGGCTCCTGGCACAGTGCCTGGCATATGGTTAAATAGACTTGAAGTTATAATTACCAGGTATGTGACCCTGTCCTCAATATGAGTGCCACAGTGGGCTGGAGAGTGGCAGCCCTGCTGGGCAGGATCGTAGGGTCTCAGTGACAGGCCTTCCTCGTATCCCTGACAGGGAGAGAGGCTCACTGAATAGTAAGTTGGCTGTGTCTTTTCTGTCTGAGCCTCTCTGGGAAGCTTCCAAGGGGATAAAGGCTTGAGCTGGAACTTGGAGGAGTTTGCAGGTGGCTGGATTGGGGTGGGGGTGGGGAGGAGGGTGCCAGCATGCCAGGTGGGGGAACAGCATGGGCGAAGGTATGGAGATGGGGGAGGGATCTGGACAGGGTGCCTGTGGCTGGAGCACAGGGCATGTGTGGGCGGGAAGCAGGTGAAGAGAGGAAGAGCTCTGGGGGACTTCTGGAGGGGACCCACCGTAGGAGCAGGCCAATGGCTGGCAGGGCTAAGTGGTGCAGGTGCCCCTGATGGATTTGATCGAGGTGGGCACACATGCTCATGTCAGAGGCATGTAAACCAGAGCAACTCCATCTTGCGTAGGAGCTGGGTAAAATGAGGCTGAGACCTACCGGGCTGCATTCCTGGACAGTTAAGGCATTCTAAGTCATGGGACAAGACGACACAGGTCATAACGACCTTGCTGATGAAACAGGTTGCAGTAAAGAAGCTGGTCAAAACCCACAAAAACCAAGACAGCCATGAGAGTGACCTCCGGTCGTCCTCGCTGCTACACTCCCACCAGGGCCATGACAGTTTACAAATGCCACAGCAATGTCAGGAAGTTAGCCTATATGGTCTAAAAAGGGCAGGCATGAATAATCCACCCCTTGTTTAGCAGATCATCAAGAAATAACCATAAAAATGTGCAGCCAGCAGCCCTCGGGGCTGCTCTGCCTATGGAGTAGCCATTCTTTATTCCTTTACTTTCTTAATAAACTTGCTTTCACTTTACAGACTCACCCTGAATTCTTTCTGGGGTGAGATCCAAGAACCCTCTCTTGGGTTGTGGATCGGGACCCCTTTCCTGTAACATATATAGCTCTGTACACCTTGAGGGTCTTAGAGGGAGGGTGGAGAGAGCCCAGGGCTGAGGGCGCCCCTTCTGTCAGGGGTGAGGCTGATGCCTGGAGCCTCAGTCTCTGCCCCACCCACCAAGGCGGAAGGCTGTCCCCTAAAGAGGAGCGATAACCCAGGGTCCTAAAGGAGCAGCGGGGCTCCTTAGTGTGGTGGGAGGTGGAGGTTGGTTGGGGTCAGGGTGGGAAGTGGGTGCCTGGCCAGGTGAGCGTCCCCAGATCTGTGGGACTGGCTTCTGCAGACCTCTGTCCCCGCTCCTGCTTCATCACCCTGACCTGCCCCTGTGCTGAGAGAGGACAGATGAGAGGGTGGGGCCAGAGGCTCTGCAAACTGTGAAGTGCTGTGCTCACCCCCCTTGAGGTTGTTCATTCTCAGTTCAGCTGTGCTTCTTCCCGGGGAGAAAGTCTTCGGAAGCTCAGGGAAAAGGCAGATCAGGAATGCGGAAGTGCCTGGGGAGGGAGCCACTCAGAGGATTACTGTCCACATGGTGAAAGCAACCCACACAGTGGTCCCCCGAGAGCAATCAAGGCCGGGGGAAGGGGTGCTACAGGCCCCTGAGACTGAGGAAGGGGAGGAGATATGGTGAAAGGGGACAGGAAGGGACTTTTGGGGGTTGCAGGCATCTCATTTGTTTGTTAAGCCATTTCCCCATCACACCAGCCCATAAGGTAGGTCATATTTCCATTATACCTGTTGGAAAAGGGAGGCTCAGAGAAGGTGAGTAACCTGCCAGGGTCACACAGCAGAGCTGGCATTTGAACTCAGGGCTCTGACTCATGGGTCCTGGGAAATCCCTCCATGGCAACAGAAAAGATCACAGAGAGGCTGGGGCCAAAGACAGATTCTGCCTAGCTCCCAGGTGGCCTGTGGCCAGCTCTGCAATGATTTCTTCTAAGGCTGTTAGTCTTTAAAGAATGGCAAAGCCCAGGAGTGAGTTCGTCTGCTACTGCGAAGTGAGTTGTTTCTGAGACGCACTTCTGGGAGGTAGTGACATTGCTGTCACAGAAGGGACTGAGCAGAAACTGCTGCTACAAATACGTCTTGTTTGAGAGTGAGCTGGGGCTGGGTGAGCTCGGAGGCCCTTCAGCTCTGGGGTTCCTTCATTCCAAGTCTCTTTCCTTTCACAGGCCTGTTTCCTCCTCATGAGAGGTGGAGCGGTGGTTCCCAAACACGATGTGGGAAGTGTGTTAAAATGCAGATCCTGGGCTCGACCCTGAAGCTCTTCCGGCATCCACCTTCCCAGGTGACCAGACTCTGGGGAAGGCATCACCTCAAGACTCCTGCACCCTTCCTCCAGAGTCCTGGGATTCAGCTAAATCCTGGGAAGGTAGGACGGGCCTGCGCCTCCCGCCTTCCTTTGCTGTAGGGTTGGTCCTGTCTCTGCTCCCTCAACCCCTAGTTCCTGTCCATTTCTCTTGAGACAGCTTGTCTGTCTCGGGTCCTCTAAACCTACTCTCAGGCCCTCACTTCCTGTCACCTGGGCAGCAGAGCATGTTTTCTTCAATAGCACCCTCCCTAAGAGACTCTTCAAATCATTTATTTGTCATGATGCATGATAGTTAAATGAAATAACAGAGGCAATGAAGCACCTGCTCAGAGGCTGGCACCTGGTGCACTTTTGACAAGTGACACTTTCATCTTGACAGTTGGGAGGAGCTTGCATGGATGAGTGGGGACGTGGGTGTGCTGGGTGGCACCAGGGCACACACAGCTTGACATATGGACACTGTCTGGCAGCAGGTTAGATTAGAGGTGGACGGGGTACGGATGTGTGGACAATTAAACTAGGACTCAGGGACGCTCTGCCCCAGGACTGGGCAGGCAAGAGCTCTGGGAAGTCAGTGGGCAGACAAAGGGTGTGGTTGGGTGGGCAGGGCTTCCTGGGGGAGGTGATGGTGTTGACCTGACCAGGGACCCATGCCCTTTCACCACTTTGTTGTTCTTTTTTTTTTTGAGATGGAGTTTCGCTCTGTTGCCCAGGCTGGAGTGCAATGGCACCATCTTGGCTCACTGCAACCTCTGCCTCCCAGGTTCAAGTGATTCTCCTGCCTCAGCCTTCTGAGTAGCTGGGATTATAGGCAAGTGCCACCACGCCTGGCTAATTTTTGTATTTTTAGTAGAGACAGGGTTTCACCATGTTGGTCAGGCTGGTCTTGAACTCCTGACCTCAAATGATCCTGCCGCCTTGGCCTCCCAAATGTTGGGATTACAGGCATGAGCCACTACGCCCAGCCTCTTTTCTTTTCCTTTTTTTTTGAGACAGGGCCTCAAGCTTTGTCACCCAGGCTGGAGTGCAGTGGTGTGAACATGGCTCACTGCAGCCTCAACCTCTGGGATCAAGTGATCCTCCCACCTCAGCCTCCCGAGTAGCTGGGATTATAGGTGTGCACCACCATGCCCAGTTACTCTTTTTGATTTTTGTAGGGATGAGGCCTCCCTTTGTTCCCCAGGCTATTCTCAAACTCCTGGGTGCAAGTGATCTTCCCACCCTCAGCCTCCCAAAGTGCTGGGATTACAGGTGTAAGCCACCATGCCTGGCCACTGTTTGTTCTTCTTACAGCTCATGGAGAAGACAATTATAATACTTTAGCTCATCCCAATCATCACACCGTGGCTTTAGCAATGTTGGGAATCTGATGTACCCGTGTCCTGCTGTTATAATGATGTCGGTGGTAATAGGTACACATCTTGAGTACCTCTTTAACCACTCGAATGCTTTATTTCATTGACCCCTGACAACAACGAAATGACATGGTACGATGGTTAATTTTATGGATCACCTTGACTGGGCCAAGGGTGCCATATTTGGTGGAGCGTTACCAACTGTGTAATGTGTCTCTGAGGGCATTGCTAAGTGAGGTCTGCATTTGAATGGGTGGGCCGAGCGAGGCAGGTGGCCCTCTCTGATGGGCGTGGGCTGCATCCAGTCAGTTGAAGTCTATGTGGGTCTCTTTTGAAGACCCAGATAGAACAAAAAATCTGGCACGAAAGGGCTCTTCCTGCCTGACTGCTGGAGCTGGGACACTGTTCTTTTCCTGCCTTTGGACTGAGAGGAAAACATCAATTCTTCTTGGGCCTCTTGCCTGCTGGCTTTCAGACTGGCACTTAGTGTTTGGAGATCCGTAGGCTCTGACTCAGACCAGAGCTGTCGGCTTTCCTGGGTTTCTAGCTTGCTGACTGCCCATCTTGGGACTTAGCCTCCATAATTGCATGAACAACTCCTCAGAATAAATCTCTCTCTCTCTGTCCTATTAGTTCTGTTTCTCTGGAGAACCTTGACTAATACAGACAAATAAGTGCTATTGTTTCTCTTTTGCAGATGAAGAAACTGAAGTTCAGAGAGGTCAGATGGTGGGGTGGGAAGTCACCCTCGGACTCAGTCCACACCCAACCTCCTGAGCTCTTGGCCACTGATATGGTTTGGCTGTGTCCCCACCCAAATCTCAACTTGAATTGTGTCTCCCAGAATTCCCACGTGTTGTGGGAGGGACCTAGGGGGAGGTAATTGAATCATGGGGGCCAGTCTTTCCCGTGCTATTCTTGTGATAGTGAATAAGTCTCATGAGATCTAATGGGCTTATCAGGGGTTTCCACTTTTGCTTCTTTCTCATTTCCTCTTGCCGCCGACATGTAAGCAGCGCCTTTCACCTTCTGCCATGATCCTGAGGCCTCCCCAGCCATGTGGAACTGTAAGTCCAATTAACCTCTTTTTCTTCCCAGTCTCGGCTATGTCTTTATCAGCAGCGTGAAAATGGACCAATAGGCCGGGCACGGTGGCTCATGCCTGTAATCCCAGCACTTTGGGAGGCCGAGGCAGGTGGATCACCTGAGGTCAGGAGTTCGAGACCAGCCTGGCCAACATGGTGAAACCCTGTCTCTACTAAAAATACAAACAATTAGCTGGGCATGGTGGCGGACACCTGTAATCCCAGTTACTTGGAAGACTGAGGCAGGAGAATCACTTGAACCCAGAAGGCAGAGGTTGCAGTGAGCTGAGATCACGCCACTGCCCTGTGGCCTGGGCAACAAGAGTGAAACTCCATCTCAAAAACAAACAAACAAAAAACAACGGACGGATACAGCCAGTGTGCCCATGGTCCTACCAGGTCTGGGCTGGTGCAGCCTCTGCAATTTCCTGGGGAGGTGCCTGGGCCCTATTCCTTGACACATGAGGAGCAGATGCCAAGGGCCACAGTGAACGCTGTCACCTCTGAGGACCAGGGTCGGGAGCTGGGGAAGGAGGAAAGGACTCAGGGGCATCCCATCCTTGGTTTTCAGAGCAGCTGAGGCTCTGGGAGGACGGAGAGCTATCTGCGTTCTCATGTCTAGTGGGTGGTGAGGCTGCACAGAGCTCAGACTCTGACTTCAAAGCCTGCTTGGCAGGTGAAGGGACCTATGTATTAACATTGCGCTAAGTGATTTCATGCTACTGTCTCATTTATCTTGTACCCTGTGAAGTGCAGACGATTCTACCCCAGTTTGAAGAAAGGGTCTTGGAGAACTTAGGTGACTTGCCAAAGATCTCCAAGCTGGAAAGTCATGCAGCTTGGAATCAATTTGACAACAAATGATTCTAGGGTTCAGGTTTTTCTTCCACTCTTCACTCTTTCCAAGTGGGAATCCTTCTATTCATTTCTAAACAAGGGAGGCAGGGAAGCCTTGTTAAAAGAAAATATCCAACAGTGATTTTGAGGAGGAAGTAGTATTTGACGCAAATGACAGGGTATACAAGGGTTAGCTTTGGGGCTGCTAAACCAAGATGGGTGGAAAAATATTTTGTTTACTGATGGATTAGTCACCAGTGCCTGCTGATTATATTGCCAATATTAGTCTTGTTTTGATTACTGCAAAGGCCAATAGCTGCCTCCTACAACATGCTGGTTCTACAGATTGGTGGGGAATCTGTAAATGAGGAGGTGTCCTTGGGAGACCCCACAAACCTAGCTTGGCCCTGGTGGTGCCCCTTAAAATGTTGCAGTTACACAGCTGAAGGATGATGTCTGCTCCAGGATTATCAACTCAAATCATGTGTTTGAATTACAAGTCCCTGCTCTTGTTAGAGGGATTAGTGCCTATTTGGAATGAAATATGTTTGGATTTACAAGTCTTGCAGGTTCTCCTGGGATCAAGTGTACTGGAATGGGATGCCTCTTGCATTTTGCATTAGGACTGAAATTCACTTAGTGCCTGTGTCAGTGGAAAGGTGGTAAACTATGATGATTACGAGCAAGCACTTAGGAGTCAGACCTACAAGAGAAAGCTGGCTCTTCCCCTCCCAGCACTCAGGATACTGACAGTGCATTGCTGAGGGCAGTGTCTGCAGGCGGCTATGGAGTGAGCACCTGCTCCTTGTGGGCTCCACTCCTTTATGGCTTTCGCTCACTAAGTTTCAGTCCTGCTCCCTCGGAAGAAGGATAATAACAATAGATAATGATAATAATAGTCACCCCGTAGGGTTATGGCAAACGTGAAACACCTCCAATTGTGTGCAAAGTTCTCTGCAAACTGAATGGCATCTGGTAAGAATAATGCTGGCTAATATGATGATGATGCAGCCCACCAGAAAAAATAGCCCCCAGGAGCATCCCTGTAATCTGCAGCGTTGGGTCTGCTTGGCTTGCCGTAGCAAGGGGGAACACACCTGCTGAGGCTTCCAGGGCCTGGCCTTGTGCTGGGCGAGTCCAAGGAGGAGCGCTGGTCATTCTTGCAGCTACAGCATGGTCCTGCCTGGGTTTCTTGGTTTCTCTGTTCTGTTGGCTTCAGCTGTGTCCCATTGGAAACCTTGTTTATCTCAGTTTGCCTGCAGCATGGCTCATTAGCTTTTTTTCCTTTTTTTTTTTTTTTTTTGAGCCAGGGCCTCACGTCTCACTCTGTTGCCCAAGCTGGAGTGCAGTGGCGCAATGTTGGCTCACTGAAACCTCTACCTCCTGGGTTCCAGCGATTCTCCTGCCTCAGCCTCCCAAGCAGCTGGGACTACAAGCACGCACCACCACACCTTGTTAATTTTTGTATTTTTGGTAGAGACGGGGTTTTACCACGTTGGCCAGGCTGGTCTCAAACTCCTGACCTCAAGTGATCTGCCCACCTTGGCCTCCCAGAGTGCTGGGATTACAGGTGTGAGCCACTGCGCCTGGCCTCAGCATGGCTAATTTTCACTGTCTCAATTATATAGGTCTTAGCTATCAAAGCATTGGATCTCATTTATTATTTAAAAAATTTAAAAAATAATAAACAGAAGTTTGTAAAAAAATTTTGTAAGAAAATTTAATGAGTCCTACCCTTTCAACAAATTTGTGAGTGTACAATCAGTATTGTCAACTGCAGGCGTAATGTTAGACGGCAGATCTCCAGAATTTGTTCATCTTGCATAATGGAAACTTCATATCCATTGAACAGCGATTCCCCATTTTCCTGTTCCTCCAGCCCCTGACAACCACTATTCTGTGCTCTGCTTTTCTGAGTTTGACTTTAGGTATTTAGTGCAAGTGGAATCATTCAGTATTTGTCCTTTTGTGACTGGCTTATTTCACTTAGTATCATGTCTGCCAAGTTCAGTCAGTAGCAAATGGCACGATTTGCTTTTTTGAAAGGCTGAGTAATGTTCCATTGTGTGTATGCACCACAGTTTTTCTAACTATTCTTTTTTGTTGTTGTTGTTGTTTTGTTTGTTTTTTGAGATAGGGTCTTGTTCTCTTGCCCAGGCTGGAGTGCAGTGGCATGAGCTTGGCTCACTGCAACCTCCACCTCACAGGTTCGATCAATTCTCCTGCCTTAGCCTCCCAAGTAGCTGGGATTACAGGCATGTGCCACCATGCCCGGCTAATTTTGTATTCTTAGTAGAGACGGGGTTTCGCCATGTTGGCCAGGCTGGTCTCGAACTCCTGACCTCAGGCCCACCCCAGCCTCCCAAAGTGCTGGGATTATAGGTGTGAGCCACCGCGCTCGGCCCCCATTCATTTGTTGAAGGACATTTGCACAACTTGGCTATGGTGAAAAATGCTACAGTGAGCACGGGAGAGCAATAGCTCTGTGAGATACTGATTTCAACTCTTTTGAATCAACATCCAGAAGTGGAATTGCTGGGTCATATGGTAATTCTATTTATGATTTTTTGAGGAGCCTCCATACTGTTCTCCATAATGGTATTCCCACCAACAGTGTACAGGGCTCTAATGTCTCTGCACCCCTGCTAATACTTCTTATCTTTTATTTATTTTTTTGATAATAGCCCTTCTAGCAGGTGTAAGGCTACACATCTCGTGGTGATTTTTATTTGCATTTCCCTAATGATTAGTGATGTCGAGCATCTTTTCATATATCTGTTGACTATTCGTCTATCTTCTTGGGAGAAATGTCTATTCAAATCCTTTGCTCATTTTTAAATTGGGGTAGTCATTTTTTCTGCTATTAAGTTGTAAGAGCTCCTTATATATTTTGGACATTAATCCCTTATCAGATATATGGTTTGCAAATATTTTCTCCGATTCCATAGGCTGTGTTTTCACCCTATTACTTCCTTTGCTATGCAGAAGCTTTTTGCGTGAGAAAGAATGGAATTAGACCCCTTTCTTATACTATGCACAAAAATCAACTCAAAATCTATTGAAGATTTAAATGTAAGACCGGAAACTGTAAAACTCTTAGAAGAAAACATAGAAGAAAAACTTCATGACATTGGTTTTGGCAATGATTTTTTCAAAATGACCCCAAAAGCACAGGTAATAAAAGCAAAAGTAAACAGGTGGGACAAAAGCCTTGGGTCTCATTTAAGCCAACACAAGATCATCCCAAGGGAAAGGAAATTAAATTTTCTCATAGCCTCATGATTGTGCCTTCCTCTCCCTGTGCTCCAGCTTCTCCAGGCTGCTCCCCCCTCCCACCTTTGAGCATGCTCCAGCCTCTCCAGGCTGCTCCCCTCTCCCACCTTTGGGCCTGCGGGACCCCAGAACTCTGATCTGTCGTGGCTCTGGTCATTCAGGTCCCAGCTCAAACCATTCTTTTTAATGGCTTTCTAATAACCAGGCCTCCATCTAGCTTTCTGGGAGACTTGGTCTCATTCCTCTGTTTTCTTCATAACATTTAAAAGTCTCCAATTATCTTGTTCATTCTCTGTTTCCTGCAGTAGAGTAAAAGGTCATTGGCGCATCTCCAGCTAGAATGGCTCCTGGCATGTGGTAGGTGCTCTGTAAACAGTTGTGGAAGAAAGGAAGGAAGGAAGGAAGGGGAAAGGAAGGAAGGAAGGGGAAAGGAAGGAAGGAAGAAGGAAGGAGGGGAGAAAGGACAGAGGGAGGGAGGGAAGAAGGAAGGAAGAAGGAAAGAAGAAAGGGGAGGAGGAAGGAAGGAAGAAAGGTGGGGAGGAAGGAAGGAGGGAAGGAGGGAAGGAAAGAAGAGAGGGAGGAAGGAAGGAAGGAGGAAGGAGGGAAGGAAGGAAGGAGGGAAGGAAGGAAGGAGGGAAGGAAGGAAGGAGGGAAGGAAGGAGGGAGGGAAGGAAGGAAGGAGGGAGGGAAGGAAGGAGGGAGGGAAGGAAGGAGGGAGGGAAGGAAGGAAGGAGGGAGGGAAGGAAGAAGGAAGAAGGGGAGGGAGGAAGGAAGGAAAGGAGGAAGGAAGGAAGGAAAGAAGGAAGAAAGGAAGGAGGGAGGGAAAGAAGGAAGAAAGGAAGGAGGGAGGGAAAGAAGGAAGAAAGGAAGGAGAGAGGGAAGGAAGGAAGAAAGGAAGGAGGAAGAAAGGAAGGGCGAAGGGAAGGAAGGAAGAAGGAGAGGAAGGAAGAAAGGAAGGAAGGAAAAAGGGAAGGAAAGAAGGAAGAAGGGGAGGAAGGAAAGGAGGGAAGGAAGGAAGAAAGGAGGAAGGGAAGGAAGGAGGGAGGGAGGGAAGGAAGGAAGAAAGGAAGGAAAGGAGGGAGAGAATATCCCCACACATGATCCTTCGCTGTTGATCCTTGCATTCTAGGGAGTTGGAAGGGAGCTAGAAGTCGGGACCAGCATTCCCCTAGCAGCAGCGCTCCCTCCTGCAGCATCCTTGCCGTACTTCCTTCCTTCCTTCCTTGCCATCCATCCATCCTTCCTTGCCGTCCTTCCTTCCTCACTGTCCTTCCTTCCTCGCCGTCCTTCCTTTCTCACCTTCCTTCCTTCCTTCCTCACCATACTTCCTTCTTTCCTTCCTCACCTTCCTTCCTTCCTCACCATACTTCCTTCCTCACCGTACTTCCTTCTTTCCTTCCTCACCTTCCTTCCTTCCTTCCTTGCCATACTTCCTTCCTTCCTCACCGTACTTCCTTCTTTCCTTCCTCACCTTCCTTCCTTCCTTCCTCACTGTACTTTTGCTGCACCGTTTTCATCACTTCATGTCATGCCAGTGCTCTCCCTTTGGAAATACTTTTCTTAGGAACAGACACACCACCATGAGCCTCACTGAGTGGCCTCAACTCTGACCCTTAGAACCACTGAGAACAACACCCCTCACTCATGATAGCTCTCCAAGTAATTGAGGATGTCTCTCAGCACCCTAAGGAGGCAACTTTTCTCCAAGATGAGGCCTCATCTCTTTCAACTTTCCTCCCATGACATGGCTTCTGGATGTCTTGCCTTCAACTGTTTATATCAGGAGCCCTAGGAACACTGAAGAATTTCAAGGATGTCCTTTAGGGTGTCTGTGAAACCCTTGATACTGGTGGTATGTTCCCTGCAGGTGTGCATTTTGGGGGTGGGGAGAGACTCTGTAGGATTCAAAGGACCCTTGACCTCAAGTGGTCCAGAAGCCCTTCTCCCTCTATCCCGTCTTCCGGGAGCCGTGCGCCATCTATCCTGTCTGCCAGGAGCCGTGCGCCATCTATCCTGTCTGCCAGGAGCTGAGCGCCATCTAGCCTGTCTTCCAGGAACCCCGCGCTATCTAGCCTGTCTTCCAGGAGCCCTGCTCCATCTAACTTGTCTTCCTGGAGCCCTGCTCTGTCTAGTCTGTGTTCTAGGCCAGAATCGCTCTACCTAGCCTGTCTTCTAGGAGCCCTGCTGTATTTAGCCTGTTCCCCGGGCCAGGCCTGCTCTCTGCAGCACACAGTGGGTATTTTTCTCCTTCATAATGACCGCCTACTCTAGGTAGCACTTTCTGATTTAATGACTCACTTTCACATTTGGCATCTCACTGAGTGCTCATGATTCTGTTCATTCAGTGTGTCTAATTCTCCTTCTGCGAACAAAGAAACAGTGTCCTGAAAGGGTGTGTTTTCTATATTTTGAGGCTGTTTTTTTTTTTTTTTTTTTGAGAGGGAGTCTGGCTGTGTCACCCAGGCTGGAGTGCAGTGGCGCGATCTCGGCTCACTGCAAGCTCCGCCTCCTGGGTTCATGCCATTCTCCTGTTGAGGCTGTTTTTTGATGTATCAGCTTCATGACTGTTATACCTTCTGCTGTTCCATCATTACACAGTAAGTTTGTTGGCTTATAAAGCACAACTTTTTGTTTTTGTTTTTCCTGTTAATATATTTACATAGCTTTTCTTTTGATAAGTATTCGTGTGCTATATTTTTTCCCATCAGTTTATTTTAAATCTGAATCCTTAGTTTTAGTTGTGTTTCTTGTAAGCAGCATAAGGCTGTTCTAAAAAAAATTCAGCCAGAGAATTTCTGTCATTTAACTAGCAATTGTTTTCATTTACATTTATTATAATTACTGATTCCTTAAATTTTCCCTCAATCTTATGTTGTACTTCCTGTTTACTCTGCTTTTTGAAAATTCAATTTCCTCTTGCTATTATTATTATTATTATTTTGAGATGGAGTCTTGTTCTGTTGCCCAGGCTGGAGTGATTATTATTATTATTATTATTATTATTATTATTATTATTTTGAGATGGAGTCTCGTTCTGTTGCCCAGGCTGGAGTGATTATTATTATTATTTTGAGATGGAGTCTCGTTCTGTTGCCCAGGCTGGAGTGCAGTGGCGCAATCTTGGCTCACTGCAACCTCCACCTCCCACCTCAATCAATTCTCCTGTCTCAGCTTTCTGAGTACCTGGGACTACAAGCACATGCCACTATGCCCGGCTAATTTTTGTATTTTTAGTAGAGATGGGTTTCACCATATTGGTCAGGCTGGTCTCGAACTCCTGACCTCAGGTGATCCACCTGCCTTGACCTCCCAAAGTGCTGGGATTACAGGCGTGAGCCACTGTGCCTGGCTTTTGCTATTATTCTGAAAATTATAAACTGTATTTCTCTTTCTTATCTCTTTGAAAATTGCCAATTTTTTAGTGGTGTTTGAAAATTCAAATGTGTGTACTTAATTTCTGCAATTCTACAATTTTTCTATCCTTCTCCCATTTTGTCTGAAATACAAAAATTTTAGAATGCTTTTACTAGAATCACGTTATCCTATTTTGCATGTTATTTTTGACCAATATTTTAGTTTCACCTTGTTTTTATTTCACCTTAAATTAGTTATGTGTTTTTTCTAGTCAGTGGTTTTTTTTTTTTAACTTTATTGGTATATTTTTTACCCCTTTCTTTGCTCATCTCAGGCCTTCCTTCTGCGTTCAATTTTCTTCTTTTTGAAGCACTTTCTTAATAAACTTTTTAATTGAAGATCTCTTAATAAATTCATTTAGTTTCTTTTTGCCTGTAAATATCTTTATTTTCCCATCATTCCTGAATGATAATTTCAGTAGACAGGCAGTCAGTCCCACTTTGACAATAATTTTGACTTACTGCTTTGAAAGCAATATTCCTTTGTATTCTGGTTTCCGATACCCCCATGAGAAGTCAAGCTGTCTGCCTGCTACGCAGTGTTCTGAAGCGGTCTGCCCTTTCTGGTGGATTTTCAGTGTGTGCCTTTGTCTTTGGTCTATTGTAGTTTCATTGTGGTGTGTTCAGGTGTGGGATCATGCTTTAGGTTGAGTTCCTGAGTCTGAGGATCAGCCCTTGGCATATGGGCCTTTCTTCACTTCCTCTGTTTGTTTCCTTCCCAGACCATCAGATGTATGCATGTTGGTCCTTCACCTTTTCTTTGTTTCTCTTTTTTTTTTTTTTGAGACAGAGTCTCACTCTGTTGCCAGGCTGGAGTGCAGTGGTGTGATCTCAGCTCACTGCAACCTCTGCCTCCTGGGTTCAAGCGATTCTCCTGCCTCAGCCTCCCAAGTAGCTGGGATTACAGGTGCACACCACTAAGCCCAGCAAATTTTTGTATTGTTAGTAGAGACGGGGTTTCACCATGTTGGCCAGGCTGGTCTTGATCTCTTGACCTCGTGATCCACCCGTCCTGGCCTTCCAAAGTGCAGGGATTACAGGCGTGAGCCACCGCGCCCGGCCTCTTTGTTTCTCTTAACTTGCTTTCATATTTGTTCCAAGTCTTTGTCTCTCCATGACTCATCCTGGGCATTCTTTAGCTAGATCGTTCAGTTTAGTAATTTATTTCCTCACATCTATCGATCTAACTTGTGCTTTAACTTTAAAGTCTTGAATTTTAATTTTTAAGTGTGTGTATTTATTTTTTCTTTAGAGACAGGGTCTCACTATGTCACCCAGGGTGGAGTGCAGTGGCTATTCACAGGTGCCATTATAGAACACTCCAGCCTCAAACTTCTGGGCTCAAGCAATGCTCCCGCCTCAGCCTCCTAAGTAGCTGGGACTAAGGCACGTGCCACTGTGCCCAACTTACATTTTTTATTTCTAAACATTTTAATTGTTTTCTCCTCTCTTATTTACTTTGTCTTTTTCTTCTGTATCTTGTCTGCATTTTTGAGAATGTCTTTAAACATTTTAAGCATTCTTATTTGTATTCTGTACCTCAAGATTCCATTGCCTGGAAGCCCTATGACTGATTCCAGGTAACTTGTGCTCATGACGGGTTCCTCTGCGGACTGTGGGCCAGACTTCCTGGGTTTGAATCTCAACTCTTCTTCTTTGCTGTGTGTTCTTGAGTAAGTTACTTATCCTCTCTGTGCCTTCATTCTCTCCAATTCCTAATCCAGGAATATGAATGACATTAATAAATAATAATGAGAATAAAACTACCTACCATTAGAAGAATGTGTGAAGATTAGGTGGGACAATACAGGTCAAAGATTTATTTATTTTATTTTTATTTTTTTTGAGACAGAGTTTTGCTCTGTTGCCCAGGCTGGAGTGCGATGGCACCATCTTGGCTCACTGCAACCTCTACCTTCCAGGTTCAAGTGATTCTCCTGCCTCAGCCTCCCAAGTAGCTGGGATTCCAGGCACCTGCCACCACACCTGGCTAATTTTTGTATTTTTAGTAGAGATGGGGTTTCACCATGTTGGCCAGGCTGCTCTTGAACTCCTGACCTCAGGTGATCTGTCCTCCTCAGCCTCCCAAAGTGCTGAAATTACAGGTGTGAGCCACTGTGTCTGGCCCAGGTCAAAGATTTAAAACTGTGCCTGGCACGAGTTAAGTCTTCAATAAAGGTTAATCTTTTTTTTTTTTTTTTTTTAATTGAGACAGAGTTTCGGTCTGTTGCCCAGGCTGGAGTTCAGTGGCGCAATCTTGGCTCACTGCAACCTCTGTCTCTCAGATTCAAGTGATTCTCCTGCCTTAGCCTCCTGAGTAGCTGTGGCTACAGACACATGTGGCACCACGCCCGGCTAATTTTTATATTTTTAGTAGAGGCAGGGTTTTACCATGTTGGCTAGGCTGGTCTCGAACTCCTGACCTCAAGTGATCTGTCTGCCTCAGCTCCCCAAAGTGCTGGGATTACAGGTGTGAGCTACCGCGCCTGGCCAATAAAGGTTAATTTTATAGTACACAGCTGGGCTTTATCTTGGAAATCCTACACACCTTGGTTTGAGGACGTGTTTCTCCAGAGAGATTTTACATTTGTTTCTGTCAAGCATCTGGGGGACTATCAACCTAAGACCACTCTTAGCTAATTTCTTGACTTTGGTTTCCCAGACCAAATGGTATCAATTCAAACCCAAACCCAATGAGGCCAGGTATGGATTCTCAGGGGATGCTCTATCCCACTCAGAGCCCAGGAGTTGAGACACATGTTTCCTTGTCATTTCTTTTTATTAATTTCTGTTTTACCTCATTCTATCACTGAGGGTATGGCCTCCAAGGGTCCTGCATTTCCAGGGAGTCTCACTTCCAAGTCCCTGCCTCGTGCAGGCCCCGGGTTTGGTGTCCAGTGCCCGGATGGCTGTGGAAACCGAGGCTCTCTGTTCCTGAGCTTGGCAAATATCCCCAAGGGCAGCAGCTGAATCCGCAGCTTCTTCTTTGCTTCTGTCCACTGGGGCTCTCTTACTGATGTGTGCCCCGCCATGTATTTAACAGGATATTCGGGATAAATTTTCCAGGATTTCTAGGTGTTTTCTGGCCACAGGATTTTCAGATTTTGTAGATTTTCCTCTTGCTGGAAATAAAAATGCCCAGAGAGGTTTTATAACTGACTCAAGCCCATGCATCTTGGACAGAACAAGAGCCCAGTCCCCTTCAATTACACCGTGCCGAAATGACATGTTAGCTAGCCTGTGGGTAAGAGTACGCTTTCCATTAGGCCTTTTGAGATGCCGTGTTTAGCTGGCAGACCCCAGCAGCACCTTCATGGACCTGTAGACACCTGGGGGATTGAGGCTGGGGAGTGTGGTGTGGAGACTTCAGGGGACCTCAGCCTTACACTGAAGCCTTCTGTTACCATCTGACATTGCCTAGCTCTAGGCTCCTCCCCCCCTTTCTCCTCCTCCTTCTTTTTCTTCTGTTTTTACAAAGAGTTGTGGAAAGATGTACATTTTTTTTTCTACAATAAAGACGAGAACATGGAGCCCATAACATTTTCCAGGGCTGTTGATCTAACGACCTCGTCAAAGTGAAAGGCGATCGGTCCTCAGTGACCACGTGCTGGTTCCCAGCAATTAGTTTTCTTCCCCACCTCCTTAATCATTTCAAAATTACTTAAGGCCAGGTGCGGTGGCTCAGGCCTGTAATCCCAGCACTTTGGGAGGCCAAGGCGGGTGGATCACTTGTTCAGGGATTTGAGACCAGCCTGACCAACATGGTAAAACCCCGTCTCTAAAAATACAAAAATTAGCTGGGCGCAGTGGTGTATGCCTGTAGTCCCAGCCACTTGGAAGGCTGAGGCAGGAGAATCGCTTGAACCCAGGAAGCGGAGGTTGCAGTGAGCAGAGATTGTGCCACTGCACTCCAGTCTGGGTGACAGAGTGAGACTTCATCTCAAAAAAAAAAAAAATTACTGCATACTGGAATTTTGCTCAAAATTGGTCAGGCTTGCTGGTTTGTTTCTATTTTTCATTTATTTATTTTTTTGAGATGGGGTCTCACTCTGTCACCCCATCTCAATCATAGCTCACTGCTGCCTTGACCTCCTGGGCTCAAGTGATCCTCCCACCTCAGCCTCCTGGGTAGCTACAACTGCATATGTGCATCATCACGCCTGGGTAATTACTATTATGTTTTAATTTTTTGTAGAGATGGAGGGCGGGGGGAGTCTCACTATGTTGTCCAGGCTGGTCTCAAACTCCTGGACTCAAGCAATCCTCCTGCCTCAGCCTCACAAAGTGCTGAGACTATGGGCATGAGCCACTGCACCAGGCCTAGTTGGTTTTTAGAATTCACCTTTCCTCTGTTTTTGAAAACTGAGCTGGCATTTCCTGTCTTCAGACTACTGGCCTCTTTTCTTTCTTTTTTTTTAAAACAGAGTCTCACTCTGTCCCCCAGGCTGGAGTGCAGTGGTGCGATCTTGGCTCACTGCAACCTCTACCTCCCAGGTTCAAGCAATTCTCATGCCTCAGCCTCTCGAGTAGCTGAAATTACAGGGGCCCACCACACCTGGCTAATTTTTGTATTTTTAGTAGAGACAGGGTTTCACCATGTTGGCCAGGCTGGTCTCAAACTCCTGACCTCAAGTGATCTGCCCTCCTCGGCCTCCCAAAGTGCTGGGATTACAGGTGTGAGCCACCACGCCCAGCCTCTCTTTTCAGTTGTCTTGATTTCTTAGGTGTTTTTGCATTTGACCTGTGCCGAGGCTCTCACGTTCTTTCACTTTCCCTGGTTAGAAATTTTCTAGTTCTCAAAGTGTAAACCTAACTAAATTGACCCAAAGGTTTTTACCCTCCCTCTCTTATCTGAAGATTGGAAATCCTGTGATGTGAGGAATATGGTCACAGAATTCATAAATTAAAGTTGAAGTAACTTTGGCAGACCAGTCAGATGAGCTGGTGAAGACCCAGGACTGATCTGATCAAAAAAATCAGCCCCCCATGTGGAATGAATAGGGTTCAGGTGAAACCTCCAGACCAGAAAAGGGGAGAGGGAGGGTCCTAACTCCCAGGCCGTGTGCTAAACACGGTACAGATCCACAGCCACCAAAAGTATCAGGCATTGTATTGTGGCCCGAGTAGTACTGGGGATAGCTGCCTCCAACTAGTTTAGTAACCTATGGAGCTCAATAGTTGTTCATTTCACAATCAGGTGCCTGCCTCCCTGCTGCGCCTGGCCACGTGGAAACCCCTGTAGCTCCCTGGCTGTGCAGGAGCAGCCACAGTGTGCCCCTCCCAGGACCACCATCCCCCTCACTGTCTCTGAGGCACCTGCGTGGACCGGGTCTGGATTGAGTCTCATTTCTCTGGATTCCCACGGCAGCCGGCGGCTGCCTCTCCCACACCCGTCACTCTGTGTCATGGAAAGCTGTGTGTTTGTCTTCATTCCCACCGAGTCTGAGCCACTCGAGGTCAGGGCCATGACCGTGAGCTACACGTCCTTGGCGCCCAGTGTGAGCCGTGTACAGTAGAGGCTGACTGACGTCTTGGAGGCAGAAGTGAGTACATAACTGACAATTGCTTAAAGTCGGCCGGGCCAAGGTTTACAGACCGGGAGGATCATCAGACGCGGGTGGGGCACAGTGGGGTGGGGGGAGGTTCCCAAGGCTGCTCATCAATGGAGTCTGGAGATGGCTGCCTAGGGGTAGCCTCTGAAACGTTCTGGAACAACCTCGTCCTGTCACAGCGTGGCTATGAGGGGACCCTCACCTGGAGGCCTTGGGTGATGTGTTAGTTTCACAGCCACACATCAGCATGGGCCTGTGTCCCCCAGGCCACACGTCGGCATGGGCCTGTGTCCCCCAACCCACGTGTCAGCATGGGCCTGTGTCCCCCAACCCACGCTTCAGCATGGGGCATGTCCCCCAGGCCATGCGTCGGCATGGGCCATGTCCCCCAACCCACGCGTCAGCATGGGCCCCGTGTCCCCCAACCCATGCTTCAGCATGGGGCATGTCCCCCAGGCCACGCGTCAGCATGGGCCATGTCCCCACATAGGTGAGTCCCTGATGCAGGTTGGGTCCCCGGGGAAGCTCACTCAGAGACAGAAGAGTGTTTATTGGTGGCGGGGCAGTGCTCTTGGGTTTAGGGTCTGTGAAGGGAGAGAAGGAAAGCCAGTGGGGTAGAGGGAGTCGTCGGGCAGTGATGCCCTAACCGCTGGTCCCTGGGGAAGCTCTGGAGCTGGCACACCCCTTCAGGGTTGTCCCGAGTGGAGCCTGGGGCCAGGCCTTTATCCACAGTGTGGGCCGCCACCAGGTGCAGGTGCCCAGGAGGGGCGTGTTATGGGTTGAATTGTGTCCCTCCAAAAAGATACATTCAAGTCCCAAGCCCCGCTACGTGTGAATGTGACAAATCCACTGTAGAAACCAGCATTCAGATCTCAGGTCTGCACAGCTGAAATCAGCATTCAGATCTCAGCTCTGCACAGCCGAAACCAGCATTCAGATCTCAGGTCTGCACAGCCGAAACCAGCATTCAGATCTCATCTCTGCACAGCTGAAACTAGCATTCAGATCTCATCTCTGCACAGCCGAAACCAGCATTCAGGTCTCAGGTCTGCACAGCCGAAACCAGCATTCAGATATCATCTCTGCACAGCCGAAACCAGCATTCAGATCTCATCTCTGCACAGCCGAAACCAGCATTCAGATCTCAGGTCTGCACAACCAAAACCAGCGTTCAGATGTCAGCTCTGCACAACCACAACCAGCATTCAGATGTCAGCTCTGCACAACCACAACCAGCATTCAGATCTCAATTCTGCACAACTGTGATCACTATTGAGAGCAGTGACTGTTACATGGATTTAGAGACACGTTGTGGGGGTTATACGACCACGTATTACTGTGCAAAAAGACGTCACTCAAGCCCATTAGTGCAGAGGTTCCTTTAACTGTGGAGGATTAAATCAAGGAATCAGAGATTGTTTACGCCGGAAGGGACTTTGAGGTGTTCACTTAATTGGAAAGCAGGTCATCGTGGGCCCTCCATGGGTGTTGGTATCCACTGAAACTCCAAATCCCATCCAGGGGAGGCTGACACAGGCACCAGGTGTAAGGCCCCACCCCAGCCGGGCTCACCTCTGCGGGCAAGCCTGGGGCCTGGCCGGGAAGCCCAGCATGGTGCGTGTGAATGCTGTGGTGGGGGGGCGCCCCAAACTCCCCCTCCAAGACAGAGGCACAGGCATCGCCTCCCAGGACTCACCTGGAGGGGGCTGCCTGGCGTAAGCTCATGCTCCTCCCGTGCCACCTGCTTTAGTGGCTGATTGCTATGCCAGGTAACGTCAGGGCCACCTGCCTGATTCAGGCTGCTGTGCAGCCGCGCAGACTCAGAGCTGCCTGTGAGCCTGGCTGAGGCCTTTACTGCTCATTCCCACTGCCCTCACCCCTGGCGGGGGCTGGTCTCCAGGGCACCCCCATAATCCACTTGCACCCAGATCTCCGTCTCCAAGTGCGCTCCAAACCCAGCCCCAGCGTGTGGACAATGGCATCCTTCTTGCACATGCTGGGGTAATTGATGGCTGTATCTGCTCTGAGACGGCAGAGTGGGCTAGCTCCCAGCCCCAACAAACGGCCCTCTGCGCCCTCCACACACACTCAGCATAGGCTCAGCAGCCTGGGGAAGAAGAAAGCCGCTCTGCTCCGTGCTCTGGGTGCCCAGCCCTGTGAACAGCACGGGGTGTCCCCACGGCTCACTGTGCCTCCTCCTGGCCCATGTCCACTCCGGCATGCTGTTCACAGACACGGCCCAGGCCTCTGTCCCCACAGCTTTATTATTTTTTAAATGTTATCAGTTATTTAATTAGGTTCTTAAGAAATTTAGAACACCAATTTGTGAGGATAAATTCCATTCCTCAGAACAAACACAGATCTCAGGTAGCCCTGGAGCTAAGGAATAACTTTGATTTTTGGTAAAATCTGTGAGTCCACAGCTTTCTGATCAATCTTGCGCTGCCCTGTGATCTCGTATTTCTCTTTTTCTGTGTCGAAGATCTCACCTTCCTGGTGTCTGGGCTTCCGCAGCTGCTGCTTCTTGAAGCAAGCATCAGTGAGATGTTTTGGGATTTTTACATTGCTGATGTCAGTTTTGGTTGAGGTGGCAATGACAAATGTCTGGTGTGTTCTTCATAGAGGAACTCGATTGAGGACCAGAGGTCCAGTCCTAAATACCAAGCCGCTAGCCAGCTGCTTCAAGAAAACCACCCTCTTGCCTCTGTGGCATCCAGTGAAGATGATTAGAATGGCTTCGGGGGTAATGCTGGCTCACAGTTTTCTCACGTGCTGACTGAAAGTTTTTTTGCCGTGGCTCAACAGCTTTCGAGGCGCATCTCCGGTAGGGTAATATCTAGGCATTTTGTTAACCACCCAGGACCACCGTTCTTGTCACCACCAACTGGTTTGTAACAGTTGCAAGAACCTTCTCCTTTTTCTTTTCAACCTTGGACTTCGCAGCTAAGTACTTCCTCTTCCACGTGGCCTTTCTGGAATACATGGCAGGTTGGGAATACCTGCCAACTCCTCTGACAAGGACGGGATTGAGGCTGCAATGGGGCTTCCCCTTCTTGAGTTTTTCAGTCTTGAGGTGATGCCTTTTCACCTTGCCACCAGCATCAGCCTTCTTTGCTTCAGGTTTCTTCTCTTTAGTATCCGGCTTCTCAACTTTTTCACCTGCCATCTTGCAAGATGGGAAAGAGCTTTCCTACAGCTTTGCTTCCAAGGCAGGAGCTGAGCTTTCTTCTCTGCAAAGGGCCTTATAGAGAATGTTCTCTGGTCTTCTTTTCTTCCTTCTGCAAACTCTTCTCCAAGGGGCCAGATGCTGGAGATGATGGGACTGTCTTTTAATCTAGGGAGGGGTTATCATTAGCCTGTGGTGCTAATTACATGAATTCTTAAAGCCCACATGAGCACACTGCACCCAAGGTGCAAAGAGAATGCAGCCCCTTTGTTTCTACTGGCTAGCATTGTCTCTTGGGGATGCCACAGTCTCTTGACGGACACGTGGTCAGCACTGCAGACCTCCCTTCTTCCCCTCAGCCCCTGATCCTCTCTGAGTGGGGGTGGTACATGTGGTGGGGGAAGGAGAGCACCTGGTCTCTAGGCAGGTGGCTGTTCTGCCCTTGGGTGGGCCCTGGCTGCTGGAGGCTTAGGTGGTGGGTCTGTCTTGTCCTGCCCCTGGGCAGCCTGGTGGGCTGTTGCAGAAGCCTGTGGCTGCTATCATCTGTGGTCTGGGGAGCTCAGCCCTCCACCCTGGCTGATGATGTCCTGGCTGCTCTGGAGGTGCCCTGACGTCTGGTTGGAACTTCCATTTGATTCTTGGCTCAAACAGTCCCATTGACTGATTGCGCCCTTGGCTTCAGAGTCCCTTTACCCCCATGAAAATGACTTTCTCTGACAGGTCCCCATGCCTCAGCTAATAGGTACCTAGGGGTTCCTGCCATAACACATGGAGCTGGGCAGACCCTGAGTGTCACCTTGGGCTCTTTTTGAGTCTCTGTATTTACCCAGCTGCCCTGGCCTGGGTGGAAGTTGGGAGTCCCAGAGCCACTGGGGTGGGGCCCGCAGGCCGGGTGTTCTTGGAGTCCCCATGGGAATCAGGTCGAGGCAGGGCCCTGCTTTGACCTCTCCCCATGCTGCTTTATGACCCTCCTGGCTTGGAGAGCGTGGGCTCAGGGGGAGAGGGGACACCAAAGGTTGCTGCCTGTGCCACCTGCCTCTACCCCACACTTCCTCAGCACCACCTGGCGGGAAGGCTCCGAAGTCCTGTTTCCCCCAGGTGGCTGAGATATTCTCCACTCCACATCTTTCTCCTTTCAGGAGCAGGATCTTCCCCAACCCTGCCTTGAGGCCCAGATGACAGTCAGGGATCAGGTTTAGGGAACCATTAACACCCAGTGTGACGATTTCAGATCCTGCTCCCATGACCTCCACATCCCCTAGACTGGAAGCTTCCTGAGGACAGGGCCCTGCTGTCCTTTCTGTTACTGTACCCCCAGCACAGGCTGGCACCAAATGAAAACACAGACTTACACATTCTCCTAGAAAACTCCAGACAGCCCAGTAAGGCCTCTCTGGACCTCATCGGAGATGTGGGAAACACTCTTTGAGAAACACTGCTCCAGACTTTCCTGTGAGTCCCCGAATGATACTGATTTCACCTGCTGCTGTTATTTAGATGACTGCAATACACTAGATGATTTGGTTGTAAAACTTGGCACTCTCAAATAGAGGTCAAGTTCAGGAGTCAATCCAGAAATGCTCTTCACAGTGTGCAGTGTCACTGGTTGTAGCACACTGAAGTCACGACCAATAGAAGGCAGGCTTTGGGAGAACCCTGCGTGTGTCTGAAGTTAATGCATTAAGAGGAAAGCAAATGGCTGACCGGCTGTTCTGCTTTGGTTCCCATGCCCACCTGTATTTCTAGAGGGTGGGGTTGTCAGGCCCAGGGCCTGCGGGCCTTGAGGTCACTCTGTTCCTCAGTGCAGGGGCTGCTCTCCCCACAGGGCAGCAGCAAACAAGGAGAAACAGAGACACCCCCCCCTGCCACCATGTGCTTTACACGCATCACCTCACTAAGTTTTCCCAACCAGCTATGGGCAATAAATGTTATTGCATCCCATTGAACAGGTAGGCAAACCGAGGCTCTGGGAAATTTAGTGATTTTGTTTAGATCATGCAGCCATACAGTTTAGGGGATGTGGAGGTCATGGGAGCAGGATCTGAAATCATCACACTGGGTGTTAATTGTTCCTTAAATCCTGATCCCTGACTGCCATCTGGACTTGGAGGCAGGGTTAGGGAAGATCCTGCTCCTGGAAGGAGAAAGATGTGGAGTGGAGAAAATCTCAGCCACCAGGAAGACAAATGGGAGGACGGAGCCTTCCCGCCAGGCAGGTGGTGAGGAAGAGTGGGGTAGAGCCAGGCGGCACAGGCAGCAGCCCTTGATGTGCCAAGGCTGGAGCGTGAACTGGCTCTTGCAAGAAGAGGTCCTTTGAGGACCCTGCGGCTCCAGGACTTTCTGCAGAAGTGGGTGCTCCTCCCCAGGAAAGGAAAGGCGCATGATTTTGAGCAGCACTGGGCTTTTCCAGCGCCAAGAGAATTTCTCCTGAGTTTCAGACAAGAGCCTTTCCAGATTCTTCCTTGAAGCCCTACTGGGGAGAAGTGTGCCACTGAGCTGATGGGGGGATGCGACTTGGGGGACGGAACGTCAGCTGCCATGTCAGTGCCAGGGGCACTAGGCTGGCAAGAGAGCCACCATTTCTGCCCAAGCACTAGCCAGGGGATGATGGACATTGTGACAAAGAAACAAGGACAGTTGGGTGTGACAGTGACAATGGGCTCTCTGTGTGCCATGACATAGCAGGAAAGGCCAGGCCAGACGGACTGTGGATGTCTGATGGCTTTGAGTGAACTCAACAACCATTGACTAGGTGAAGAATGGGAAGGGCACCAGCTGAATCCTGAGGACCATCATCTGTTGAGCACCTACTGCCACCGTGTGCTCTGCATGCGTCACCTCACTTAATTTTCCCAGCAGCCATGGCCAGTAAATGTTATTGTATCCCATTTGACAAGTAGGCAAACTGAGGCTCTGGGAGATGTAGTAATTTTCTTTAGTTCATGCAGCCGTGCCTTACACAAGGGGTGCAGGATTTGAATTCTGTGCTTCTGTAACAGGGATATTATCCCTGTGAGGCCACCTAATAGGAGGCATGCTGTCAGAAAAGAAAATTCTGACCAGGCTACTGGCCTCTTTTCTTTCTTTCTTTTTCTTTTCTTTCTTTTTAAAAAAACAAAACAAAACAAAACAAAACAAAGCCAAAAAAAAAACAAAAAACAAAAAACAAGAGTCTCTGGCTGGGCACAGTGGCTCACACCTATAGTCACAACACTTTGGGAGGCCAAGGCAGGTGGATCACTTGAGGTCAGGAGTTCAAGACCAGCCTGGCCAACATGGCAAGATCCTGTCTCTACTAAAAATACAAAAATTAATCGAGTGTGATGGTGTGCACCTGTAATCCCAGCTACTCGGGAGGCTGAGGCACGAGAATCACTTGGACCTGGGAGGCAGAGGCTGCAATGAGCCAAGATTGTGCCACTGCACTCCAGCCCAGGGAACAGAAAGAAACCAGGTCTCAGAAAAAACAAACAAACAAACAAACAAACAAAGGAAAATTCAGAAGTGGGACTGAGTGATTTTCATCAATTACTTTGTTTATTGACACACTTTATTTGACACACTTTATATTGACACACTATATTTGACACTATATTTATTGAGCACTGTTATTTGCTAAATTAGGAAGACAGATAAAGGCTCACGAAAGAGGAGTTGGCCAGGTTTGCAATGGCTTCTCTGGGGTCACCAGCCAGTTAGGGCAGCACGAGGACCAGAACTGGGGGCTCCCAGCACCTGCCCTTCAGGGTTTTCAGGAGGCCACGTGCTTCCATGGAAGAGACTGCTTCCTTTTCCGATGGGATTGAGACTGAAGGTTGCATTCCCTGCGTCCTGGTCACGAACATTAAATGTAACACGATGACATAATTATAGAAATGGATAACACCCCAAGCCTCCTTAACCACCTGTTCTAATCATCGACAGCCCAGAACACATTGTAATAATTTGTCACCCATTTTTAAGGTACAATGCACTAACTCTTAATAAAGCGAGAGATGAGCAAATAAACATGCACGCCAGTCTGAATGCTATAATTAGAACTACCATTTGGTTAAAGAAAAATGGAGACGTTTTAATTTCAGGCCTCTGCTTGAATTCTGCTTGAATGTGAAGTTGCTGCTAGGGAACAAGCCACGTGTGTGAACACATCGAGTTCTGAGGACACGGTGGCATCTTGAGAAGGTATTTGTTTGTGAGTGAGGCTGGGGTGAGCTCTGTACATTACTAGATTCTTAAGTTCCGTGTTTATCTCCCAGGGCCAATCTAACATGATAATTAGTATTTTTCAGATATTCCTGACAGTTACTCAGGATGATGATTTCACATAAAATTTCTAACTCTATTGATATAACAGGTTGGCATCATTCTTTGACACCAATGGGTTGGGTGATGATAGGATGAACACAAATTATTCATTCATTTAATAAATAATTAGGACATACGTGTCTGTTATTTCCAGGGAAGCCAGGAAGTGTGTTTTCCTCGCTGTCTTCACAAAAACACCTCAGCCTTCTGTTCTGACCACTGAGTTAACATTTACAAGAGTGACTCCTTTAGGCCCCGTCAGTCCAAGTGCTCAGCAAAACTGACCAGAGCAATCCAGAAGCAGAAACCTACTCTCTCTGCAGTGTCATGAGTCAGCTAGATTTTAGACTTCATTCCTTCTTGGTTACTCAATTAGAGAAATTTCAAACTCCTGAGCCACAGGGAGGATGGGTACTCGCTTCCTATGCCCATCAGAGGGAGGGAGTAGGATGATTTCAGGTAATCAAGTTGGTGTACTTTGAAAATCAACCCATGCAGAATAAGAACCTTCCTGGAGAAGAGACCACACCCCCGGTGGGCCTCCGCCAAGGCACTCAGTTCCCTGGCATCGGTGAGTGCTCGGTGGAATGGTGGCCACTTCCAGCACTGGTCGCAAGCCAGGCACTGTGCTAAGCTCGGAGGCCTCCAGCACCACCCACGAGGAGGGTCCATGCTCTGAAACCTCCACGTGATGCAGCCACCAGCATCACCTGGAGGACCCTTTAAAATGCAGATTGCAGGGTGCCCCCAGACAGGGCTGCCAAACTTAACAAACAAACATTCAGGACATCCGATTAAATTTGAATTTCAGATAATGAATTATCATTTAATATAAGCATGACCCAAATATTGCGTGGATAATATTAATCATCTGTCTGAAATTCAAATTTAGCGGATGACCTGTAGTTTGTCTGGCAGCTCTACCCCCCGGGTTTCTGAAATGGCAGGTCTGTGCTGGGGCTTGAGGATTTGTATTTCCAGTAAGTTCTCGGGTGATGCCGATGCTGCTGGCCAAGGCCACACTTGGAGAACCACCGAGGAAGGTAATGTTATGATCCCCACTTTATGGTGAGTCAGATGGGGCACAAAAAGGCTAAGCAACGTGTCCAAGGTCACAGCTCTGGCTGGGACCCGGGGAGCCTGGCTTCCAGGTCTGCTTGTTAGCCACGGTGCCACCCCACCCCAACGAGAGGTGCTTCTCAGAAGTGGTGCAGCACCCCCACCCTCACCCCCACCCCCACCTCCACCCTCACCCCCACCCCCACCCCCAGGCTGTCTCCTCACATGCTTACTCCCAAAGTATTCTGGAGGTAAAGCCAAAATGGTTATTTTATTTTATTTTTTTTTGAGATGGAGTCTTTCTCTGTCACCCAGGCTGGAGTGCAATGGCGTGATCATGGCTCACTGCAACCTCCGCTTCCTGGGTTCAAGCGATTCTCCTTCCTCAGCCCCCTGTGTAGCTGGGACTACAGGCATGTGCCACCATGCCCAGCTAATTTTTATATTTTTAGTAGAGGTAGAGTTTCACCATGTTAGCTAATCTGGTCTTGAATTCCTGACCTCAGGTGATCCACCCACCTTGGCCTCCCAAAGTGCTGGGATTACAGACGTGAGCCACCCTGCCCAGCCGAAATGCTTATTTTAAAATGCAAGTTGAGGCTGGATGCAGTGGCTCATACCTGTAATCCCAGCACTTTGGGAAGCCGAGGCGGGTGGATCACTTGAGGTCAGGAGTTCGAGACCATGCTGGCCAACATGGCGAAACCTCGTCTCTACTAAGAATACAGAAATTAGCTGGGTGTGGTGGCACACACCTGTAATCCTAGCTACTCAGGAGGCTGAGGCATGAGAATTGCTTGAACCCGGGAAGCAGAGGTTGCAGTGAGCTGAGATCATGCCACTGCACTCCAGCCTGGTGGAGAGAGTGAGACTGTCTCAAAAAAAGAAAAATAAAAAAGTAAATGCAGGTTGAATTATGCTTCTCCTTCACTCAAAAGTGGACAATGACATCCATGTTCATCAGTAAAGCCTACATTCTGACTGTGGCCCTGACGTCCCCTCTGGCCTTATTTCCCACCGCCTCCCCCATTCATGCTTCTCCAGGCACACTGGCCTTCGTGCTGCCTTTGAACATTTCAGGCAGACTTCTGCCATAGTGCCTTTGCACCTGCTGTTCCTCTGCCTGGAATTCTCTTTTTCAACAAGCCCACATGGCTCCCTCACTGCATTCAGGTCGCTGGCACAATGTCACCTCTTGAGAGTTTTTCCCAGTGATCCAGCTGAGACAGCAGCTTTCTTCATCAACCTCTAGCCCCTCATCCTGCCTTTTATTCCTTTGCAGCACTTATCACCCATCAGCTGACATTCTGCATGTATATACTTGCATGTACACCTGTTTATCTGTCCTATTTATCTCCATCCACTAAAAGGTAAGCTCTGTGAAAGCAGGTCATTTGTTTTATGCACTACCTGGAACAGTGCCTGGTAATAGATGGTGCTCAAAAACCAAGACTGGATTAACTGCCTGTATCAGGCGCAAGTTCACCTGTTGGAATTCAGTGTCAAGACGCTACCCCTGCCCTTGCGGAGCTCAAGCTAACATGGAAGAGAGATGCAGAAAGATACAGTTATGCAACAGTGTGGCAAATGCAATGCTGAAGATCTGCTTGGGCGCAGCTCCGATGTATCCATCTCAGTTTGGAAAATGGCTCACACTTAAAGCTTTTTAAAAACGAGGTTAGTAGAATCTCAGTGAGAAAGTTCCATCTTTGCTGCACGAGACCATCTTTCAACAGAAATCACATGGTGAGTTTATTCCTGAACCTCTTATGCAAGAAGTGGCGTATCTGGAACATACTGGGATTGGCCACCCAACTGCCCATCCCTTCTCTTTGTGGCCAGGAGAACCCACATCCTGTCACAGAGGTGAACATTTTAGACACTCTCCTTAGCCCCCAGTTACAGTTAGGGCCTGGGCATGGGAGCTCCTCCGCCCAGTGGGACCAGATGGGGAGTCTCTGGGGCCTTTTAGGAAATGCTCCCTCCCTAATTCAAAGAGCTGTACTGGAGGAAATGCCCCCTTCTTTAAGTGGACATTGTCACATCTGCAAGTGGTGCCCAGAAGCGCAGAAGCCACATTGGAACCACGAGGTGACAGGTGAGGGGCTCGGTGACTCTGCTGAAGGTAGCAGAGTGGAAAGGTCCCCCTGAACCCAGCCACCCCCAACGCCCTCATCTCTGAACCTTTCATGATGTGTGACAAGAGGCTGCTGGTGTTCTACGGCCACTTTCCCAGGGTTCCTGTCCCTTGTGCTGAGGCATCCTGCCAGCCCTGGTAGGAGAGCCCCCCGCCCGCCAACCTGGGCTGCTGATGCTGTGGACCTGGGGGAATACTTTGTATAAGAAGTCGCACACCTGGGATGCACAGGGATTGGCCACCCACCTGTGATGTGCAGAGAGGCTTTCCAGATCATGCCTGTGAGCAGAAAGGGGGAGGACGGTGGCCAAAGCTTAGGGAGTGGCTAACTGGTCCTCTGCAGCAGGGTCCGGTTCATTTTGCTGCCTCCCTAGCTGACACCTAACCGTACCCCACAGACCCTCTGGAGGAGCCTGGCACGCGTCTGACGCTTCTCACTAAGGGGCCAGTGAGACTGTGGCTACAGGCAGGCGGCGAAAGAGAATGATCCGGATGTTTCCTCCTCCTGTGACACCCAGGTTCTGCGCTTCCTTCGCTCATCCACTCTTGCTGGGAATCCAGTGCCTTTTGTACATCTTGCAGTTTAATTTAAGCACAGAAATTCTATCAGCTGATTTTAAATGAGGGTGCCCTCCTCAATGGCTTAGGCTTCAGGGTTGTTTCTGACCCTGGGAAGGACTTAGTCCTTCTGTTCCCCAGTGCTGCAGCTCTCTGCTCTCTGTTTTGTGATGGGAGAGAGGGGATTTAAACTCTGCTCATTTTAATGGGTAGAGTCGTTTCTGGGCTGGTGATGTGGCCCCCTTTGGGCAGAAGCATGCCTCCACAGGATTCCCTGTGCAGCTCCACTGAGCACCGAGCTGGGGGAGCAGCTCAGGGGTGACCCGGGAGGCCATGTTGTCTTGGGGACATTTGCATCTCACATGTCCCAGGATGCAAGTGTGAGGCCCCTGCTGTCTGTGCTCCTGATCATCTGGTGTCATGGGTTCCATAGATGTGGAGGTGTCCAGCTGCTGCCACAGCCAGAGTGTGACTGGCCCTGTCCTCCCGGCCTTGTGGCAGTTTAGGTACAGGAGTGAGCTCCTGGAGGCCAGGGCCTGTGCAAAAGCTCCTTGCATGCCCCAAGGGTGAGGAATATTGAGTGGGTGAAGAGTAAACACAGTTCCTGGCACACAGAGTGCAATGAACAATTCCTAATTGACTCAAATGGCTAAGCCAGGGGGAGCTGGGTATACCATAAATCCTACAATAAAAATTTGGCTTCATCCAACAGAAAAACCATGGGGTGATGCTGATTTATAATACAATCTGTTTCACTGTGGGATTCTTTTTCAGTTGTTGGCTCTTCTAAACACATTCTAAGCAGGATTTGATCAGTGCATTGATTTTTTTTTTTTTTTTTTTTACATTTTAGGAATCCACTTACTGCACACGGTGAGGTACATCAGCAGGGGCTCAGGCCTGCTGGGGTTTCTCCCAGGCTGGCTACCTCGATCCATCACCCCATCCCTCCAGACTCCAGAGGCTCTTTATCTGTCACCTGCTGAGTTTGCCTCTGGTGCCTGTTGTCTGCTTGGGCTGCCTTCCTTGCTTTAATCTTCTCTCCCAGAGAGACAGAGTTGAGAGAATATGTCCTTGTTTGCCTGCAGTTTGCAGCACATGACATCCCTCATTCTTCTTTCTCCGGGCTCCACTGCACGAGGAGGGCTCTTTCCAGCCTGTGCAAGTGGGCATGGAGCTGAGGGAGGCAGCAAGAGCTGCTTAAACAGGGAGAGCTGTAATATACATGCCTTGAGATTCACCCATTTCAGTGCACGATTCAGTGGCTTTGGTATAGTCACAAAGCTGGGCAGCCATCACCACTGCATAATTTCACATTCCCATCATCCCCAAGGAAGCCTTTTTCCTGTTTTCCCATTCTTCCCTCCCATTTCCCCTTCTTGCCTCCCATTTCCCCTTCTTACCTCCCCGCAGCCTCTGGCAACCATTAATCTACTTCTTGTCTTTTTGGATTGCCTAGTTTGAATGCTTCGTATAAATGGAATCATACACTATGTACTTTTTTATCTGGCTTCTTTCTCTTAACATAATATTTTCAACATTCCTAGGCTGGGTGCCATAGCTCACTTGTAATCCCAGCACTTTGGGAGGCTGAGGCAGGTGGATCACTTGAGGCCAGGAGTTTGAGACCAGCCTGGGCAACATGGTGAAACCCTGTCTCTACTAAAAATGCAGAAAAAAAAAATTAGCCAGTTGTGGTGGCACACACCTGTAATCCCAGCTACTCAGAAGGCTGAGGCATGAGAATGGCTTGAACCTGGGAAGCAGAGGTTGCAGTGAGCCAAGACCACTGCACTCCAGCCTGGGTGACAGAGTGAGACTCTGTCTCAAAAAATCTCAAAAAAGTTATATTAATATAAATAAATTATATATAATATAATATTTATTATACTATATTATATAATATATAACATATATATTATACTATATTATATAATATATAACATATATTATATATTATACTATATTATATAATATATAACATATATATTATACTATATTATATAATATATAACATGTTATATATTATACTATATTATATAATATATAACATACATTATATATTATACTATATTATATAATATATAACATATATATTATACTATAATATGTAATATATAACATATGTTATATATTATACTATATTATGTAATATATAACATATATATTATACTATATTATGTAATATATAGCATATGTTATATATTATACTATATTATGTAATATATAACATGTTATATATTATACTATATTATGTAATATATAACATATGTTATATATTATACTATATTATGTAATATATAACATATGTTATATATTATACTATATTATGTAATATATAACATATGTTATATATTATACTATATTATGTAATATATAACATATGTTATATATTATACTATATTATGTAATATATAACATATGTTATATATTATACTATATTATGTAATATATAACATATGTTATATATTATACTATATTATGTAATATATAACATATGTTATATATTATACTATATTATGTAATATATAACATATGTTATATATTATACTATATTATGTAATATATAACATATGTTATATATTATACTATATTATGTAATATATAACATATGTTATATATTATACTATATTATGTAATATATAACATATGTTATATATTATACTATATTATGTAATATATAACATATGTTATATATTATACTATATTATGTAATATATAACATATGTTATATATTATACTATATTATGTAATATATAACATGTTATATATTATACTATATTATGTAATATATAACATATGTTATATATTATACTATATTATGTAATATATAACATATGTTATATATGTTTATTATATATTATATATAATTTATTATATAATATATAACTATTATATAATCTATATGTGATATATATGATGTATATTATATATTAATTATATATATTTATTATTTATTTATTAATTATATAATTAATATATAATTATTTATTAATTATATATTATATATTATATAATTAATTTATATATTATACAATTAATTTATATATTATATAATTTATATATTATATAATTAATTTATATATTATATAATTTATATATTATATAATTAATTTATATATTATATAATTTATATATTATATAATTAATTTAATAATATATAATTTATATATATTATATAATTAATTATATAATATATAATTAATATAGTATATAATTTGTATATATTATATAATTTATATATTATATAATTAATTTATATGTATTATATAATTTATATATATTATATAATTAATTTATATATTATATAATTTATATATATTATATAATTAATTTATATATTATATAATTTATATATATTATATATTAATTTTTATATATTATATAATTTATATATATTATATAATTAATTTATATATATTATATATATAATATTATTTTAATTATATATATTTAAGATACCTCCATGTTGCAGCATGTTTCAGGACTTCATTCCTTTATATGGATGACAATTCTCCACTGTATGAATATACCACATTTTTTAAATCTGTTCATCAGTTGATGGAAATTTGGTTTGATTCCTTACACTTTTTGGCTATTATGAATACTGCTGATAGAAACATTCATGTGGAAGTTTTTGTGTGGCCATGTTTTCAGTTCCGTTGGGTGTATACCCAGGAGTGGAAGTGCTGCTGGGTCATGCAGTAACTTTATGTTCCACATTTCAAGAAACTGCCAAACTGCTTTCCACAGTGACTGTGCCATTTTACACTCCCACTAGCAATGAGTGAGGGTTCCAGGTTCTCCACATCCTCACCGACACCAGTGAATAACTTTTTAATTTCAGTCATCCTAGTGGGTGTGAGGTGGTCTCTTTTTATGGTTTTCATTTGCACTTCTCTAATGGTTAATGAGGTCGAGCATCTTTTCATATCTGATTGGCCATTATTATATAATATTTGGAGAAATGTCTATTTAAATCCTTTGCTGATTCTTTAGTTGGGGCATTTGTCTTTTTATTAAGTTGAGAGAGTTCTTTATATATTCTAAGTATCCTCAGATATATGGATTGCAAATATTTTTTCCCATTCCATGGGTCGTCTTTTCGCTTTCTGGAATAGTGTCCTTTGAAGCACAAACGTTTTTAATTTCAAAGTCCAATTTACCGAATCTTTTCTCTAGCTGCTTGTGTTCTAGGTGTCATATTTAAGAAACGATTCCCTAATCCAAAGCTATAAAGATTTATGCTTTTTTGTATGTGTTGGGGGAGTAACAGTTTTATAGTTTTAGCTCTTATATTTAGGCCTTTCATCCATTTTAAGGTAATTTTTGCTAACGGGGTGTGGTAAGGGTCCAAGTTCATTCTTTTGCGTGGGACTATATGATGGTTCCAGCACGTCTGCTGAAAAGATTCTTCTTTATCCTTTGAATTGTCATGTCTGAAATCTATTGACCATAGATGTATGGGTTATTTCTGGACCGTCCATCCTATTCCGTTGATCTATGTATTTATCCATATGTGGGTGCCACATTGTCTTAATTACTCTAGCTTGGTAGTAAATTTTGAAATCAGGAAGTGTAAATTCCCCAACTTTGTTCTACTTGTGAAAGTTGCAGATATGAGGATGAAATCACTTTAGTCAGATCCAGACAATACAGTGCTGGGAAGGCGTGAAGGAGAGGGGCTCATGTTTACATATCTGAAATAAGAACTATTCCAAGGACTTTCTAGAAACCCTGGAAGAAATCCCTTCATGTCCTTCACACATCTGCTTTGTGCAGCTTGTATGTTTTGCATGTGTGCTCATATTTCTTTTTTTTCCTTTTCTTTTTCTTTTTCTTTTTGTGAGATGGAGTCTCGCTCTGTCACCCAGGCTGGAATGCAGTGGCACAATCTCGGCTCACTGCAACCTCCGCCTCGCAGGTTCAAGCGATTCTCCGTCTCAGCCTCCTGAGTAGCTAGGACTACAGGCGCCTGCCACTACGCTTGGCTAATTTTTTGTATTTTTAGTAGAGATGGGGTTTCACTGTGTTAGCCAGGATGGTCTCGATCTTCGGACCTTGCGATCCGCCCATCTCGGCCTCCCAAAATGCTGGGATTACAGGCGTGAGCCACCGTGCCCGGCCGGGTGCACATATTTCTATGACACGTGGTTTATCAGTAGACATTCTTTAGGACTGTAACAATTCTGATAATATGCTCTTGAAAGAAGGCTTGCTCAGTAAGCCCTCCACCAATGAACTGATGCCAACTCTGGCTTTGAGCTACCAGAACCAATGAACTCTGTGTCCAAGAAGTTTATGTGAATGTCTCTCTTTTTGCTAATAATAACTTCCCCTTACTCCTTTTCCCTCACTGGGTGCACCTGTGACTTGTCATAGTGTATTACGGATTGTAATCCTCTTTTCTATTCCCCTCCAAATTCAACATATTTGGAGACATTTTTCTCTGATGTCTTTTTTTTTTTAGGTTGACATACTTTTTCAAGATTGTTTTGGGTATTCTGGGGCCCTTGCATTTTTATGTGAATTTTAGGTTATCTTGTCAATTTCAGAAAGAAAGCAGCTAGAATTTTTATAGAGATTGTATTGAATATGTAGGTCAATTTGGAGGGTATTGCCATCTTAACAATATGAAGTTTTATAATTCACGAATATAGAATGGCTTTCCATTTATTTAGATTTTCTTTAATTTGTTTTAATGTTTTGTAGTTTGTAGTGTACAAGCCTTGCACTTTTTTCATTAAATTTATTCTTAAATATTTTATTTTTTGATGCTATTGTAAATGCAATTGTTTTCTTAGTTTCAATTTTGGTTTGTTCATTGCTAATGTATAGGAGTACAATTGCTTTTGTATGTTGATCTTGTATCCTGCAACCTTGAAGAACTTGTTATTAGCTCTAATAGTTTCTTTCATGGATTCATTTGGATTTTCTATGTACAAGATCATGCCATCTGCAAATGCTGATAGTTTTACTTATTCCATTCCAATCTGGATGTCTTTTATTTCTTTTTCTTGCCTAACTGGCATAGTCAGCCCTTCTAGTATAATGTTGAATAGAAGTGCCACCTCTCAAAAGAGAGCTCTTAAAACGTTCATCTTGGTGCATTTTAAAAACAACGTGGGGAAAAATAAGAATAGAATTCCTTCAAAATGCTAGGAGGTAGGAAGAGAGAAAAAAGAAGTAAAGCAAAAGAAAAATAACATTAAGTAGGAAGTACAAAATAATATAGCAAACCTAACTCTAATTAGTTCAGTAATTATAATAAAAGTAAACAGATTCCATTTTCTAGTTCATTTAGAAACTCTTGGACAAAAATCAGGCCAGATGCAGTGGCTCATGCCTGTAATCCCAGCACTTTGGGAGGCTGAGGCGGGTGAGTCATTTGAGGTCAGGAGTTCAAGACCAGCCTGGCCAACATGGTGAAACCCCATATCCACTAAAAATACAAAAATTAGCTGGGCATGGTGGTGTGTGCCTGTAATCCCAGCTACTTGTGAGGCTGAGGCACGAGAATCGCTTGAACCCAGGAGGCAGAGGTTGCAGTGAGCCGAGATGGTGCCGCTGCCCTCTAGCCTGGGTGACAGAGCAAGACTCTGTCTCAAAACAACAACAACAACAACAAAACCAGTTCAAATTCAGCTATGTGCTATGATACCCAGAAAATAATGAAGCAAAAAGGTTAAAATTAAAAACAGGGAAAGATTAAAAAGGATGAAAGAATAACTGAAGGAAGCTACTAGTTATATTAATATTAGACACAAGAGATTTGAGTTACATCATTAAGGATTAATAGTTATTAAATACGGTAAGCGAAAAGTTTCACAAGAAAGAGGTAAAAATCCTGAACTCGTGTGTTCCTAAAACATATCATCATAATAGATAAAGCAAAATTTGGCGTACTTTTCCAGAGAAGTTGACAAATCGCTAATCATAGTGAGAGATCTTAATACCAGCTTCCAGAATTGATCACTCAAGCAGAAAAACAATACTAGAAGAGATGATCAATACACTGATAGGCTTGATCTAATGAGCTGCATAGAACCTATGCCCAATAGTTAGGAAATTCACATTTTAACTTCCAAACATGATATAAAACATTTACAAGAATTGGCTACATACTGGGACACAAAGCAAATACAAATAAACATAGAATGAAATGGTATGATGTTGACCTTTCTGTGGTCATAGAAATAAAATACAAGGCCGGAGCGATGGCTCACGTGTGTAATCCCAGCACTTCAGGAGGCCAAGGAGGGTGGATCATTTGAGGTCAGGTGTTCAAGACCAGCCTGGCCAACATGGTGAAACCCTGCCTCTACTAAAAAGACAAAATTAGCTGGGTGTGGTGGTGGGCACCTGTAGTCCCAGCTACTTAGGAGGCTGAGGCAGGAGAATCACTTGAACTCAGGAGGTGGAGGTTGCAGTGCGCCAAGATCGTGCTGCTGCACTCCAGCATGGGCAACAGAATGAGACTCTGTCTCAAAAAAAAAAAAAAAAAAAAAAAAAAAAAGAAAAAAAGAAAGAAAGAAAGAAAATACAAAAAGACTGTCAAAAAGTATCTTACAAAAACTAAGAGGAAGTTGGCAGAGTTTACACCAGTCAAACAAGGAAAAGACACAATAAGATTGAACTTGTTGGAATTTGCTGTATTACTTATTTGGTTTTATTTTGGCCAAGGTATAGACAATGAATGTTCTAGGGGAGGTGGAAAGGGAGGCATGGTGAAATCTTGTTTTCTGGGTAATTTCTGTTCTGAAAATAAAAATGTGTCTGCAGGGCTTATTCACTACAGGCGCAATTTTGCAATCTTTTTCTAAGTGAGAGGTTCACACTGTAGTTATATGGGGAAAATGTGCTTTAAAACTCATTATTACTAAGCCTTTGAATTCTATCTTGCTTCCCCCAAAGCCAACATTTTATTCACTCCAACATGCCCAGTGCTTTTGTATAAGAGATTCTATGTCATTTGAAGCAGAGAAGCTGTCTCTTTCTTATACACACAGCTCCAAAGAATGTGATGGTAAATTGAATTCTTTTTTTGTTAATTGCTGAAGCAATGCCCTGGGAATGTTGAATTTATTATAGTGCTGCCTTATACTTCTACAGATGTGAAAACCCATATTGAAAAAATACAAGTTTGTAATTTCCTTAATTATCATGAGAGGTTCTTCTGTATCTGGACAGTCTGTAAAAAAGAAAAAAATAGTGCTGGGGTAATGATGAGAGATGTGCTGGATAAGCTTACTACGTTTGTAATGATCCAGAGAAGAACAGGAGGGGTAATGAAGAGGCAAAATGAATATGGCAGAAGCATTAGTCTAATAACTGACATCTGCTCAATCAAATTTGGGGGCCCATTGTTTAGTAATATACACTTTTTTGATTGTGAAATCCATAGACTTCTATAGATCAATAGAAAAAAAAACAGAGAGGAACTTTTGGGGTTCATCCCAAACAAGATGTCTCCCATTCATTGTGCATCTCAAGTGAGCTACACAGAAAAAGGCAATCCAGTTTGATATTTGCACCATTTTCCTTAAACACTAATCTCTTTCTCTTGCACAAAGTTCTGGATTTTAAGCAGGTTAACCACAATTGGTGTTAGCATTTGCAACTTCATTAGTGAGTTTTAAAAACGGTCTTGAGGACATGAATTGAAATTGCAATTCGTAAATGTAGACAATATTTTTTGCCTAGCCTAGGCATGACATGACAAATATCAGATACCTTGGGGGGACTTTTTAGGGATTAAAAGAAGATTCAACTGAGATCCGAGAGGAGAGTTAAGTATTTGGCAAAAATGATTCAGTTAGTCAAGCGTGGCGGCGTGTGCCTGTAGTCCCAGCACCCAGGAGGCTGAGGTAGGAGGATAGCTTTAGCCTAGGAGTTTAAGACTGCAGTGAGCTATGATCGTGCCACTGCACTCCAGCCTGGGTTACAGAGCAAGACCCTATCTCTAAAAAAAAAGAAAGAAAAAAAAAAGGAAAAAGATTTGAAAGTTCAATTGGCATTAGTTCAGAAGAGTCCATATAGGGCAGAAAGAAACTTGAGGCTAACACAGACAGTAAATCAGAGGTAAGGCTGCCTTGTAATGCAATGTGCAAGTACAGAAAATTGCCAGTTATAACAGCTACTCCCAATTAAATAAATTTTGAGTCAGGTGGAAGGGTAATTAGCCCAGAATCACTTGTCCTTTTCCCATCTGCAAAACATAATATCTCAAGACTCCTAGAAACTACCAGTGAATTGTAAGTAGGTAACGTAATGCTATCATTTTATTTTGGGTGCTGATATGGTTTGGCTCCAACTCTCATCTCGAATTGTAATCCCCGCATGTTGAGGAAGGGGCCTGGGGGGAGGTGATTGGATCATGGGGGTGGTTTTCCCCATGTTGTTCTTGTGAGAGTGAGAGAGTTCTCAAGAGAGTTGATGGTTTTCATTCTGGCACTTCCTTGCTCTTTTGCTCTTACTTTCCTAATGCCATGTAAGACGTGCCTTTTTTCCCCTTCACCTTCCATCATGATTGTCAGTTTACTGAGTTCTCCCCAGCCATGTAGAACTGTGAGTCAATTAAACCTCCTTTCTTTATAAGTTACCCAGTCTCAGGTAGTATCTTTACAGCAGTGTGAGAATGGAGAATGGACTAATACAGGTGCTAATATATATTTCTGTAAAACTTAGATTTTTTTTTTTTTTTTTTTTTAGAGATGGATTCTCGCTCTGTCGCGCAGGCTGGAGTGCAGTGGCACAATCTTGGCTCACTGCAACCTCTGCCTCCCGGGTTCTAGCAATTCCCCTGCCTCAGCCTCCTGAGTAGCTGGGATTACAGGTGAACGCTGCCACGCCTGGCTAATTTTTTGTATTTTGCTAGAGATGGGGTTTCACTGTGTTGCCCAGGCTGGTCTGGAACTCCTGAGCTCATGCAATCCACCCACCTTGGGCTCCCAAAGTGCTGGGATTACAGGCGGTGGGCACACTGCACCCAGCCGATCTATCTTTTAAAAGACGGACAGGGTCAGAGAAAGTCAGGGAGGACCATGGGAAATATTGACATGATGGCAGTGGGTGGGGCTATTGAAGGACCCTGGCTTCCCAGTTCCACACACCTGTGTTTAAACACTACTACTTAGCAGCTGTATGACCGTTTCAACTGGCTGACTTTTCAGCTCAAAGATTCTGTGAGCGCCTCCTATCTGACAGTCCAAGTCCTAGGTGTTTATTCACCATGGTGACTGAGAGAAGTATCATTCCTGCCCTAGTGACACTCATGTTTTATTATAAAAAACATGAAACAAGGAGTTGCAGCTAAGTACAATTCAGTGTTTGAAAAACAGACAGAGTTCTTTGGAGCACAGAGAAGATGTGTTGCGGGGGTTGGTGGGAGCTTTGTCGGGTGGAGAAGAGGCCAGGCCAGATCTTAGGGAAGGGGGCAAGTCAGGAAGCAGATACAGCATCAGGCAGAGGAGGTGAGGGTGGGTCCTACCTGGAGGAGAC
Organism: Homo sapiens; assembly: GCF_000001405.40. NCBI lineage: Eukaryota > Metazoa > Chordata > Mammalia > Primates > Hominidae > Homo > Homo sapiens. Next base: position 11,083,582 of record NC_000002.12, on the reverse strand, counting down.
ACATGGGAATGAAGACCATATATTTAAGAATTAGAATTGGTAGGGCTTTTTATAGCCTTTTTCTAAAAAAAATTTCATAATTTACCTTTAGTAAAGATGCCATCATCCATTTTTTGGTCTGTAAAGGATTATATAGGCATGGAGGAACATATGGAAATATATGACTTAATTGTTAATGACTTAGGTTTTGTTGGTGTTTTAGTCTGGGTTCTCCAGGGAATTGGTTCTAAAGAACCAATAGCCTACACACACACACACACACACACACACACACACACACACACACATACACATGCAGAGAGAGAGAGAGAGAAAGAGAGAGAGAGAGAAAGAGAGATTTATCATAAGGAACTGACTCGTGGTTATGGAGGCTGAGAGGTCTCCAGATCTGCAGTCAGCAGGCTGGGGACCTGGGAGAGCTGATGTGTAAGTTCCAGTCCGAGTCAGAATCGGAAGGCAGAGAAGATTCATGTTTCAGCTCAGACAGTGAGAGCACATGTCAGGCCTTCGGTGGACTGGATGAGGCCTGCACACACCGGGGAGGGAAATCTGCTTTCCTGCATCTACCGATTCAAATGCTAAACATCACTGACACAGCCAGAGCAATGTTCAACCATACATCTGAGCTCTCCATGGCCCAGTCCAGTGGACACATAACATAAACCTCATGGTGGGTATGAAGGGAGAGCCAAGACAGGCAAAACAAAATGAAACGAAACACCCCCAAACCCCAAACCAATAAAACAACAGTATGATATATTTTCACTTAAGCATGTGGGCATATGTAAAAAAAAAAGTTTTTGTGTGTTTTTTTTCATTTTAATTTTTTTTTAATTTTCTTTTTTTGGAGACAGAGTCTCGTTCTGTTGCCCAGGCTGGAGTGCAGTGGCACGATCTTAGCTCACAGAAACCTCCACCTCCCAGGTTCAAGCGATTCTTGGGCCTCAGTCTCCCAAGTAGCTGGAACTACAGGTGCATGCCACCACGCCCCGCTAATTTTTGTACTTTCAGTAGAGACAGGGTTTCACCATGTTGGCCAGGCTGGCCTTGAACTCCTGACCTCAAGTGATCTGCCCGCCTTGGCCTCCTAAAGTGCTGGGATTATAGGCATGACCCACCGTGCCCCACCAAAAAAAAAAGTTAAAAAAAGAAAAGAAGAAAAAGTGGGTTTCAAAAGTCATTTGGGTCACTCATCTCATCTTGTGATTGGTTTATGTCATTGCTTAGACAAATGGCTAACTGAATGTCTGGGACGAGTATTTGATTCTCCACTGGTAGGGATTCAAAAGTTCTTTATTAGGCCTGGTGCGGTGGCTCACGCCTGTAATCCCAGCATTTTGGGAGGCCAAGGCAGGCGGATTGCCAGAGCTCAGGAGTTTGAGACCACTCTGGGCAACATGGTGAAACTCCATCTCTACTAAAATACAAAAAATTAGCTGGGCGTGGTGGCATGTGCCTGTAGGCCCAGCTACTCGGGAGGCTGAGGCACGAGAATTGCTTGAGCCTGGAAGGCAGAGGTTGCAGTGAGCCAAGATTGTGCCACTGCACTCCAGCTTGGGCTAAAGAGTGAGATTCTGTCTCAAAAATAATAATAAAAAAATTCTATATTAGTCTTCCTGTATCAGCTCACTTACGTCTGAGATTTCTTTAACAGGTTTCTTACTCATTACAGAGGAGGCATAGCATGCAAATGACACATTGGACAAGTAGCACAGGGGCTTAAATTCATACTAAAATGTAAATGACTAGTACCAGAACTGTGCACTGACTTTGGGTGGAAGAGTGGAAGGAGCACTGAGTCTGAAGGGCATAGAAGAGAGTTTGTCACGCAGTGAGTTAAGGGACCCAGAAGGGAAGTTTTGGAGAAGCTCTGTTGGCTTACTTGTTTCTGAAAGAGGCAGCTATAGTGTAAGGAAAAAGTACAAATCTGGGTTCACTGTGTCACTTACTGGCTGAGTAACTTGGGCAGATGGCGTAACCTCTCCAAGGGTAAAGATATTCACATGGCTTTTTCAGAGATAAAAGCCATGACAGCCGGACGCGGTGGCTCACGCCTGTAATCCCAGCACTTTGGGAGGCCAAGGCGGGTGGATCACCTGAGGTCAGGAGCTCGAGACTAGTCTGGCCAACATGGTGAAACCCCATTTCTACTAAAAATGCAAAAATTACCCAGGCATGGTGGTGGATGCCTGTAATCTCAGCTACTCGGGAGGCTGAGGCACGAGAATCGCTTGAGCCTGGGAGGTGGAGGTTGCAGTGAGCTGAGATCACGCCACTGCCCTCCAGCCTGGGTGACAGAGCAAGACTCCTTCAGGAAGGAAGGGAGGGGGAGAGAGGGGGAAATGGGGGGAGGGAGGGGGGAAGGAGGGGACAGAAGGGAGAAGGAGGGGAGGGGGGTACAGGGAGGCATGGAGGGGGGAGGGAGGAGGGAGGGGGAAGGGGGAGGGGGGAGGCCAGAGGGAGGGAGGGAGGGAGGGAGGGCGGAAAATGACATGTGGCTGCCGAGCAGAGTCCCTGTTCCGTCGTGGCGATGCAGGGCTCTCCTCCCGTTCCCCTCTGCCCTGGCCGCCCAGGGAGTCTGCCGCAGGCTTCCCCTTTCCCATTACAGATATGTCCGCAGAGTAGGGTTCACGGGTGGATCTTACCATGCGCTGACCCCACATGGCTCAGCCTACAGGAACTTGGCAGGGGCCGGCCTGGCCCTGTTTCTGCCTCAGTGACCCCAACTGGCTGCCAGAGAGGCGTGGTGGAGCTGAGTCTCTGAGTGTGAGAGCAGGGCTGCACGCGAAGCCCTGAGCACAGTGCTTAGCACATAGTAGGTGCACAACAAGTCCTAATCACCCCAGTGATCATGATGAGGAGGAGGGCGTTAATCACGTTCTCGTAGGCCTCATCTGCAGGAAGGATGCTTCAGAGGTCAGGGAGGGAAGTGAGCTGGGGACACCTCCTTGAATGCCTGCCTATCTGGAGAGGTGCTCAAAGGCTTGCCTCTGCAGGCAGATCCAATCCTAAGACCCCAGGAATCCAGCCCCCACTTCTCAGCCACCTGGCCTCCAGTAGTGTCTCTGTTCTAGTCAGCTGGTCTCCCAGCTGTCCCCAGCTCATGCATGGTTTCTCCTTGTTCATTGTTCCCTTGGTCTGGAATGTCCTCCGGCTTTCATGTCTGCCTCCACCAATCCCCCTGCCCTTCCCAGCCTGGCCCCTTGGCAGCACCAGCCTCACTGTGCTCTCTGTCTGCAGCTCCCAGGTTCTCTTCTCATGCACAACTCCAGCCTGCTTTCCACTGCAAATCTCACACCCAGTGAGGATGCCCTGCCTGCGAGCAGGGACACAGGGAGCAATTCTGCTTTCTTTCTTTCTTTTCTTTCTTTCTTTCTTTCTTTCTTTCTTTCTTTCTTTCTTTCTTTCTTTCTTTCTTTCTTTCTTTCTTTCTTTCTTTCTTTCTTTTTGAGACGGAGACTCACTCTGTCGTCAGGCTGGAGTGCAGTGGCGCGATCTCAGCTCACTGCAACCTCTGCCTTCCGGATTTGAGCGATTCTCCTGCCTCAGCCTCCCAAGTAGCTGGGATTACAGGTGCCTGCTACCACACCCAACTAATTTTTGTATTTTTAATAGGGACGGGGTTTCACCATGTTGGCCAGGATGGTCTCAAGCTCCTGACCTCAGGTGATCTACCCACCTTGGACTCCCAAAGTGCTGGGATTACAGGTGTGAGCCACCGCACCGGGCCACAATTCTGCTTTCTAACTCAGTCGTCTGCCAGGGGCCCACAAAAGTTGACTCTGTGTCTTTCTAATGAAGGACAGACAGTTGACAGTTTGGCATCAAAATCACCAATGACTGTGGGCCTGTGTATTGGTGGTGGTTGTGGCTGGTTTTGAGGGAGTGGTGAGGGTGAGGTCGCACAGGTGGCCCTGCTGCTGTCACTCCCGTGTGCCAGTGCGGTCAGCTGCTGCTGGGCTGGAGCTGTGCTTGCCCACATTGGTTTGTTTTGCTGTTTTCAATATTTATTGCCTAATGAAATGACAAATTGCATCCGATGCAGCTGTCTTGTCAATGAGGAAGCAATGTAATTAAGTGTTAAAATTATACTGCTTCAATGCCCCAAGCTGTGCTTGCTTCACGTAAATTGAATGGCTATAAAAAGATCCCAGGGCGGGCTTTGTAAATGGCCTGTCACATCCTGCAGGAAGGGAACTCCATGGTCACCAGGACCTTCTGGACTTTGAATGTCAAAAATGACAAATGGACTGTGCTTTCCTTCTTAGTAGTGATCATCTGTCACCCACTGGTGCAGAGTAACAGGCCGGGCTGCTCGTTTGCCTCATCTGCTGAAGATGATTCCATCAAGGTGAGCTGTCAGTGCCCAGAGGCACTGGGGGCACCTGGAGGCCAAGTGTGATCAAAAGCAAATTCCAAGGGATGGCTTCTTCAGGTGTCCTCAAAGCCCAAGCACCTCCCTCCTCACAACAGCTCCCCACCCACCCCCATTTTTGATCCAAATACCAAATGCCCATTCCGGACCCATTAGACTGTGGGTTGTTGTTTCTTTTTGGGGGAGGAGGTTAAAAATACATTGCATGGCTGGGCGTGGTGGCTCACGCCTGTAATCCCAGCACTTTGGGAGGCCGAGGAGGGCAGATCACGAGGTCAGGAGATCGAGACCATCCTGGCTAACATGGTGAAACCCCGTCTCTACTAAAAAAATACAAAAAAAAAAAAAATTAGCTGGGTGTGGTGGTGGGCGCCTGTAGTCCCAGCTACTCGGGAGGCTGAGGCAGGAGAATGGCGTGAACCCGGGAGGCGGAGCTTGCAGTGAGCCAAGATCGCACCACTGCACTCCAGCCTGGGCTGCAGAGCGAGACTCCGTCTCAAAAACAAACAAACAAACAAAAAGCCATTGCATAGTATTAATCATTTTAACTATTCAGAAGTGCATGAGTCAATGGCATTAAGTACATTCACCACGTTGTGTACCCATGACCATTATCTATACCCAAGCAATTTGTCATCCCAAATAGAAACTCTGTACCCATTCAACAATAACTCCTCCTCCTCCACCCCCAGCCCCTGGTCGCCTCTATTCTACTTTCTGCCTCTAGGCATTTGCCTGCTCTAGATGCCTTATGTAAGTGGAATCACACAATACTTGTCCTTCTGTGTGTGCCTTATTTTACTTAGCATAGTGTTTCCAAAGTCCATCTGTGTTGTAGTGAATATCACCATCCCAATTCCTCTTTGCAGCTGTATAATATTCCACCCTGTGCATAGACCATTCAGCTGGATTTGGAAAGGACCCAGGCAGCTCCTGCTCCACTGTAGCTGCAGACCTGGGTGAAGGCTGTCCTCTTTGGCACCAAGGTCAGGACTGTCTCCATTGCTCTTTACCCTGAGGATGTGGCTGGCTCCTTCACTGCCTGTCCTCTTCAACTCTGTGTCCAGAAGTCATGGGGTGCTCTGAGGGAATTGCAGGGAAAAGCAACAACAGTGGATCTTGAAAATATGGAAGAGACTCAAAGCAAGTTATTTCCTGGATTTTTGTGAAACACTGATAAGATGCTAACAAGCACTGGGTAGAAAATCTATTTGCTCTTGGACAACCAGTCCCACAGGGAAACCATCTGTGCCTCTTGCCATGGGGAGAGCCGAAAGGCAATGGCTTAGTTAATCAGGACTGGGCACTGCTGGCCTTCCCTGGGTAGTGTTGTGGGAGAGAGTTAGTGTCACTCCATCAGGCCACACCTTCACTCAGAGCACTCTCTTCCCACTCACGATGGACTAGGACCCTCACCTTGGGTGAGAATGTGATTTGTCATGGCATCTGTGATCATAAAGTCACTGAACATGACCTCAGAGGGACCCAAGACTCCTTCTCTTGACAGATGAGGGAACTGAGCCCGTAAATGAACAACAGATGTGCCAAACCCCCTCAGCTGGTGGCTGTTTGTCATCTGTCACCTGATCATGGTTCTCCTGGCTTCTATGTTGCCCTCCCTCCACAGGGCAGCAGGTGCTACTTCTAAATGGACAAGTGGGAATGTGGGTCTAGGGGAGGCCCCACAGACAGGGGGATGCTGTCGGTCCCAGACCTGCCACCAGACCATTGCTCATTTCCTGTTGATACTCTGCATCTCCAGTGCTTGGGTCTGAAAGACCCGTTTTACTCCTGAAATATTCACACTTCCTAAGATGGTAATGGCTGGTATTATTTTGTAAAAGACATCACTAATGCTTTATTGCTTTAAAAGAAAGGAGAAGGCCGGGTGTGGTGGCTCACGCCTGTAATTCCAGCACTTTAGGAGGCCGAGGCGGGCAGATCACGAGGTCAGGAGATCGAGACCATCCTAGCTAACACGGTGAAACCCCGTCTCTACTAAAAACACAAAAAATTAGCCGGGCGTGGTGCTGGGTGCCTGTAGTCCCAGCTACTCGGGAGGCTGAGGCAGCAGAATGGCGCGAACCCGGGAGGCGGAGCTTGCAGTGAGCCGAGATCTCACCACTGCACTCCAGCCTGGGTGTCTCAAAAAAAAAAAAAAAAAAAAAAAGAAAGAAAAGAAAAAAAGAAAGGAGAAGAAACATAACTGTAATTTTCCAAAGTTTGGACTGGGACTTTTCAGGTCCTTTTTGGAGGGCAAAGGAAGTGCCAGCTTCTCTGGGGAACTTGTTTTTAAATCCAAAGACTCCAACCACATTCCCTACACATGAACATGTTCGCTTTCATCCCTTCTCTCAGTGTCTCCTTCCCATCTTAGTACCATTGTGATTATAGACATCTGCATTTTTAGAAGCATTTTACCCATTTATTTTTTTAAACATTCCAGAACTGCTGACATACTGTGGATGTGGAGTATAAAACTTGAAAAATGCAGATGTTGAAGGAATAATAAGTATCTTGTGCTTTAATACTTTATGGCAGGATGGTACTATAAGCAAGTGAATTAAACAGCTATGTAAATCATAAGCAAAAACTAAAAAGGAACCAAAGTGAAAAGGATAACTTCCAGGCAGTGTCTTTCTATTGTAACCTGTTATTTAAGGAAATACTGGTGATTTCTTCTAAATAGGATATAAAACTTACTTCAAATTACTCTTCCTCGGTCCTGCCTGCCAAGAACTCACGTGTAACTGTGATAAAATAACCTTTCCCAGGTATATTGGCAGGTATGTGTGTAATCTCAGAATACGCAGGTGACACAGATATGATATGACAGCTGGTAATGGTGGATTCATTTATAATGTTTACACTTCTATGACCAGGCCTTAAGGGAAGGTCAGTTTTTTAAAAAACCAAGCAGTGTCTTCCTACCTATCTCCAGATACATGTCAAAAAAGAAGCACATGTTTGTGCTTCCGTTTCGTTTCTGCTCAGCAATATAGTCAAGCAACAGTTTGTTTCCAAGTGACCCATTGAGCTGTGTATGCATTTTTGTTTATTTCAAATAAAATATATTTGTATTATTTGTCAAAAAAAGGAGAAAAAAGTACAATAAAACATTATGCAACTTGTTACTAGATGCTGAGGATGTCACATTAAAGATGAGAACACAGAAAGAAGAAAATGACAGAAATAGACTTCTCCTAGTCACAGAACAGACAGGAGTGCCAAAGACTGTTAGTTAGGAGTAGGTTCACTGCTAGTGACAGCAACCTGGCCTTAGAGGCTCAGACACACAAAGGTTTATTATCTCACAAAAAAGTAGTACAGACGTAGGCAACCTAGGGCCGATGTGGTGGCTCCATGAAGTTATCAGGTAACCCGGTTCCTTTCTGTCTTCTATTTTTGCCTGGTATCACTTCCAATATCAAGGCAATCTCACAGCCTAAGATGGCTGCCAGAGCTCCAGCCATTATTCCTACAGTTGAAGCACCAGAAAGGAAAAAGTGAGGAAGAAGGGCTCCCTCAATCATCTGAGAAACACTCCAAGAAGTCCAACACAACACTTCCATTTGCATCTCACTGGTCACTCCTAGTTTTGAGGGAGGCTGGGGAAGGCAGTCTTTATTCTTAAGTGGCAACATGTCCAGCTAAAAAGCAGGACTGTGTTACTAAGAAAGAAGAGAGAATGGCAATAGGTAGCAGCTGTAATCTCTGCCACATACACAAAGTCAGTGGCCTGAGGTGGGTCTGATGGTAGGGACAGTTGTACTTTGGCCAGCTGTCCCCCCTGTGCTGAGAGCTGCTGGTCACTTGCTGCCTGCTGTGACACTGGCAAGGCCACTGGCAGGAGGGAAGCAGTGATGCTAGCCGTTCCTCAGTCCACCGCTGTGTCTCATATGGTGTCCAATCTTGTTTTATCTGTACAGATCCAACAGGAACAGTAGTCGTTTTCACTTACATTTCAGTTTGTGCCGTGCATCGCCTTCTGACCAACATGGTGTTCTTTGGCTGGCTCCTATAGAAGCAGAGTTTGAGAGAGGAGTTTTTGTTTTTTTAAGGGATAGGGTCTCGCTCTGTGGCCCAGGCTAGAGTGCAGTGGTGTGATCATAGCTCACTGCAGCCTCCAACTCTTGGACTCAACTATCCTCCTGCCTCAGCCTCCCAAATAGCTGGGACTACAGGTGTGCTATCACACCTGGCTAATTTTTAAAATTTTCTTTAGAGACAGGGTCTCACTATGTTGCCCAGGCTGGTCTCAAACTCCTTGACTTAAGCAAGCCTCCCACCTCAGCCTCCCAAAGTTCTGGGATTACAGGCGTGAGCCACCTTGTCAGGCCTGAGACAGAAACTCTTGAGGGAGTGCCCTCGGGTGACGTGTGTGAGGGTGAGAGAAGCGTACCCAGACAGGGGAAGAAGTAGACAAAGAGGTGGTTTGACCCCACAGGGAGCCCAGGACTGTGAATGGGACCCATGTTGTCCCACCTGAGGCAAGGGGCTGGGTTTTAGTGTCCCCATCGGTCACGTAGGTGCCGTCCTGCTCACATCAGCCCAGTTCAGAGCCCTGCCTAGTGCCAGCCCTCAGAGAAGGAGACGGAGCCTGCACAGATGGCATCCAAGTCATCCTCGTGGCACCCAGTGAGGAGCCCCAGGCTCGGGTCATTATCCCTACATTACAAAGGAGGAGTCTGAGGCCTTGGGGAGGGAGGTGACCCGACAGGACCATGGGCCACCCTGAGGCAGAACCAGGACCAGCCGTGGCCTCCTGCCTGCCGGCCACTGCCTTAGATGGGAACACCTGGAGCCCCTTCCACTGCTCTGCGTTGCTGCCTCCAAACTGCACTTCTGGCGACCGAGCATCTGTTATTTGTGCCATTTTAAATTTTGTACTGGGTCTGAGTGAGACACATGGAAAGGAAAGCAGCTAAACCACTTATTAGAAAAGGAGTGTTTCCAGCTGCAGACAATCGCTGTAGTGATCCTCATCGCCCTTAGAATAAAGACAAACGGCAGCACACGTTTCCCGGGGTAAAGGGTGCACCACAGTGGCACAATCACACCTGTGTGCATTTGACGGTGCTTTTTCTTTATTTTTCCCTTTGGAGGGGAGTACAGGTGGGCAGGGGCTGGGCGCAGCCGCCTGGCACCATGGGCTCAGTCCTGGCTTCCATCTCTGTCCAGTCTCCATTTTCATCCTGAGTTCCTGAGTCATTTTTTTCTTGCAGTTGAAAGCAATTTCCTGTTTACATTTTTTCCTTCAGGACACAAGGGCGGCTGGTTATGGACATATGAGCTTTCATAGATTTAAAAGTCTCAAGCGATTCTTCCATAAGGATGTAAAAATTTCCTCATGGGGCCCATTTTTCCAACCGAAGTTTTTTGGGTCTCCTCAATGGTCTCTTTCTCCTTTTTCGGTGTGAGATGATGGTTGCTGTGGCACTGTTGACGGTGAAAAACTAAAACCCCCGAATGACCTTCAGCATTGGGCTGATTGAACCTCAATGGCACCTCTTATCGTAAGAATATAGATTTGTATGTATTGACCTGGATAATTGACCTCCAAGATATTCTGAAGTGGGAAAAGCTAGTTGTAAACAAGATTATATAGCACTACGTAGTTTTTTTTTTTTTAAACAAACAACACATACACTCAAAACCTCTGTGTGCATATGTGTGTGTGTCTGTGTTTGTGTGTGTGTGCCAGAAGGAACAGAGACAGAGGTGAAGGCAGAGACGCTGCAGCGCCACCCACTGGCGCTGGCTTGGGTCATGCGGGAGGGGAAGAGGAAAGGGAGAGAAGGCTGCTGGGCAGTGCTCGACCTGAGACGTTCTCAGATTTCCCATTTCCATCCTGCCCCCGTCCGCATCACATCACATCCAGACAGGTCTGCAGGCTCCTGCTATAGCCCCACTGTTTTAAGCCGCCTGTTCCTAAACCTGTCCTTTCCACAGCTGCCCCGCCCTGCTTCCGGCACCCCACAGAACTCCTGAGGAATCTACATGGATGCCATTGAATTGAAACGGCCATTGCAACATTATAACTGAGACAGCGAAAGAGATCTGACTGAACCAACTCCATCTTGCTTCTAACCTCCAAGTTGTACTTGTTCATTCCTGAGCACAGGCTGAAATAATTCTGAGGGGAACTTAGTTTATAGTTTAGCTTTGAAACAAAGACGATAACAGCCCTTTCCCAAAACAAACTCCTTTCTTGCCTGGGCACTCCTCTGCCTTTGTATCACTAACAAATTAGCCAAATATTAGAAATTATGGTTTAGGAGCCATGCAGCTGGAGGCTACAAGACTCTGACTCTCCTCAGATTGCTCCTGGGGATAACATCACCGTTTTAAAACCTAAGATCAGTGCTTGAGATATTTTGCAGACCCCAAACTCGATGGATCAGCTGGCACCACCCAGATCAATAAACTGGCTCATCTGGTCGTGTGGCCACCCCCAACCCAGGAACTGACTCAGCACAAGAGAACAGCTTTGACTTCCTATGATTTCATCTGCAACCCGACCAATCAGCAGTCACAACTCACTGGCCCCTACTCACCAAATTATCTTTTAAAACTCCAATCCCCGAATTGGAGTCAATTCTCGGGGAGACTAATTTGAGTTATAATGAAACTCTGGTGTCCTGCACAGCTGGCTGTGCATCAACAACTCTTTCTCTATTGCAATTCTCCCGTCTTGATAAATCTGCTCTGTCTGGGTAGCGGGCAAGGAGAACCCGCTGGGTGGTTATACAATTGTTAAGAGGCAGGAAACAGAATCAGGTGAATAACCAAGGAGCAAGGGGAGGTGGCATCTAGCTTCTTGAGCAGGAGTTAGGGGTCATACTGGGAATAGAGGCACTGGGGGACATTATTACTTTTTCTAGGTAGATTATTTGATTTGTTAAAGTAATAAAATGTAAACTTTAATGAATCAAATGAATTGCTTTGAAACATTAAGGGTGAGGGTCCTTTGAACACCACAGTTCTACTGCTCACCATAGCCTTTGACTGATCAACAGCAGTAAACCACAAAGCCCCTTAGAGCGGGAGCTGCCGGCTGCTGTTGAAGCTTCTCAGTCCCAGCCCTGGAATCAATTGTTTCTCCAGGGGATGTGGGTTCCTCTTTCATGTGGAGAATGAAATTTAAAAGCCAAAGTCTGGGTGCTAGGTGTGCTCAGTGCTTTTGGGAAACAGCAGCTTTTGTTGCTGTTCCCAGGCTCCTTAAATGGGCAGAGCTAGGGAATATATGTAATATATATATGTGTATCTTTCTACCTGGTATCTATCGTCTATCACTGTCTGTTTAGCTAATCTCTCTCTCTCCATCATCTAATTTATCTGTGTATCATCTATCTCTGTCTATCTAATATCTATTTCTATCATCTAACTTATCTATCATCTATCTATATCTAACCTTCATCCATCCATCTCTCATCTCTCTAATCAATCTATCAGCTGTCTATTGTTCCCCAAAACTTTAAGTTCACATGGATACTTTAATCCCAGTGTTGCAGGACTTTCTCCTCAGTTCAACTAAAAACCAGGTTCTTGTCACATGACCAGGAAAGATTAGGCTCACAGACACATAGAAGGGTGAGAAAAATGGAATTTATTGGGTGAAAAAGGAAGAAGAGAAACACTTTCAGCAGAGCGAGAGGGAAGCTGAGAAATCAGCTCCTGCCCCCACCACACAGGAACTGAAGAGGCCGGGCTCCTCCCCTCTGCAAATGGCTGGAAGTTCCCTGGCTCCACCCCGTCCTCCTAGTGTGCAGGCCTGTTAGAAGTTCTCCCGGGAGCCCTTTTTACTTGGCTGTCTCACCAGGTCAAACAACAGGGCTCATTCTAGCTTTCCCCTTTCCACGTCTGTAACTCACTTCTTTGATATGAGGGCCCTGGCTCCCATCGTCCTCATATGGCTTCTTATGTGGTCCATGTCCCTATGTATAACCCACCTCCTTTCACTGGCACTTTCTCCTCCCTCACGCAGGTACTCTCCTCCCAACCCTTCCTGAATCATCTATTCTGGTGGCTACAGCAGGAGCCACCAGACCTTTCTGGGTGTGATGTGATACAGTATCCATGCATCACATCCAGTATCCCCTCCTATACAAAGGGAGGGGACCCAAAGAGGGTAGCCGTTGCCGGCTCAAATGCCTGGGTTTATATCCCTTATATCCCGATCATTGTACCTCCTGCTGTGCTCTCAGGCAATAGATGATCCAGTCTTCCATGTATCACAGTATAGCTCCCTTTGCAAGGGAGCTCTGTTTTCACTCTATTAAATCTTGCAACTGAAAAAAAAAAAAAAAAAAAAAATGGGGGAAGACTGTTTCACAATCGCCCCAGCTCTAGGGGTTCCAGGGGGCTGGTTGCCCAGAAGGAACCAGCTGCGAGAAGCCCTGTCCTGGGTGGGCAAGATGCTCTTGACTTTTTTCTTTTTTCTTGTGAGAAGCAAATGGGACTGGCAAATGTGGCCACCGTCTGTTGTCATTAATGGACAGTAACATTCATGTGCCCCTTTTTAGAAGATGAATTATATATTAACAAGAGCTAGAACAGGTACTATTAAGTTGGTGCAAAAGTAATAGAAGGGTGAGAAAAGTAATTACTTTTGCGCAACCTAATACTTACAACATTCCTCTGAGAAATCTCTCTCTGCCCAGAATTTGTCCTGGTGGTTTTCAGGGTTCTTATTAAGGAACAGAGAGGGAATTACCCACGGAACCTGCTTCAGATTGAAGCGGGGAAATCCCTGCCTAGGAGGCCACGTCTGAATGGAGCTCACAGAGACTCCCAGTGGCTCTGGGCAACATCCCCCGCTTCCCAACCCAGTCTGCTCCCAGGAAAGGGGCTCCTGAATGGCCCAGACATTTGAAAATGAAAAATTGCAGCAGCCCGGGGTGTTAAAACAATGTGGGCAAATATCCGAATGCTGTTTGGCCTTACTTTGGGTAAAGAAAAAAGGAAATGGCACGGTGGTCCCTCCCCGCAGGTGAACGGCTGTCACAGAGCATCTCAACGTGATTAACTAGATGTGATGCTGAATCACGCTTGACTTGTCTTTGTCTTGCTTGTTAAGGAGACTCTGAGGAGAGGTTCACCCCTGCTTCCAGGAAGATCCTACAGGCTGTGTTGACTTAGTGTCACTCTTGGGGGTGCAGGAGAGACCTGATGGCCCAGGTGACCATTAGAGGATGGTGACCTGGTGGACAGTGGTGTCCTCAGGTAGGAAGCCAGGAGAAGCAAGTTTTTAGGGCAGATGGAGAGTTTTGGTCATGGTCAGTGGAGGAGAGTCAGGTGGGTCCTGATCTACTTCAGCTGCTGAGTAGATCCATTCCAATGACACACTTAGGGACTGGGGAAAGGACCGCAGGGCGGGCCCACGGGCCCAGTGGACCAGTGTGAACTGGACTTGCGTCAGGACGCCACTTGTCACCTGCACCCCCACCCACACAGAGGGCTGTGTGGATGCTTTGGGCCTTTTGGGATCAATGTCAGACCCCATATCCAGAAGTCCTCGACACGTCTGCTTGTTGCCCTTTTTCCAGCGCACGGTCACCTGAACAAATTGCCACAGACCCTTCAGGGAAAGGATGGGGGGACTGGCATGGTAAAGACTTCCCAGAATGTCACAGGATCCTTCCCTCTGGGGAAGGCCACCTCCTTAGTCAATAGTTTTGGGGTCTGAATATGGGCTTAGGTCTAGGAGCAGAGCAAGGGGCTTTATTTTTCTTGGGGCGGCCACCCTCCACCTCTGCCCCCCGTTCCTGCTTGTTATTGGCCATAAGTGCACAGTGGCCCTTCTGCTGGCCACTGCCAACTTGCCCCTGGAGGTGCCAGCTCTATTATCTATCCCCACCCCTCCACGCAGTGCAGCTCCTGCAGACACACACCCTCGGGAGATTCGGGGACTGGCCACTCCAGGGGGGTTTTAGGGGCCATTGGTCAGGGGCAAGCTGGCATATCCTTCCACGGTAAAACATAAATTATTGTACTTTTGTCCCTTGGCACAGAGAAGGAAGCGGGGTGCGTGACAGGTCTCCCTTCTCGCCTCCTGCTGGGTGTCCTGGCTTCCATGGTTGAGCCTGGCCTCTGTCACTCTGAGGCCCCACCATCCCCATGGATGTCAGTGACCTCAGCTCTGTGACTGCCGCCTACTGTGCCTGGTCTGCAGGGGACAACCCTTGTCAGGCCTCTCAGTGACGCTGCTGCCCCTCTTGCCAGCAGGTTCCAAGTAGCCTGGGGGGGATATGTGTCCTCTGGGCTTGCTCCTGAAACAGCACCTTCTGCCCACACCTCAAATGCCCATCCCAGCACGCCCGCTCCCCTCAGCTTTCCCTGCTCTCTGCCAGGCCAACTCAGGCATCTCCATCTCTCCTTGTTGGTCGTCATTTCTTCCTGGCCACTCTGAGCCATCCCAAGAGTGTGCTTGTCCCATCTCCCTGGGGTTCTTGCTATGGTGTTAAATCCTGTGTCCCCATGTGACACAAAGTTCATGGGAGGCCGTTATTTTGGATGGGCCTCCTGCACGAGGCCCCAGTGGACCAGACCCAACCAGCATGAAGGCACTTGTACTAAATGCCCCGTAATTGAAATGAACTTTGAAATGGGCCAGTTTTCAGAAAGAACAACAGCAACAAACCCCCGGAGATCCCAGTCTACCCGAGTCAGCATAATAGGGAAGTCCCCTCTGTATTGGCAATACAAGGAAAGTAACTTTGAAGTGATCAGTCCACTTTTTTTGTTCTCTTTTCTGTTCCCTTCAGTCCTTGTTTGCCTACAAAGCCAACTCCTGTGATGGACTCATTGGAGCACTCATTCTGTTGCATAGCACAAGGCGCTGCCCGATTCTAGAATCACAAATAAAGCAATTCGATCTTTAAACTCAATTGTGATTTTTGTCTTTTAATGCAAGACAATGCCCCCGTCAATAAGTTTCTGCTCACCCGGTCTCAGCATCCCAGGCCGTGGGACCCCAGTCAGAGCAGTCCCTTCCTGCTGGTCATGCTGGCTCATTCTTGCCCTCCTGTAAGTACATAACCTCCTTCCTTATCAGGCCAGGACAAACCCAGGACCATTTATGCTAAGATTTAACTATAGCAGTTAGCAGCCAGGAGATGGCATGGGTGCAACTCCTGAGGGGCCTCCATTGCCTTGTGGGGCAGTGGTCCCTGCAGCATCCTCCATCCTGGCAGAAGTGCTAGCTCCTATTAGGGAAGGGTGGGGCACCTCTGCAAGCACAAAGGGGCCAGAGGGACCTGCAGGGGATTCCTGGGGGCAGCCATCCATGTTTCAGGGTCCCAGGGTCCCCTCCTTAGAGCCCCAACCTTTGCATGGCAGATCTGGCTTGGCCGACTGCGCAGATGGCTGTGGAGCTCTGCGCCTGCTCAGCCCACGTGTGAGAGACGAGGGCCTCTTCGGGAGCTACCACAGAGGCCCGACGGCTGTCCCATGAATCACAGCTGCTTGTTGACCCTCCTCTGCTGGGAGGTTTTCCAAGGTCACTACTGGGGGAAGCTTCAGCTGGCCCGGGTTCCAGAAACTATCAGTGTCCTGTCTTTAACCAGGATGGCATCCTTGTCATCCTCTGGGCAGTGGACAAGCCGGTCCCAAATCCTCCTCTGACCGACCGTTTTCTTGGACCATCCCTGGAACCATTTGTGGAGCTTGGGAGCTCTGAGGAGCAGACACCAGCAAAAAAGTAAAGCCGGAAAATCAGGGGACATGCAAGTGGGGGAAGATGGGGTGGGGTGCAGAGAGGCGAGGCGAGCCGTGGGATGGCGATGCCCATCAGAGGAGCGCAGGGAGAGGAAGGGGGATCTGAGGAGGGGGCTGAGTCCACCATGAGGTTCTCAGGGCAGGTCGGCCTCGTCCTGGTGAAACTTGGAGCCACAGTCACCTGTCAGGGGAGACCCATCTCCCAGGAATGGGCCTGCCTCAGTGTCCCTGGCATGCTCCGTCGTGGCTAGGAGTGGCTGATGGGAATTGTTTCAGCACAAGCGTAGGGAACGGTTTCAGAGCATGTCAGCGAAGGCCTGAGCGATCACTTCCCTGCAGACGAATCGAAAAGGTGCGCTCTCCACATATGTTTATTGCGGCACTATTCACAATAGCAAAGACTTGGAACCAACCCAAATGTCCAACAATGATAGACTGGATTAAGAAAATGTGGCACATATACACCATGGAATACTATGCAGCCATAAAAAAGGATGAGTTCATGTCCTTTGTAGGGACATGGATGAAGCTGGAAACCATCTTTCTCAGCAAACTATCACAAGGACAAAAAAGCAAACACCGCATGTTCTCACTCATAGGTGGGAATTGAACAATGAGAACACATGGACACAGGAAGGGGAACATCACACACGGGAGCCTGTTATGGGATGGGGGAAGGAGGGAGGAATAGCATTAGGAGATATACCTAATGTTTAATGACGAGTTAATGGGTGCAGCACACCAACATGGCACATGTATACATATGTAACAAACCTGCACGTTGTGCACATGTACCCTAAAACTTAAAGTATAATAAAAAAATAGTAAAAAAATAAAAAGAAAAAAAAAGAAAAGGTGCATTCTCACCGCAACCACCATCTCACTGGGCTGTAGCATCTGCTTCCAAACTGGAGGAGCTTCTTTGCAGCCCTGTCTTGCTGGAACCACAATTTTGACTCTGCCTTCTCCCAATTTGGTGACAGACCTGCAGCCAGAATTTGCTCTTTCTTCTGTTACCATCACAGTTGATGCAAGTTGATGGGTCCTGGCATCTTCTTGGTTAATGCTCCACCTTCTGTCTTTTGAAACGGGCAGTGGATCGACCTCGTCCTGCTATGTTCCCTGTGAGAGAGAAGGCTTGGATTCCTTGGGAAGCTTTCTGAATAGCCTGGCCCTCTCCTTTCCTCCGCAGCTGGACTTTCTCAGCACCGTCAGAAGGAACGTCTCCAGCCCTTGGGTTCTTGGTGATCACAGCCTCCCCAGAGGGTTCTGACAGCGGTGGCTGCTGCTTCAGGTGGAAGATACCAGGGTATTTCCTCTGTCCACATTTCTCAGTGCCTAGGCATGACTCTCATTGTGTGGCCATCTCTAGAATCTCAGCGTACAATTATATGCTGTTTGTTTATTCTGAGATTTCTTGGCATTGCCAGTTAGGGCTGTCGCCGTTCATCTGTCTTGGAGTCATAGATTGTTACTGCTAGTAAAGTGCTTATGAGGAAGTTTATGTAACTTTATGTATTTACAGCCAGGGATACTGCAGTTCAGAAAGGTCTATGACCCAGGAAATTTGTGGCAGAGCCAGACTGGAATGCAGGCTCCTGATTCCCAGTTCGGTGTACTTTTCTTTTCCTACCCGACCTGGCTTCTCATCTTTCTTCCCCTCACCCCTTTTGCTCACCTTCCCCTTATTTAATTCCTCCATCTTCACAGGCAATCGCATACAGACTCATACATTCGTGGTCCCTGACTTTCTCTAGCATAAGAGATGCCAGTTACCCTCTGAGCACCTGCAGCAGTGACCCTAATGTATGTGGACCATGGCTTCTTCCTTCCTCACTTCTCCCCTGTCTCACTTCTCACTCTCTCACTCCTGTTTCCCGGGATCACCTTCCAAATAAACAACCCAAGTTCTTGTCTAAGGGTCCACGTGGTGGCAGAATTCTAAAATGACCCCAAGATTCCCACCTCCTGAGATCGTAGCCCCAGCTAACACCTTGACTTCAGCCTTTTGAGATCCTGAGCAGAGAAGCTAGGTTATGTCTTGACCTCTGACCAATATAAACTGTGGGAAAATAAATGGCTGTTGTTTTAAGGCACTCCGTTGGTGGTAATTTCTTATAAACTGAGTACAGCATACCTTTTGTGAAACCCAAACTAAGATGCCTTCCAATTATAAAGCTTCATGAGTCAACACTCATGAAGCAAAAATTACAGAAAATACAAGGAGAAAAAGAAACACATTAATAGTAGAAGATATTAATTCATCTTTTTAGCATATGATAAATCAAGTAGCCAAATAACTAATTAAGGATATAGAACTAAGTGATATAATTAATATAATAGGTTGTATAGATGTCTAGTGTAAGCCAGGTTGAACTAGGCTCACTACAGCCTTTCCCTCACACCAATTACAACTAAAAGCTCCGGACAAAATATACTGAAAAGTTAAAAATAGCAGGCAGATTGGGAAGGGAAACCAAACTTGAAGAATGACGTATTCAAGATATCTAAATTTCTGAGATGCAGTTAAAGCAATGTTTAAAGCAATTTACAGTATTATATGCTTATATTAGAAAAGGAAAATGGCTCATGTCAATAACCCAAGCTTATATCTTAAGGAATTGGAAAAAGAAGAACAGACTACATTCAAGAAGAAGGAAGGAACTAGTAAAGATATCAGCATAAATCAATGCCACTGAAAATAGAAAAATAATAGAAAATAATCAATGAAGCCCCAAATCGGTATTTGGTAAAATATCAACACAATTAATAAACTTCTGGCCAAACTGACCAATATGAAAAAGGGAACCAACAGATCTATTGTACAACGTGATAACTTTAGTTAATATCAATGTACTATATACTTGAAAATTGCTAAGACAGTAGATTTGAAATGTTCTTAACACAAAAAATAAATATGTGAGTAAATACATTAATTAGTTTGCTTTAGTCATTCTACAATGTATACAGGTATCAGAACATTATCTGTACACCATAAATGTATACAATTTTTATTTGTCAATTAAAAACGATTTTTTAAGAAAAGAGGACACACGAATTCCTAAAATCAGAAATGCAAGTGTGGGATATCACTAAAGACCCTACAGACATTCACATAATAAGGGCATACTATGAACAACCCTGTGCCTTTAAGCAGGATAACTTGTACTAAACTGACTAATTATTTGAAGAAGAAAAAGTACCAACATTCATTAAAAATACATAACCTGAATATACTATAAATATCAACATTTCTTAAGGAAATTGAATTCATAGTTAAAATCTTCTGGAAAAAAAAAAAAGAAAAGTCCAGGACTAGGTGGTTTCATTGGCAAATTCTTTAAAGCAGAATAATACCAATTCGACACAATTGCTTAGAGAAAGTAGAAGGGGAAGAAATATTTCTCAACTCATTTTATGAGGCCAGCGTTACTCTGATATCAAACAAGACAAAGACACTATAAGAAAACTACAAATATCCCTCATTAACCTAGATACAAAATCCTCAACACAATATTAGCAAATTGAATCCAGTAATATATAAAAAGGACAATACAGCATGATTATATGGGAATTATCCCAGGAATGCAAGGGTGATTCAACATTTGAAAGTCAATCAATGTAATTAATCATATTAACAGAATAAAAAATATAAACTATATGACCATCACAAAAGATGCAGGCAAAGCATTTGACAAAACTAAATATCCAGTTGTCTTAAATACACTCAACTAAGTAGGAATAGAAAACTTTTTTTAAATGAGATTTTCGTGCTTTCTTTTTTAAAAAAAATTTATTTTATTTTAGGTTCCCAGACACTTGTGCAGAATGTGCAGGTTTGTTACATAGGTAAACGTGTGCCATGGTGGTTTGCTGCACCTATCAACCTATCACCTAGGTATTAAGCCCCACATGCATTAGCTATTAGTCCTGATGCTCTCCCTCCTCCTGCCTCCATGACAGGCCCCAATGTGTGTCTTTCCCCTCCCTGTGTCTATGTGTTCTCATTGTTCAGCTCCCACTTATGAGTGAGAACATGTGGTGTTTGGTTTTCTGTTCCTGTGTTAGTTTGCTGAGGATGATGGCTTCCAGCTTCATCCATGTTCCTGCAAAGGACATAATCTCATTCCTTTTTATGGCTGCATAGTATTCCATGGTGTATATGTACCACATTTTCTTTATCCAGTCTATCACTGGTGAACATTTGGGTTGGTTGCAAGTCTTTGCTATTGTGAATAGTGCTGCAATAAACATATGTGTGCATGTATCTTTATAATAGAATGATTGATATTCCTTTGGGTATATTCCCAGGAATGGGATTGCTGGGTCAAATGGTATTTCTAGCTTTAGATCCTTGAGGAATTGCCACACTGTCTTCCACGGTGGTTGAACTAATTTACATTCCCACCAACAATGTAAAGCATTCCTATTTCTCTGCAGCCTCACCAGCATCTGTTGTTTCTTGACTTTTTAATAATTGCCATTCTGACTGGTGTGAGATGGTATCTCATTGTGGTTTTGATTCACATTTATCTAATGATCAGTCATGTTGAGCTTTTTTTCATGTTTGTTGGCTGTATAGATATCTTCTTTTGAGAAGTGTGTCTTCATATCCTTGCCCACTTTTTGATGGGGTTGTTTTTTTCTTTAAATTTGTTTAAGTTCCTTGTAAATTCTGGATATTAGACCTTTGTCAGATGAGTAGATTGCAAAAATGTTCTCCCATTCTGTAGGTTGCCTGTTTGCTCTGATGATAGTTTCTTTTGCTGTGCAGAAGCTCTTTAGTTTAATTAGATCCCATTTGTCAATTTTAGTTTTTGTTGGAATTGCTTTTGGCACTTTCATCATAAAATCTTTGCCCGTGCTTATTTCCTGAATGGTATTGCCTAGATTTTCTTCTAAGGTTTTTATGTTTTGGGTTTTACATTTAAGTCTTTAATCCATCTTGAGTTAATTTTTGTATAAGGTATATAAGGAAGGGTCCAGTTTCAGTTTTCTGTATATGGCTAGCCAGTTTTCCCAGCACCATTTATTAAATAGGGAATCTTTCCCAGCACCATTTATTAAATAGGGAATCTTTTCCCCATTGCTTGTTTTTGGCAGGTTTGTCAAAGATCAGAAGGTTGTAGATGTGCAGTCTTATTTCTGAGATCTCTTCTGTTCCATTGGTCTATGTCCGTTTTGGTACCAGTACCATGCTGTTTTGGTTACTGTAGCCTTGTAGCATAGTTTGAAGAAAACTTTCTTAACATCATACTTAATGGTGAAAGACTAAATGCTTTTCCCTAGGATTAAGAACAAGGCAAGGACATCTGCTTTCACCACTCATATTTAACATTGTCCTGGAAATCCTAGCCAATACAATAAGGCAAGATAAAGAAATAAAAGACTTTCAGATTGATAAAGGAAGGAAATAAAACATTTTCTATTCATAGATGACATGACTGTTTGTAGACAATTCCATAGAATGTATGCAAAATTTCCTAGAACTAATAAGTGAGCTTGTTAACATCACAGGATCCAAAATCATTTTACAAAAAAATATTTTTTTATACTGGCACTAAACAATTGGAATTTTAAATTTAAAAAACAGTACCATTTATAATGGTTCAAAAATGAAATACTATGTACTAATCTAACAAAATATGTTTAGGATCAGTATGCTGAAAACTATATGAGGAGATGAAAGAAATCAAGGATGTCTTAAATAAATTAATAGATATTCTATGTTCGTGGATTGGAAGATTCCACATTAATTATATGGTCTTCTCTCTAAATTGATCTATAGATTCAGCACAATCACAATCTAAATTTTAGTAGGACTTTTTATAAATATTAACAAGCTGATTTTAAAATAGTATCAAGAGAAAAAGGAAATATGATAATCATAAGAACTTTGAAAAAGAACCAAGTTGGAAAACTTGCATGAACTTATTTTAAGACTTAATATAAAGTTGTTATTATTAAGACAATTACGGTATTAGTGAAACAATAGATCAATGAAAAGAACAGAATCCAGAAATAGACTTATACACATTTGAAAAATTGATTTTTTATAAAAGTACAAGTGCAATTTCTTTCTTATTTCTTTTTGTGTTATGTTCTATAGCTTCTTTGTGGTTAACATGGGAGTCACATTTAACATCCTAAACTTGTAACACTTTATTTTGAATTTGTACCAGTTTAACTTCAATAGCATATACAAACTCTGCTTCTTTACAATCCTGTTCTCACCTGTTTCATTTATTGTTGTCACAAAATTACATCCTTATACTTTGTGTGAGAAGTGTTCAGCCATTATTTCTTCATATATTCTCTCTGCCTATTTCTCTCTCTCTTCTGAGACTTCCATAGTGTTAATGCTGGACTGCTTAATACTGTTGCACAGGTCCCATAGTCTCTGGTCACTTTTCTTCAGGTTTTTTTTTTTTTTTTGCTAAGATTTGATAATTTTCATTGTCCTATCTTTAAGTTCACCAATATTTCTTCTTCTGCCTGCTCAAATCTGCCTCTGACTCTCTCTAGTGAAATTTTCATTTCAGTCATTACAGTTTTCAGCTCTAGAATTTCTTTTGGTTTCTTTTGAGGTTTTCTATCCTCCTTTTTAATATTTCCATTTTGGTCATACATTGGTTTCTTGCCTTTCTCCGCATCTTCCTTTGGTTTTTTAAACATCTTTATGACAGTTATTTTAACATCTTTCTGGTAGATCTGCCACCAAGTCTTTTTCAGAGACAGTTTCTGTTGATCTATTTTTTTCCTTTGAATGTGCCATACTTTCGTTTCTTTGTATGCCTTGTAATGTTCCAGGCAGTCCTTCACATTTCCTGTACCGGACTTGGAATTAGTTATTTCTCTAAGGAGCCCTGGCTCATTTTAGTGGGAATTGGTATTTATGACCACAATTAGATGTTAGGGGTGCCTATTATCTTGATTAGTCATTGTTTTCAGGTTTGTTCACTGGCCAGCACTGGCAAAGTGTAGACCTACACAGTTTTTGTTAAGCTTGTTTATCTTACATCTGCACTTCTTTGTTCTACTCCAAAAATTCATTTCATTTACTTTAACATAATTACTTGTTTCTTTATCCCACAGAACATGCACAATCACTTCAGAGTGCGACTAAAACTATGACCAACAATAAGAATAGCAAAAAAAACAATATAAAGCTTTTTTTTTTTGCCCTCTGGGAGAATGGGAAAAATCCTTTTGTTCGGAGGTTATATCTCACTAGGTGGGTGAAATTAAATTACTGTGACTTAAAGTCCCTTGCATGATGCTTCTTTACAGGATAATCCACAGCCTGATACATGGTGAGATTCATTTGTTTCACTTTGCTTTTGATTCTAAGGGATTGCTTTCTAAAGTTTAATGTTGCTTTAGATACATAAATTATTTATATCAAATCTATAAGACAGATATATTCAATGAAATCTAACTTCTAAACCTATTCTCTCCACCCTATACTTCCCCTTTTCCTATAAATAACAATACTTAGTATTTTATTGTTTATCCTTTCATTTAAAAAATATAACACACACATCTCCCTTCTTTCTTAGATAAATGGTACCATACCATACACATTTTTCTCCATCTTGATTTTTATTAATAAAATATCCTGAAAATCAGTAAGTAGTATATTGAGATATCCTTATGCCATTTTATTGTTGTATAGTACTTCATCGTATATTTGCTATATTTAAAAAGCCAGTTTCATCTTATCAACATTGGGTCATTTCCAGTCTTTTACTATAACAAACAGTGCTGCAACAAATAGCCATGTGCATTAATGTCTTTTTGTCTTTTGGGGATAGAGTTTTAGAGGTGGGATTTCTGGGTCAAAGGGAAAAAGCATATATGTAAATTTGCTCCATATCACCATATTTCTATAATAGGGACTGAACCATTTTGCATTCCCCCAGCAAACATATGAAAACAACATCGCCCCTACCTCCTCACCAACAGAGCATGTTGTCAAATTTTTGGAGTTTTGTCAATGCGATAGGTGAGAAGTAGAATCTCAGATAATTTTAATTTGCATTTCTTTTATTATGAGCAAGGTTAAGCATCTTTTCATACTGTTAAAAGTCATTTTTATTTTTCTGTGAACTTCCTATTCATATTCTTACACTATTTTTCTACAGGGTTTGCTTTGTATTTTTATCTCATTTTTTAGAAGCTCTTCATAAATTTTTTCCTGTGACAAAGGATAAAATATTTCTCAAATTGGTATTTGCTTTTCTCATTGCTTCTGCTGTTTGATATGCAAAATCTTTTTAAAATTTTTATGTAGTCAAATTTATCCTTCTTTTTCTTTATTGTTTCTGGATTTTGAGTCATTGTTAAGGAAGTTTTTCTCACTCCTAGATTATGGAGAAGTTTACTCATGTTTTCTTCTAGCACTTATAAAGGTTTTTATGTTTATCCATTTAATATTTATCCTGGTGTGTGGTATGAAAAATATACAATTTCATTTCATCTTTTTTCCTATGTTTATTTAGTTATACTAACTAATTTCATTTATTAAAAAGTCCATCTTCTCCCCATTGACTTGAGATTCTGTCTTTATTTTATACTATATATGGCTCTATAGTTTAATTTTTCCATTTGGTTCCATTGGCTTATCTATTCATTCACTAATATCACACTTCTTTAATGAAAAATAGTTTAATTGGTATGTAGAGCTCTTTCTTGCTACTCTTCTTTTCAGAAATTTCCTGGCTATTCTTGCTTGTTTCTTTCTTCAAATGAACCTCATAATCAACTTATTCAGCTCCAGAAAAAAAATGGTGATATTTTCATTAGCATTGTGTTACATCTATACCTCAATTTAGGGAGAACTAACATCTCAGTGATGTCGTGTTTCCCTATCAAAGAACATAGGATGTCTTTCTATTTGTTCAAAATTTCTTCTGTTCTCTCAGGAATGTTTTCTAGGTTTTCTTCTATAGGTTTCCAACATCACGGAAGATGTAGAAATGTACTGCTCAGATATTCCTTCAGGAAAAGACCCTGCCCCGTTGGGAGCAGGTGGTTGGCTGACAGCCTCCACCAGTTTTGTCAGGGTCCACCTCAGCTTTGGGGCCAAAGGAATGCTGTTCTCAGGGCAGCTGCTGGCTATTGACTGAGCAAGGCCAGTAGAAGAGCCTGGACATTTCTGCCCAACCCTGAATGACTCTAACAGGCGACCCTTGCTCCAGATCCCCCTCTGCGCCAGAGACAGCGACACTGGGGTCTGAGTGCCCTGCCTGTCCTATCTGCCTCCTGCCCTTTCCTTTGACTTTTTGCACTCTTAACTCCATCTTGGCATCTGCTTCCCAGGAAACCCACACTGCAACAGACATTGATTAAGTTTAAGTGTAAACTTAGGGATGTGCGTTACTCAAGTTACTACTTTTATTGCCTATGGTCAGAGGATGTTGTTTGTACAATTTCCACTCTTAAAAATTTACTAAGGTTTGCTTTGTGGCTTAAGATATGGTTAATTTTTATGAATGTTCTCTCTGTCACACTATTATTTAGCATTGTTAAATATCTAATGTCAATTAGCTGAGAAAGAGAAATGAGGCAAACAAATTAGAAAGGAGAAGGTAACATTATTACTATCAGATGTTATAAAAGAACCAACAGGACAATCTATATAAACATCAGGTAATTTACCAAGGTGGCTGTGTAAAAACATTAATATATACAAATCAACACCCTTTAAATATATATGTAAAAAATTAGAAGCATAATGTGAAGCTAGTTACATAGTTTGTAAACGTGTGTATAGAAAGTGTTTATCTATGCAGATATGTGTATCCATGCGGAGACTCTCAAGAAAAACATGACACTGGTTGCTTTTGGGAGGAGAGAGAACTGAGAAACCCAAAAATATCTTAGGATGAGAGCTGAAATGTAATAATGGCGACCCTTCCCTTTGCTCCACAGAAATATTGGGGTGCCCAGGATATCAGGGTACCTAGGAAGGAGAGAGATCCAAGAAAAAAGTTAATTTACAATCAGAATGGAAAGACAGGTGCTCTGTGCTTGGCATCCGAGCTATGAGACTCGCAGGGGGTAAGGGCCAGGGAAGGGTGGGGGACAGCAGAAGATGCAGAGACCAGAAGGAAGTTGGGTGACTCTTGAGTTCTTTCCACCAGAAAGAAGAGGCCATTTGGAGGGTGGATTATAGCAGTCCCTAAAAGCAGATTTTATTCCTAAAGTTATCTTTGAACAGACGGCGTTCGTGTACCAGTTTTCCTGAAGGAACTATGGAAAACAAGCTGATGCACTTATGTCTGCAGAATTAATGACAAAAAACATCATTTGGGAACTGTTCTAAGGGCTGAGCATTGTTTGAAGACTATATTTTTTTAGACAGAGAGAAAATTTGTGCGTTTGCTCTTGAAGCTTTAAAAGCTTTTTTATGCTCTTGCATTAAACAGTGTTGTTAATGGAATGAGAGTTTTTTCCCCTCTAATAATGGTCTATTATCGCTTCAGAAACCAGTCTTTAGAAATGCCACAGTTTCTCTTTGCCAGCCCTGATTCCGTCATTGATGGAGGTACCTGAGTGTCTAAGTGCTATTGCCAGACCTCTTCTTAAATGTGGAAAATGCACAGCCACTTGGAATTATCCTGACAAACTGATGGCTTTGAAGAGGAAGCTAAGCCACAAGCCTTTTTGCCAGCATTGAGAGCAATTCCTCAAGCATGCCATTTGCCGGTGCTTCTGTGGAATACTGCTGGGCTTCGAGCCAGAAGTCTTTAATTAAGCCCTAGATTCACCACAAACTTGCTCTGTGAACTTCGGTGAATCACCCAACCCTCTTCCATCTCAGTTTCTCATCCGTTGGAGAGGAGCTTTCATATCTCACAAGATTGCTGCAAAGTCTGAAAACAAAATCCCATGTAAAATCAAAGAGCACAGTGGTTGGTGTGCAATAAGGGTCTACTGAACTGAACTATGGGCGTGTTTATCTTTTGGGAAAATGGCCCCCTCACAGTGGTCCTCATCGTCTCTCTCTCTTTTTTTTTTTTTTTTTTTTGAGACAGGGTCTCGCTCCGTAGCGCAGGCTGGAGTGCAATGGTGCAATCTCAGCTCACTGCAACCTCTGCCTCCTGGGTTCAAGCGATTCTCCTGCCTCAGCCTCCCAAGTAGCTGGAATTACAGGCACCTGCCACCACGCTCGGCTAATTTTTGTATTTTTAGTAGAGATGGGATTTTGCCATGTTGGCCAGGCTGGTCTTGAACTCCTGACCTCAAGTGATCCACCCCCGCTAGTCTCCCAAAGTGCTGGGAATACAGGCGTGAGCCACCGTGCCTGGCCTCATTGTCTCTTAAGTTCACCTGGGAAACTAACACACAAAATCCTAACGAACACAGATCCCTGTGCCTGTTCAAAACGATCTGCGTGTCCTCCTGAAACCAGACCACACGCCCCACATCAGCATCTTGGGCCACTGGACTGGAGGGTTTGAAGCTGCAACACTGTGACCACCAGATGGGTCTCTAACTGGGTACAGCTGCCAGGTCAGTGTCAGCAAAGATGGCTGATTGCATCGCACCATAGAGTACTGCAAGGAAGTACTCCTGTGAATTTATCATCTCAGGATGAATTTCATCTTATAACCTTGAGAAATGAAACAGCATTGTCAGAATGTAATTTGCAAACAGACGCAATTTACCTTAATCACCAGCCTGGTTGGAACTCACACTGTTTTATGTGGTATTTTGTCAACACTGTAGAAAGTTCTCAAGGAAAGGCCCCCCAAGGAGTTTTGGTGCCCTGGGGTGAAGCTATCTGCTCTGAACATTCCCCGCAAGGTAACTGACCTCAGCCAATTCCTCAAAGTCTGGTGGGTGGCCCCACACCAAGAGCACTCACAGGAATCAAAGTTCAAATCCAGCCTCCCAAGGAGGAACGGTCACACCAGAGCTGCCCCTGACATTTGCAGGGCCGGGGCGAGGGCACACATGGGGGCCCACATCCACGTCTGAATATCTAAAGATTATCCACTGGCCTTGTACGCTGTTCAGTGAAACAGGCCTCATTCTTCCACCTTGAGATATGTGCCAGGAAGGTGAGGTTTGAATTTAGAATCCTTGGGCTCCTCAGATTTCCTATGGAAAGGTGGCTGTATGGTGGCTGCGGGCCCGGGACTGCCCCTGCCCCAAGGTTCATTTCTCTCTCTATGGCATGAGACACTGCCGGCAGCCACAGCCCCACAAGGAGCCGCCTTCAGCTGCTCCTTAGGCCTGGGGGTGCGCACACCCACGTGTGCCCCTCTGGGAGGCTGGGCCTGGGAGGAGGCCCATGCAGGCCTGAGGCACACTTGGGGCCTTTTGGGCAGCAATTCTGGGATGCTGGGCCACTGGAGCATGGTCCAGATGGGCAGGGGCGTGGGCCCCAGGTTGGCACAACTCCTTGGCCTCTGCCAGTGGGGAGGGGAGTGACCAGGAAGGTCAGGGCAGGAAGGTCACTAAGGCTGGGGCTTGGGGCAGCGCCCAATGGCAGTGCTGACTTAGCAAAGCAGTAGATGCCATGAGGGGCCACTCAGGGCAGAGAAGTCTCACCAAAGGCTCCGGCACAAGGTCACCAGCAATGCCACAGGGCTTGGACTCAGAGACATGCTCCTACTAGATGGGAAACAAGATCTGAAGGAGCCAGGCAAAGAAGGAAGTGGTGGCAGGTTGGGTATTTTAGACACAGGCAAAATCTTGTGCAGAGGAATGGAGGTGTGAAAAAATATACCATGTTCAGAGAAACCGCATCTGATTCTTGGCAGCCAGGTGTGTGGGTGGGGTGGAGGGTTAGGGGAGGCTGAGAGGCGATCTGCTCATGGGGTCCCTGCCCAGGCCCTTGTGAACATCACCACGGAGGGGATGAGAAGCATGAAGCATTGTCATCAGCAGACTAAAAGCAACACTATAAATAAGAGGGGAGGTCGGAGTGTCCTTGAGTAATGCGTATTTTCTCACGTACAAAAATACTCTTACGAAGTGAATACTCTTACAAAGTGAGCAGCTGTCGCTGTTTTTGCAAAGTCTGTGTAACAGAATCTTATGTTATAGCACAGATAATGAAACCATCTGATGCATTAACATTAGAGATGTCCATTAATTTTTGTTTGTAGTTGTGTTTTTTCTAGCTATGGACTAACAAAGAAACTCAGTTCCTTCCATGGATTTTGTTTTTAAGACCTGCAGGTATTTGATGGTTTTATAGCACGGGGAGCTTTAATGAGGCTTTGCAAGCCACAGTATTGTTCCAAATAAATAAATCCAAGCCTTGCCTCAGGATATTAAGGACAAACAGCACAGAAATCTTTCTTGTTCTCATTTTCATTTCTATTATCTGACAAAGTTGTAGGAGTGCTTATTGGTCATGTGAATCTGAACAGCAGAGGCCCCTGGAGGGGAGGAAGATGCGAGTTCTGAATATGACTTTTCCACGGAGCAAAATGAAATGGCATTTGAGTCCATTATAATCCACTCCACAGGACATACCTACTGTCTCGTTGCAGCAGACCTCCTTCGTGACGACTGTGCTGTTGGCATCCAAACTCCTCGCTTAGAGTGACTACAGATGAAATGGCGCAAAGAGGCAAGGAGAGGTGCGTGGAGCCTCAGCAGGCAGGCGGTTCCTTATTCGAAATCCGTCTGCCTTTGATCCTGGCTGACTTTGTGCAGATGTCTGCCCGGGCCCCAGAGGATTCAGGGAAGGCTGAGCCTGGTCCCTGAGGTCTCATTCTCCTTTTCTGCGATGGATTTAGGTTTGGGATGAGAAACAGCTCTGGCCAATGGGAACCTCTCTTCTAGCCACTGCTAGGTTTGGAGGTGATGCCCGGACAGTTGTAGCCGCCGTGCAGCTATGATGAGGAAAGCTGGCTTCAAGACAGGTCAACCTGCTAAGCATGTCGAAGCAGGAAGGCAAAAAGGGCTGGGGGCTTTGACAATGTCATTGAATAACTAGATAGAAAGCTTTTTTGTTGTTGTTGTTTTTCTGAGACGGAATCTCGCTCTGTCACCCAGGCTGGAGTGCAGTGACACGATCTTGGCTCACTGCAACCTCCATCTCCCAGGTTCAAGTGATTCTCCTGCCTCAGCCTCCCGAGTAGCTGGGGTTACAGGTGTGCGCCACCACGCCCAGCTAATTTTTGTATTTTTAGTAGAGATGAGGTTTCACCATGTTGCTCAGGCTGGTCTCGAACTCCTGATGTCATGATCCGCCCACCTCAGCCTCCCAAAGTGCTGGGATTACAGGCGTGAGCCACTGTGCCTGGCTGGGTAGAAAGTTTTATTAGGTAAGACGACACATTTTTGTTCCTGCAGCTGACAACATTCTCACCAACAGAGGAAAAAATGACCTTTTCCTAATCCCTCCACATCTCCCTTCTTCCTGGATCTTTATGCTTATTGTAAAGTCATAAGGTTAAAAGTGAGAGAGGTCAGCTCAGATATCTTATTCTCTAGCCTGATATATATTGTCTTTGTACAAACAGACAGTCTTCATACCGGGAGCTAGTGTGGTGGTATAGAATAAGCACTGGACTGTGAGACTTTTTTTTTTTTTTTTTTTTTGAGACTGAGTCTCACTTTGTCACCCAGGCTGGAGTGCAGTGATGCAATCTTGGCTCACTGCAACCTCCACCTCCTGGGTTCAAGAAATTCTCATGCCTCAGCCTCCCAAGTAGCTAGGATCACAGGTGCATGCCACCATGTCTGGCTAATTTTTGTATGTTTAGTAGAAATGGGGTTTCACCATGTTGGCCAGGCTGGTCTCGAACTCCTGGCATCAAGTGATCTGCCCAACTTGGCCGCCCAAAGTGCTGGGATTACAGGTGTGAGCCACTGCACCCGGCCCCATATGCTAAATTTTACTGAATTCTGCTTTCCACTGTGGCTCTGAGCGAGCTTGTGAACGCCACAGTGCCCTCTCTGGCCTCAGTCTTCTCATTTGTAGAAAGACAGGCTTTGAGGAACACTGTCTCTGGGGTCCCCTTCTGGCTTTTCCGGTGGGTGATTCTAGAACCCTTCACCCCATATGTGTGCCCTGGATCACCTGCCTCCCCCGACAGCACAGCCTGCCCCCTCTGCAGCAGGGGACTCAAGGTTTTTCCCTCTGTGTATTTCTGTGCCAATGGAGGTGACTGGCCTAGAATGTTTGGATCAGTGTTAGGCCCTAAGGAGATTCTTCTGCTGGGATTTTAATCTGTGTCATGTCTTTCTGGGGATTTGGGCATAGTGCTAGCCTGAGAAACTCCACTGGCTGAGAGGTGTCATAGGAACATATCATTTTGTCAAGGACGTTACCACATAAATAATGGCAGGTGTGTACAAAGTAGTGCTCAAACCATCAGTATTATCCCCACAGGTATTGTTCATCTGTGCAAATAGTGTGCCCAGGGCCCTTGCAGTAGTGTATGCTTTCTACTTGCTGTACATTTTGAAGAAAGCAAAACCCTTAGGGCAGGCCTGGTCTCCTTGATCCCTGCTGGCGTCTAGCGCTAGTACCTTCAGAGTGAAACTTGGGTAAGTGGAACTGATCTCAGTGAGGTGAGTGGGAAGGACTCACAATCAATTCTTTGTTCTGGGACCGAGAAAAGAGTTTTGTGGCCCCTGACGACCTCCTCCCCTCATCTCCTCCACTGTCTGCCCTGTGCTCTCCACTTACCTGCCACGGTGACCTTTCTTCCTTGGCTCTAAATGGCCACTCTCCTCCTGCCTCAGGACATTTGCATGAGCTGTGGCCTCCTCCTGGACCACCCCGGCCCCGTTAACTCCCACTCATCTTCCAGGGCTCATCAAATGTCCATCCGGTCAATATGTACTGAGTGCTGACTACATGCAAGGTCTAGGGCTGGGGGTTGTGGAGCCTTTCTTGCCACCCTCACCCCAGAACAGAGCCAGACCTGGTCTTTTCCTTTGCTGCTTTCATTGCAATTTGCAACAGTGTCTTGTGATTCTGCATCTGATTAATGCCTAAGACCGTCAGGCTCCTGCGGACGGCCACCCCGTCCACGTGTTCTTCATGAGGCTCTCAGCAATGGTGCAATCTTGGCTCACTGCAACCTCTGCCTCCTGGGTTCAATGATTCTCTTACCTCAGCCTCCTGAGTAGCTGGGATTACAGGCACGCACCACCACGCCTGGCTAATTTTGTATTTTTAGTAGAGAAGGGGTTTCGCTTTGTTGGTAAGGCTGGTCTCGAACTCCTGACCTCAGGTAATCCACCTGCCTTGGCCTCCCAAATGGCTGGGATTACGGGCATAAGCCACCGCACCCGGCCAATAAATAAAGAGATTTTGTTGTAATCTAGTCAACCGCAAGACACAGATAGGCTTGTCTTTCAACAGGGATTTTTGTGGGTAAAGAGAACCCTCACCAAATTACAGACACACATATATATACACACACACACACACACGTATACACACACATATATGTATGCAGGTATATATACATATATGTGTGTGTGTGTGTGTGTGTGTGTGTGTGTGTGTGTGTGTGTATGTCTGTGGACCTGAATGTGCATTTGTGGTCTGAGACAGAGATCATGGTCTAAAATACCAGGGATTTGTGTATTTTAAATTCAAACTTCTTCAATCTTTACTCAGTATTCTGACCTTAAAAAAAGCGCCTGCGCAAATGTCAGGCTTTTGTTTGTTGGGGAGATGGTGGGTGTTCAAGCTTCCAGAACGAGCCCATGTATTCTCTGCGTGGGGAGGAGCGTGCCAGTTGGCTTTGTTCTCTCAGTGGGAAGATTGTTCTGGAAGCCAAGGAGGAGATAGACAGGTATTCCACAGGATTAGTCACAGGAGAAATGCCTCTGTCACAGGGTTTCTTCCTGTAATTGTTCACAGGAATTCTGTGTTTGAAAAGGATGAGTGAAATGAAACATTCATTTTATTTGGTTGAATGGAAGCAGTTGGAGCTTCCTGGGTGAAGCAATTACTGATCAATTATGAATTTAGGTTTTGGGAGAAGAATTAGGATGTATTTGTTTTCATTATAATCATCAACAGACTTCATGGACAAAGCTATCTGTGCATACTAGAGACTCTGCTGGTTCTTTCCCTGCTCAATGGGGAACATGCAGCTGTGCATTTCTTCGGCCTTTCTTCCTTTCAAAGCACTAGATCATTGCATCCTTGTGACAGCCCTCTGCAAGGTGAAGACCCATTTGACACAGAAGGAAACAGGGGTAGGAGGACATGACTTGGCTGTCTTAAGCCTCACACCTACTGTGTGATACACCTGGGCTTAGGATGGAAGCCTCTATCCTTTTTCTATCGCCTCCTAGTGCCCTATTTTCTTCTGAAACTGGGATAAGACGTGAGAGGGTGGTAGGGAGAAATTGTGGGTGGACTACACCAACCCGGTAGCATGGCTCAGTCCTCAGACTGAGGTGCTGTTCAGTGCAGATTGTGGAAGGCCAGAGCCTGGGGAAAGCAGCTGTTGGATGCTCTGCAGGATGTCTGGACCCTGCCCTTGTGGGAAAACGACAGCAGCGTCAGCACCAATAACAACATCTCCTCTACACATGGTACAATTCAGAGGAGGAAGCAGGGCTTCCTAGTGAGGACAAAGGCGTGCGTAGCTGTTCAGCAAGGGGCAAAGCCGTGCCTTAAATGCACTCTCAACTGTGAGGGTGTTTTAACCCCATCCAATGAATAAATGTTAACGCATATCCGCTCCTTCTAAAATTTTCGCATCATATCTAGCTGGGATTTTAGGTGTGTGATTCTTAGTCATCCATTTATTCAGCAACTGATATTCCCCTGTTTTCACAATGCTTTGGCGAATGCCGTAAGTTTCGAGCCCTGTAGTCAACAGGTGTAGACCCACATGTTATAAATATTGCATTGGAGGAATGAAGTCCACTTGTTCATTTCTTAAGTACTTTCTGAACGTGGTACTGGATTCCGCTGGCTAACGTTTTGCTTAGCATCTTCTGCACTGATGTTCATGAGTGGTGTTAGTGTGTATATCTGCACCATCTTTATTAGGCTGAGTTATCAATGTAATATCAACGCTTCATCAAATGGATTTAGGATGTTTTTCTTCACATTCAGTGCTCTGGAAAAATCTGTGCCTACATCAACCCTCAGAAAAATTTGAAGTCAGAGAGTGCCCCTGCTTCAAAATAACTGTAAGTTAAAAGGGGGAAAAATCACCAAGTCCAAGCACACAAGCACACAATTGCTCATGCTCCTGGCCTACCTTCACCCCACCACAGGCTTTGTAGCAAGCAAAGGCAGACCAAGGGAAACTTGAAGGAAGAGAGAAGAGGGGAGTTTAACGAAGGGTCCCAAGGTTGATCTAAAACCACCACCATAAAGATGATGTCGACCCTCCATCTGAAAGTACTAAAAATGTATCTGGGTAGATCACAGCGCGGACTGCAAGCAAGGGACTGACACTTCTGTGCAGCTTGAAGGAATGGTTTTCAAAATGCACAGCTTCTGGGGAGAAAAAAGCAAATGTGAAGGAAGAGTGTTCTTTTGAAATCAGATGATGAAGGGGAGAAGAAGTAAAAGGGGAAGGTTTAAGATCCTGCAAGATAGAATGAGAAAAACCAAAAATAGGAGAAGACTCAAGCACTCCCTCGCCACCAGCACACACACACACACGCACACACACACACATATGAGTGTGCACACACATGCATATGTAGGCACACACACATGCACACACGTGGGTGCGCGCACACACACACATGTGCGTGCACACACACACCATACACACATAGACGTGCACACACACATGCACAGATACACACACAAGCACACACACACACAGAGTCCATTTATACATCTGGACTGTACTGACAGAATAGAATACCATTGAGGTAGAAACCTAGTAAAACTCGCTGATATAAAAATAATGAGAGGGAGGGAATGGGTGGGAGGGAAGTGGGGGAGTGAGGCTGCCGTGGCCTCTGCTGCTGGGCTTCAGTTGCCTTCTACTTAGGGTGCCCGGGAGGGCGCAGTCTTAGGCATTCCAGGTGACTCGATACAGGGGATGCTGCAATCACTTGATGACACTGGCTTCTTGTCCCCAGGTGCCGTCTCTAATCTCTGCCCATTCCACTCCTGCAAAGGTCACTTCTTGGTTTGCAGCCCGCCCCTCATTTAAATGTGAATATAAAAATAATGGACAACATATATTTTATCCAGTATGTAAATTATGTGATTTAATTTAGTGCATCTTGTTTGTTTTAGTTAATTTTTACAACAACTCTGAGGTTCTCATATCCCCATTCACAGATGAGGAAACCGGAACTCAAAAAGCAAAATAGTTCATCCAAGGTGATGAGATCCTTCTAAGTCAGTGGCAGCTCTAGAATCTGGTCAGGTCTGCCTTTCTCCACGCCTCTGCTCTTGGCTACCATACTGTGACATCCCCCACAGCAATCATCATCAAAGAGCAGAACATGGAGCCATTATCAGTAATGTACACCTCAGTATGAATTAGTTTATTCGTATTAGCAATTCATATCTCTTTAGCACTTTACAATTTGCAAAGCACTTGGGTGTATACTATGCTGCTTGATGTTTATAACAGCCCTGCAAAGTAGGTATCATCACCCCCAGTTTTACAAGGGGAGAAATTGGTGTTCAGATGTTTGCTCAATGTCATCTAGTTAGTGAATGGTGGGATAGTAGATTGTACGCAGTCAGGCCTCCCAGTTGTCAAGTCCATTTCTATCCACCACCACAAGCAAACTTCCTGAGCACCTAGCTGAGAGCAGGGCATTGAGGGAACAACAGCGTGAAGATATATATATACACACACGCACACGTGTATATACATATGCATACATACATATATACGAATATGTATAATTAAAGTAAAAAGATAATTTTTTTTTTTTAGACAGAGTCTCACTCTGTCACCCAGGCTGGAGTGCAGTGGCACGATCTCAGCTTACTGCAACCTACAGCTCCCAGGTTCAAGTGATTCTCCTGCCTCTGCCTCCCGAGTAGCTGGGATTACAGGCACCTGCCACCCTACCCAGCTCTTATATATATATATATATATATATACATATATATATTTTCTGTATATATATATATATACATACATATATATATTTTCTGTATATATATATACAAACACACATATATATTTCCTGTATATATATATACATACATATATATCTTTTCTGTATATATATATATACACATACATATATATATATATATATTTTTTTTTTCTGTATTTTTAGTAGAGACAGGGTTTCACCATCCTGGCCAGGCTGGTTTCAAACTCTTGACCTCAAGTGATCCGTCTACCTCGGCCTCTCAAAGTGCTAGGATTACAGGCATGAGCCACCACTCTTGGCCTTAAAGCAAATTTTTAAACTAAAGAGAAACCAAATAAAAAAACTGAATGTAGTTTTACCCTAAAACTCAAAAAACTTTTTAAAAACATAAAAAAAATCTTTAAAAAAGAGCACAATTTAAGATTAAGTTTGGATCAGTACCGTGACACCAGTCTGAATAGGACTAGAATAGCTACTGAAAGCACAAATTGGATTTGTCCTGTGCTCAGCTGACTCTGAGCTTTGCGTCCACTTTTCTTTCAATATGGAACACTCCTCTTTTCCACCTTATCTGTCAAAACAGAGCTCATGCTTCCAGACCAAGTGCAAACATCACTCCCATCATATTGCCTGTCTTAATCTGCCAGCAAGAAGGGAATTCTCCCTCAGAGTTTCTGAGCACTTTGTTTTCAAGGCTAAAATTGATTTAACTTTATAATCATTTTCACTTTTTACTTTAAGTTCACAGAATGTACAAAACCTTAAAATACAACTTATAAAAGTTGTTGGCCAGGCACAGTGACTCACAACTGTAATCCCAGCATTTTGGGAGGCCGAGGCCAGAGGATTGCTTGAGCCCAGGAGTTTGAGACCAGCCTGGGCAACATGGTGGCACCCTGTCTCTACAAAAAATGCAAAAATTAGCTGGATGTGGTCGTGCATGCCTGTATTCCCAGCTACTGAGGAGGCTGAGGTGGGAGGATCACTTGAGCCCAGGAGGTCTGAGGCTGCAGTGAGCCTTGAGCCTGCCACTGCACTCCAGCCTGGGTGACAGCCAGACACCGTGTCCAAAAAAAGTTACCAAATAAGTTGAAACAACACTAACAAATTCTGCATATCACAGCATATTCAATGTCTCTTTAGATAAATGCTAAATTTGATAAGTTTTATCACACACATATTTTATGAATACTGTATCTTTTAGTTAAAAGCTTTGTTTTGAGATAATTGTAGGCTTACAAGCCATTCCAAGAAATAACACAGAGAGCTCCAATGTTCCTTTTATCCATTTCCCACTGATAATGACATCTTACAGAACTATGGCACAGTATCCCAACCAGGATATTGACATTGGTACAATACACCCATACACCCAGCTTATTCCGATTCCTCATTTTTCCTTGCACCCATTAGTGTGTGTGTTTATGTAGTTCTGTGCAGCCTTAAGGACATGGGTAGGTTCACATCTCCCCCACAACAATCAAGCACAGAACAGTTACATCTCCGCAAGGATCCCTCCTGTTGCCCTTTTACAACCATGGCCGCCTCCCCCCAGCCTCCCTTCCCTAACCCGTGGTGATCACCAATATGTTTTTCATTCTATAGTTTTGTTGTTTCAAGGATGTTATATAATGGAGTCAGACAGTGTGTGACCTTTTGGGATTAGCTTTTTCATCTGAGCTTTTCGTAGAACTGCAATCATTATGTTTGAGTACTGCTTCTACCACTTGCTCAAGTTACTTAAACATCGTGTTCCTCAGTTTCCTCGCCTATAAAGTGCAGAAGATAATGTCTATTTGATAAGACTTATCTGTAACTTGGCCTACTGTTGGCTGCAAGGCGATTGTGGTTGTTCACTTGACCCATTTGTGATGCTGGACTGTGAGCTTCTTGTAGGCCTCGGCTACAGATGCTCCTGGAAGACGCTGACCATTGCTGTCTTCTAGATCAGAGGCTCCCAACCCCTGAGCCACAGAACGGTCCTGGTCTGTGGCCTGTTAGGAACTGGGCCACACAGCAGGAGGTGAGTGACGGGTGAGGGAGTGAGGCTTCATTTGTATTTATAGCTGCTCCCCATTGCTCAAATCATTGCCTGAGCTTCACCTCCTGTCAAATCAGCGGTGGCATTAGATTCTCATAGGAGTGTGAACACTATTGTGAACTGCCCATATGAGGGATCTAGACTGTGAGATCCTAATGAGAATCTAATGCCTGATGATCTGTCACTGTTTTCTGTCACCCCCAGATGGGACTGTCTAGTTGCAGGAAAACAAACACAGGGATCCCTCTGATTCTACCTTATGGTGAGTTCTGTAATTACTTCATTATATATTATTAGGTAATAATACTAGAAATAAAGTGCACAATACATGTAATGTGTTTGATTCATCCTGAAGCCACTCCCCATCCCCGGTCCATGGAAAAATTGTCTTCCACGAAACCAGTTCCTGGTGCCAAAAATGGTGGGGACTGCTGCCCTAGATCATCTTTGTGGGATGCCAGGGGTTAGGTTGGCCTGGAAAAGACCCTTTCAACTGAGAAGTTGCTGTTCACTCTCAGTGGGAGAAGAGAACAGGCACTGGAAGGAGGTGGCACACTGGCACATATATGTGTCAGTGTCACGGTAGGATCTGGAGTCAGAGAGAAGGCTCCTGGAAATACAAGAACGGAGAATTCGCTTTTTTGCCAATTTAATGCTGGGAACGCCCACCTAGAGAGGAATCCTGAAAATGCCCATCAAGAGAGGTATATTATTCCATTCTCACATTGCTATAAAGAAATACTGCAATTGGGTAACTTATTAAGAAAAGAGGTAGAATTCATGGTCCTGCAGACTGTGCAGGAAGCATAGTGGCTTCTGCTTCTGGGGGAGGCCTCAGGAAACTTACAGTCATGGTGGAAAGCTAAGGGGAAACAGGAACATCTCACACAGCTGGAGCAGGAGGAAGACAGAGTGGGGAGGA
The DNA here is from genome assembly GCF_000001405.40 of Homo sapiens. Classification (NCBI taxonomy): domain Eukaryota; kingdom Metazoa; phylum Chordata; class Mammalia; order Primates; family Hominidae; genus Homo; species Homo sapiens. Next base: position 11,044,492 of record NC_000002.12, on the reverse strand, counting down.
GGTATCACATACTTTTAAACAACCAGGTCTCATTCACAATCACGCGAACAGCACTGAGGAGATGGCGCTAAACCATTCATGAGAACTCTGCCCCCATGATCCAATCTCCTCTCACCAGGCCCACCTCAGACACTGGGGATTACAATTCGACATGAGATTCAGTGGGGACAGAGATCTGAACCATATCAAGAGCGATCCTGGGAACGCCCACCAAAGAGGCATCAGTTGCCTGTTACATTCTGTCTGTGGAGTCCTCATTCAGAAGTTTAAGTGTGGCAAAGGGAAGATTTTGAGATGTTTAAGACATAAAATGCTACAGACAGTAAATGGTACTAGTTCTTTGAGAAGTTTAGTTGTGATAGATTTTTAATCTCATATATTTAATTAAAGTTCCGATTGTCTTTTGACAGCCAGGTAAAAATGCTTTGTTATTCCATCTAAATCTCAAATGCACACAGTAGAACCTCCAAGTCACACAGTAAGAACCAATATTGCTTCTTCCAGGTAAGTGAGCAAATAGGACCAAATCCATTTGCACCAGAGTATGTTCCACCACGTCTGTACAGCTGTCAGTGTATTTGCTCATTGTATGGAAAAAACCCCCACCATTTGGCACTTTTAATGTTTTCCCCCAAAGAACACCTCTAACCAAGCAGAAGCAATCTGATCCCCCAGTTGGAACGATGTAAGTGGAATTAAATATTTTAAAATGATGTCTTGATAATTGTTGAAATTCTTGGGCCTCTGCTGTGACTTGACAGCTTGGTAATTGCTAATTTGCTTTTATGCTAATTTAACTGGATCCTCATTTTCCTGTTAAATTCTAAGACTTGTTGATTGAGCTGAGCTCTTCCTACCTGACTCAGGAGTGCAAGAGGGGGATAGTGGAGGGCAGAGGACCTGTCTTCTCTGGCTTCCTAACTCCATTCCAGAACCTGCAGCCCCGGGGCCTTCTGCAAGGAAGGTGCTCAGTAAATATGTATGACATGAGTGAAGCCTGTCGAAGGGAATGTGATTTTCCAAAAGGGAAATTAGCAACTCTTCAACCAGGCAAGCATTCACTTAACAGCTGTCACTGATGGCTGATTTAGTGGAAGAATCAGAAGTTTTAGAGGAAGACATAGCTGGGTACAAATCTTTTCTTTGTCATTTGCTGGCTGACAGACTGGGAAAATGAATCAATCTTCTTGAGGTATGTTTCCTCATTTACAAATAATGTTCCTATTTTAAGGCATTGTGTGCATTTAAAGAATATATGTAAGGACCGGGGCAGAGTAACTATGGCACGTGGGATTCAAGAAATACTGGCTTCATTTTCTTCCTCTTTCTAAACATTTGTAATTCTGTTTTCTGCTGTTTTGTTACATTCCTTCACCCTCCCCAAACACAGTCAATAGCATTCATTCAGTTAAATTTGACTTTATGCCAAACTCTGTGTTTCCTACTGTGAATGAAGAGATAGACAAGCACAGCTGGGCCCTCAGAAGCCTAATGGGCCAGCGGGTGGCACCCCCCGGGCTGGAGGTAGAGGGCCAGGCTTCTGGAAATGCCCCTGGACCCTAATGTTACACAGGAGGTGACCGGGAAGCATGAGTGGATCGCCCGCCCTTGCACGTTTCTACCCTTGCCTCTCTATTACTCCTGTCAGAAGCAAATCCTCTCAGTAGCCTCGACTCTCTGTTCTGGGACAGTTCTCGGCAGCCAGGGCACCCATGGGTGAGTATCTGTGTCACCTTTCTTCTTCCCAAACTCACTCATTTGCACAGCAGGAACTTAGAATATAAATTTATTGCATAAAATGAAGATTGCTTGTGTGGCAGATAACGGTACTCAAAAAATAAAGCCTTGTTTGAGTCTCTGTTTTCAATTCTTTGGGGCATATACCTAGGAATCAAATTGCTGGATCATACAGCAATTCTGCTTAACTTTTTGAGGAACCACCAAGCTGTTTTCTACACTTTCCTTCTTTTCATGACCTTGGCCATCTTGAGGAACTGGTTAGGTATTCTTTAGAATGTCCCCAGTCTGGGTTTGTCTAGTATTTTCCTCATGATTACACTGGCTGTTTGGGTGTTTTGAGAGACTATGAGGTTAAGAGCCCTTCTTTCTCATCACGTCACATCAGCGGTACATGGAATATGCACGGCATCACTGGTGATGTTATCTCTGACCACTTGGCTAACATGGTGTTTGCCAGATTCCTTCACTGTAAATCACTCTTTCCCCTTTCCCTAGACTACTCTACAGGAGTGCATCAGTAAGTCTAGCTACCCTCAAGGGGAGAGGGTTAAGCTCCACCTGTTAGATGACAGCATCTATATATACTGCTTGAAATTCTTCTGTAAGGAAGATTTGTCTATTTTCCCATTCAGTTATTTATTCAAATGTTTATTTATAACAGTAGAGACCTGGTAGATTATGCTTCAGGTTATATTTCAATATCACGCTGTTTATATTTTTGCCTAAATTATTCCAGCTTCACTTCTTTCCATTTGGGCCCTGTGTCCCTTTGACATGCCCCATCCTTTTGCTTTTTGAGCAGTTCCAATGTTTTATTGGAACATTGTATTTAGAGACCAGGCTCTTGACTCTGGGTGTGAGATGCCTGAGCTTTGAAGGTTTAGTTAATATTCATCAACTACCCTCATCCCCAGCAAACATAGTCTGTGGCCCTAGAAAACAGAGGTCAGCAATGGCAGGCAGAGACCCAAGTCATTATTCCCCAATGCATAGGTGCCGGGTGAAGGGCTTGTCTTATGGTATTGGCACAGATAGACATAGAAAGCCCCACTGCTCAGTTGTCTGCTGTGGGCCAGGGCACAGGATAAAGATGTAGGTGCCAGAGCTTGTCTTGTAAAGGCCCATAGCCAGCAAAGCTAAGTTCTGTCAACAAGTCTAGGTAGGTTGCAAACACACCCAAGCTTGTGCCATGCAGGGATGTGAGTAGCAGGAGGGTGGAACTTCCCAGAACGTGTCAGGTTTTGGAAACGGGATGGCTGGTATTACAGGTCAGGCTTCAGTGCAGCGTTGAGTACAGAAATGTGGACAAGCTGGAAGGAGGGATGGCCAAACTCAAATTCCAAACAATGACCATTCACTGAATGTCCTTGTAGGACTATAGGACGGAGAACTGGAAACCAGGACCACCTCCAAAGATCCAGGCTGCTGCTTGCCATGGTGAAGTGGAACTAGCCAGGTGGGAGTTGATCAGAATCAGAGCAGACACCAGATCAGAGCAGAGCAGAGTGGGAAGGGGGCAAGGGCTGGTGCCTGGAGGCCAAGAGGTTTGGCATGTGGGAGAAGACCCAGTGCTCAGCAGAGGCTGGTACTGAGCCTAGTGCTCTGCCCTTTTTCATGTTTCCTGCAAGATGTGGCTGAGGCAGGAGCTTCTTCAGGATATGGTGGGTCTGAGCCCTGGAGGTGGAGCCCTGCAGGGGGCTGAGTCTCTAGATCTCTAGGGTAGCTCTGATTTCCTCTCTGAGGAGCTACCTGTCTTTGACAATCGAATCTAGAGTCCACGCTATCACCAGAGCATCAGAATATAAATCTTATGGAAGACTTGCCCACATAGAGCAACAGTGGGGGCGGGAGTAAGTTTTGTTACAGGAATTGGTAAATTTGATTGCTACATATCTAAATCTACATGATAATGAGAGCTTTGTGGAGATTCATTATGCATAAGTTTGTTTGGCTTAAGCCCTAGAAATTTCCTGGTGCAATTTTAAAAGTTTCTCATTACATCCAGGTTTCCTGGAGACTTTGCCTTTATTTTATAAAGCCTGGTAGGAAAACATTTGATATTTGAAAGACTTTTCTTTGGCTTGAAAAATAGCTTCCCACATTGGAAGGGGATGGAGTCCTCCTGGCATTTTTCATGCCTGGGCTACAGTATAGCTTCCAGGAGGGCCTGTGTCAATTATTTCTCAGCAGTGCTGACTGGAGCTTGTGCGGACTGCACCGAAAGACTGAGATAAGAAAATAATCAATTATTCATAATTTAAAAATTCTGTACTTGATTTTTAAATGAGAAAGGAAAAGGTAGGATTTTGTGCAATATATTTACAGGTACATTCCTAAATTCTGACTATAATGTTAATATTAATTGATTTGTTCAATCATTTAACAAACATTTATTTTCAGAAAACCATCTGTGCACTTTGCATAGCAGCTATTTTTGTGCCATGCCCTATGCTTGTCCCCACCTTCACAGGTTGACAGTCTCATGGGGCAAATTCCAAGCAGAGATGCAAGGAAAGAAGGATGGGGCAGGAAGCAAGAGACCCATAATTCTGTCTCTGATGAGTGTCCTGGATGACTTAAAAGACATTAGTGATATGATGGGTCCCAGTTTAAAGTAGTGGCTGAGCACCTGCATTTATCTTTCCTGACTCCCAAATCTCCTCTGAAATAGTAGTAAAGAAGTGTAAAATTAATAACAACAAAAGACTGGGGTGGAGAACAGTTGTTAGGAGGCAAGAGATTTTTATGAATTTGAAGAACATGGAGGGCAGAGAGGATTGTACTGATGGGTGAAGCAGAGTAGAGCCCAGAGTGACTGCAGCAGAAACGGAAGCTGTTCCCTCCCCTGATCATGGAGGAGGCAGGGAGGGAGGAGAGGGGATATATGGGACCCACACAGAACTATGCACCAGCCGTGGAGTTGGCCTCAGATTAAGAGAAGAGAAACAGTAAGAAAATGAACTATTTACCAGGGAAGGACTAAATCTTGCAATGTGAGTTCTGGCCCAGGGAAAGCCACCCTAACTCTGGTAGGAGGGGAGGGCATTGCCAAACTCACCTGCTTTTCATCTTGAGTCAAAATAAAGTTTGCCATATGCATGCTTCAACCCCATGCCCAGGCACCTGGGGGAAACAGAGCCACCTGGAAGATGAGGCACTTCGTACTAGTGATTTATATTATTCAACCAAGGCCTTCTTTCATAAACCTAAAAGGACAACTAAATAGCACCACACATTCAGCAAAACAAATGTATAAGAGAAAGACACCAACAGGAACAAATCCTGGAGGAAACAGAGATGTGCAAAAGATAACTTAAAGAAGATACAATTGGTATTTCAGAGTTATCTAATAAAATACTTTTTCCATAAAATAAAAACCAGAGGCCATTAAAAAGGAAAACAGAAAAGGGCAACCCATGGCAGTTCTTTCTGTTTTCTTCTAGGAGAAAACTCCAGAGGAAGGTGTGAATTATATTGGAACCCACCAAAAAGTTACACCCTGTAATAGTCCAACCTTGGCAACACAGGTGTTGAAATCTGAAAATAGAGATTCAGATTATTTTTACTGAAGTATAACTGGCATACTATAAATTTACTCATTGATGTGCACAATTCAACAGCTTTTGGTATATTTATAAAGATGTGCAACCAATATCACTATCTAAAGGTTTTCATCACCCCTAAAAGAAACCCTTCACTTGAAAGAATTCTGAAAGCAGTGAGACAAAAGCACCAGGTAACCCATAAAGGAATACTTATCAGACTAACAGCAGACTTTGCACCAGAAACTTTACAAGCCAGAAGGGTTTGGGATCCTATCTTTAGCCTCCTTAAACAAAATACCTGTTAGCCAAGAATTTTGTATCCAGCAAAACTCTTTCCTAAACGAAGGAGAAACAAAGCCATTTTCAGACAAACAAATGCTGAGGGAATTTGTCACTACTAGACCAGCCTTGCATAAAATGCTAAAAGGAGTTCTAAATCCTTAAACAAAAGATTGATATGAGCCAGAATAGAACCTCTTGAAAGCCTAAAAGTCACAGGGCCTACAAAATAATAACACAATTAAAAAAAAGTATCTAGGAAACAACTAAGATGATGACTGGAACAGTACCTCACATCTCAGTATTAATGTTGACTGTAAATGGCCTAAATGTCCCATTTAAAAGATACAAATTTGCAGAATGGATGAAAAACCACAAACCAAATATCTGCTGTCTTCAAGAGGCTCACCTAACATATAAGGATTCATAAAAACTCAAGGTAAAGAAATGGAAAAAGATATTCCATGCAAATGGAAACCAAAAGTGAGCAGGAGTAGCTATGCTTATATCAGATAAAATAGACCTTAAAGCAACAACAATAAAAAAAGACAAAGAAGGTCATTATATAATAACAAAAAAAATCAATCTAACAAGAGAATATTATAATCCTAAATTCATATCCACCTAACGCTGGGGCTCTTAGATTCATAAAACATTTACTACTAGACCTAAGAAATGAGACAGACAGCAACACAATAATAGTGGGGGACTTCAACACTCTACTGATAGCACTAAAGAGATCATTGAGACAGAAGGTCAACAAAGAAATAATGGACTTCAACTATACTCTAGAACAAATGCATCTAGCAGATATTTACAGAACATTCTACCCAAGAACAGCAGAATATACATTCTTCTCTTCAGCACATGGAATATTCTCCAAGATAGATTATATGATAACTCCCCAAACAAGTCCCAATACATTTAAAAATATTGAAATCATATCAAGTATTAATATATTCTCAGACCATGGTGGAATAAAACTAGAAATCAACTATGAAAGGAACCTTCAAAACTACACAAATGAATGGAAATTAAACAATCTGTTACTGAATGATTTTGGGGGTAACAATGAAATCAAGATGGAAATTTAAAAATTCCTTGAAGTGAATGATAATAACGACACAAGTTATAAAAACCTCTGGGACACAGCAAAAGCTGTGCTAAGAGGAAAGTTTATAGCACTAAATACCTACATCAAAAGGTATGAAAGACTACAAATTAACAACCTAATGTCACATCTTAAGGAACTACAGAAACAAGAACAAACTAAAGCCAAAGCTAGCAGAATAAAATAAATAACAAAGATAAGAGTAGAACTAAATGAAATTGAAACAAAGAAATACAAAAGATCAATGAAACAAAAAGCTGGTTCTTTGAAAAGATAAACAAAATTGACATGCCATTCACTACATTAACCAAGAAAAGAGAGAAATTCAAATAAAGTTAACTAGAAATGAAATTGGAGACACTACAACTGACACCACAGAAATACAAAAAAATCATTTGAGACTACTATGAACACCTCAATGCATATAAACTAGAAAGTCTAAAGGAACTTGATAAATTACTGGAAACATACACTCCTCCTAGATTAAATCAAGAAGAAACAGAAACCCTGAACAGACCAATAACAAGCAGTGAGTTGAGTCAGTAATTTTAAAAAATGCCAACAACAACAACAACAAAACCCAGGGTGAGATGGATTCATAGCTGAATTCTACCAGATATTCAAAGAAAAATTGGTGCCAACCCTACTGAAACTATTCCAAAAGATTGAGAAAGAGGGACCTCTTCCTAACTGATTCTATGAAGCCAGTATTACCCTGATACCAAAACCAGGAAAGGACATAACAAAAAGAGAAAACTACAGACCAATATCCCTGATGAACACAGATGCAAAAATCCCCAACAAAATACTAGCTAATCAAATCCAACAGCACATCAAACGGATGATGATACATCATGATCAAGTTGGTTTCACCCTAGGAATGCAGGGATGGTTTAACATATGCAGGCCAATAAATGTGATACATCACATAAACAGAATTAAAAACAAAAACCATATGATCATTTCAATAGATGGAGAAACAGCATATGATAAAATCCAGCATCTCTTTATGATAAAAACACTCAACAAACTAGACATAGAAGGGACTTACCTCAAAATAATAAAAGCCGCATATGACAAAACCACAGCCAACATTATACTGAACGGGGAAAAGTTGAAAGCATTCCCCCTGAGAACTGGAACAACAAAAGGATGCCCACTTTTATCACTTCTATTCAACATAGTACTGGAAGTCCTAGCCAGAGCAATCAGACAAGAGAAAGAAATAAAGGGCATCCAAATTGGAAAAGAGGAAGTCAAACTATCGCTGCTCACCAATGATATCATCATACACCTAGAAAACCTTAAAGACTCCTCCAAAAGACTCTTAAATTTGATAACAAAAATCAGTAAGGCCTCAGGTTACAAAATCAATGCATACAAATTAGTAGCACTGCTATACACCAACAATGACCAAGCTGAGACTTAAATTAAGAACTCAACCCCTTACAGCTGTAAAAATAGAAAAACAAAAACAAAAACAAACAAACAAACACCCAACAACCCAGGAATATGCTTAACCAAGGAGAACTACAAAACACTGTTGAAAGAAATAATACATGACACAAATGAATGGAAACACACCCCATGCTCATGGATTGGAAGAATCAGTATCATGGAAATTACCATACTGCCCAAAGTAATCTACAAATTCAATGCCATTCCTATCAAAATACCAACATTAGTTTTCACAGAATTAGAAAAAACAATTCTAAAATTCATACGGAACTTAAAAAGAGCCTGAATACCTAAAGCAATCCTAAGCAAAAAGAACAAATCTGGAGGCATTATATGACCAAACTTCAAATTATACTGTAAGGCTAGAGTTACCAAAACAGCACGGTACTTGTACAAAAGTAGACACATAGACCAGTGGAACAGAATAGAGAACCCAGAAATAAAGCCAAATACCTACAATCAACTGACTTTGACAAAGGATACAAAAACATAAATTGGGGAAAGAATACCCTATTTAATAAACAGTGCTGGGAAAACTGGCTAGCCACATGTAGAAGAATGAAACTGGATCCCTATCTCTCACCTTATACAAAAATCAACTTGAAATGGATAAAAGGCTTAAATCTAAGACCTGAAACCATTAAAATTCTAGAAGAAAACCTAGGAAAAACTCTTCTGGACATTGGCCTAGACAAACAATTCATGACTAAGACCCCAAAAGCAAATGCAAAATAAAATAAAATAAAAGAGACCTAATTAAAACTAAAATGCTTCTGTACAGCAAAAGAAATAATCATCAGAGTAAACAGACAACCCACAGAATGGGAGAAAATATTTGCAAACTATGCACCTGGCAAAGAACTTATATCCAGAATCTACAAGGAACTCAAACAAATCAGCAAGAATGACCAACATGCAAATGAAAAAATGCTCAACATCGCTAATCATCAGGGAAATGCATATTAAAACCGCAATGAGATACCACCTTACTCCTGCAAGAATGGCCATTATTAAAGAGTCAAAAAACAAAAGATGTTGGCATGCATATGATGAAAAGGGAACGATTATACACTGCTGTGGGAATGTAAATTAGTGCAAACTTTATGGAAGACAGTATGGAAATCTTTCTCTTTCTTTCTTTCTTTCTTTCTTTCTTTTCTTTCTTTCTTTCTTTCTTTCTTTCTTTCTTTCTTTCTTTCTTTCTTTCTTTCCTTCCCTCCCTCCCTTCCTTCCTTCCTTTTTTTTTCTTTTTTTTGCAGAGTCTTCTTCTGTTGTCCAGAATGGAGGGCAGTGGTGGTGTGCTCATGCACCATTAATGCTTGAGCCTGGGAGGTGGACAGCAAACTCCACTTCCCAGGATCAAGTGATCCTCCCACCTCAGGCTCCCAAGAAGCTGGGACTACAGGTGCATACCACCACACTTGGCTAATTTTAAAATTTATTTTTGAAGAGATGAAGTCTCACTATATTGCTAGACTGGTCTCAAATTCCTGGGTTCAAGCGATCTGCTCACCTTGGCCTCCCAAAGTGTTGGGATTACAGAAGTGAGCCACTGCACCTGGCCCAGAGATTTCTTAAAGAACTAAAAGTATATCTATAATTTGATCCAGCAATCCCACTGCTGGGTATCTACCCAAAGGAAAAAAAGTCATTATATCAAGAGGACACCGCACACATATGTTTATTGCAACACAATTCACAATTGCAAAGACATGGAACCAACCTAAGTGCCCACTGACCGATGAATGGATAAAGAAAATGTGGTATATATACACCATGAAATAGTACTCAGCCATAAAAAAGAACAAAATAATGTCTTTTTCAGCAACTTGAATAGAGCTGGAGGCCATTACTCTAAGTGAAATAACTCAGGAATGGAAAACCAAATACCATATATTCTTACTTACAGGTGGGAGCTAAGCTATGGGTACACAAAGGTATACAGTCATATAATGGACTATGGAGACTCAGAGGGGGAGGGTGGTTGGGGGGCGAGAGATAAAAACTACATATTGAATACAATGTACATTACTCAGGTGAGGGGTGCATTAAAATCTCAGACAATTCATCCATGTAACCAAAAGCCACTGATACCCCAAAAGCAATTGAAATTTTAAAAAAATTGAAAATAAGCTGAACATGAAAGACTGAAGAAAAAAAAGGAACCCTTCAATCAAGGGCAATTATTTTCCATTTGCTTTTTGCCCTAGCCTTTGGCAACAACTAATCTACCTTCTGTCTCTCCATATTCGTCAATTCCAGACATTTCATGGAAATGGAATCATACAATATCTGACCTTTTGTGCCTGGCTTTTTTCATGTAGCATAATGTTTCAAGGTTGACCCAAGTTGTAGCATGAATCTGTACTTTATTCCCTTTTATGGCTAAATTATTTTCTATTCTATGGATATAACACATTTTATTTACTCATCAATTGATGGAATCTGATTTCTACTTTTTGCCTTTTATGAATAAAGTTGCTGTGAACATTTGTGTACAATTTTTGCACAGACATGTATTTTCAGTGTTCTTGAGTATATAACTAGGAATGGAATTACTGAGTAATATGGTAAATCTATCTATGTTGGCATTTTTGAGGGAATGCTAAACTGTTTTTGAAAGTGGCTGCACCATTTTATACCACAATGTACAAGGGCTCCACTTTCTCCACATCCTTGCCAACATTTCTGATAACAGCCATCCTGGTGAGTGTGAAGTGGCATCTCCTTGTGGTTTTCATGGCTAATTCTGTTGACCATATGTTCATACCTTCAACATTCATCCAGGCAACTGATAACTCTTAGCCTTCTCTTTCTGATGATACTGATCTTCAAGGTCACCCAGAGGTGAGAACTTAGGGCATTTTCAGATCTATCCCAGGCATGCAACACTGTCACACATGTACAAGGCCTTCCAGGTTCCTAGGAACATGCCAGAACTTTCCAAAGCCCACTCTGGATACTTCAGCTTTTCCTTTTATGTTTTTTGGTCAGCTTCTTGTTTGTCCCAACTGGTAGCATGATTGCAGGCAGCTGTAATGTTAAACAACTGCCACTGATTGTCTTCAACAAATGTCCCTGGAGAAAAGGCTATTCATGCTCAGTGAATGCCAAGTCAAGTCATATAAAGACAAGCCCTGCTAGTAAGGCTTTCCAGAGCTGCAGACAGGTCAAACAATGAAAAGTCTCTGTAATGAGGCTTTCGGGAAGCCCAAACCTATTTTGCCCTTTCCAGTGGCTGCTAGGCTGTTGGTTTTCACTGGGATTGTGGAGATTTTGGTTTTCCAGGCTGCTGCAAGAGGGGAATGCCAGTAAGAGAAGTTCAACCCCACAAAGTTCACTGCTTTTACTGAAATTCAGCTGCTTCTCTTTAATAAACACTTTAACATTGCTGTGAGCCTTTGGTTAGTTTCCAGAGTTTTAAAAAATTGATTTGAGCATTTTTTGCCAGTGTTCAGGTCACTTTAATGGGGAAGTGGAAGTTTGGAGGTCCTTACTGTCCATTTCTGCTGATGTCGTGATGAGACTTCAGATTCTTGACTATATCAGGCCTTTTTGCCAAGGGGTAGAAATATTTATTGTTGTTACTCCAAGAGAACAAAGAAATCAACACTTATTATTTAAATATTAGCTGGCTAATTTGACAAAAATGTATTAAGCACCTGAGATATTTTCCTCCAAGCAACATACGAGATGGGATTGGGATGTCTGAATTTCCTCTCAGACTCACACATTTTGAGCAACAGCTTTTGCTCCAAAAGGGAAGTGGTGCCATCGGGTGTCTGTGGTTTTTGTCCATATCACATGACTATTGTGCCTTGATATGTTTGCCTTCTAGGTGGGAAAGCAATCCAGTCAGCCATTCACACCTGAGATTTAAGAGGCAGATTTTGATTACAAGATATATCTTACTTTTTTTAAAGCCCTTAATTTCTCCTGCCCCAAAAGAAATTCTATTAATGTAATCCAGCACATTAGCAGAGTAGAATACAGTGATACCAATAGATAATTATCCAATGCATTAAAAGCATTTGATACAATTTAACATCCAGTTGTGATTTTTTTAAAAAGGAGAGGAAACTCAGCACATAAGAATTAGAAGAATATCTGTAAAAAAATAAAAACCTTACAGATATCATCTTACTTAATGGGGAAGAATTAAAATAATTCCTGTTAGAACACAGAAAAAAAAACCCAAGGATACCCACTCTCAGGGTGAAATTTAATGTATTACAATAATTTCTAGTCAGAGAAATAAGAATAGGAAATGGAAGTTTTAAAGATTTGAAAAGAAGAAACGAAACTGTCATTTTCTTTGCAGATGAGATGACTGTTATGTAGAAAGTCCAGGAGATTAGATAGACTATTAGAATTAATGGGAGAGTTCAGCAAGATACTAGATTTTTTAATTAAAAAATTACATTTTCACACACCATGCATCAGTTATAAAATGTCATTTAAAACAAAATACCTTTTATGATAGCTACAAAACAATCAAAAATAAACCCAGCTACCCAGAAATAATACAAATGTGTAAGATTTTCGTGGAAAAAATGGTAAAATTTACTGAGTGATATTCAGGAAAACCCAGAGATAAGTCATGGTCATGGATAGAAAGACCCAATATTGACTAAGCACAGTGGCTCATGCCTGGAATCCCAGTGCTTTAAGAGGCCAAGGAGGGAAGCCAGCTTGAGGTCAGGAGTTCCAGACCAGCCTGGGCAACATAGCCAGTCTCTGGTCTCTATTAAAAAAAAAAGGTTAGCTGAGTGTAGTGATACACACCTGTATTCCTAGCTACTCCATCAGAGGCTGAGGCAAGAGAATCACTTGAGCCCAGGAATTCGAGGCTGCTGTGAACTATGATCATGCCACTGCACTGCAGCCTAAATGACAGAGCAAATCTCTGTCTCAATAAAATAAATAAAATAAAATAAAGACCCAATATAAAAAAGATGTTAATTCTTCCAAAAATGATTCATAGATTTAATGGAATTCCAACTTTAAAACTTCAGTAGGATTTTTCACTAAACTCAATGAGCTTATTCTAAAATTTATATGGAAGAATAATAGACCAAGACCAGCCTAAAACTCTTTGGAGGAGGATGGGGGTGGGGGTTGCCCTCTGAATCTAGAAGCACATCACACAGAGGGGGCAGTTTTGTGTGGGATCAGAAACAGGCAGGCAAGCACAGAGAATAGAATTGGAGGAACTCTCCAATGATTTGCAGGTGTGTAGAAACGGGCTACTGACTCAGCTGGCAATGAAGGTCGTGGAAGAAGGACAGACTCTTTAATGAAGAGTAATTGATTAACTACAGGACAAACACTGAAATCGGATCTTTACTTTATCTCTTAATGTAAAAATAAATCTCAAATGGATTAAAGACTTAATTATTAAAGTCAAAACTTAGAGAATATGATATAGGAGAATATCTTCATGGTCTCGGGGTAGAAAAGAATTAGTTAAAGCAACCCCTAACGGAAAAGATTAATACATTTGCAGCATTAAAAAAATATTGTTCATCCAAGCTCTATAACAAAATTCAAATAAGACATGAATTAGCAGAAGGTATTATCAACACATGACTGACGAAAGATCTAGAATATATTAAAATTTCTAATAAGATAAGAAAAAGCTCCCCAATAGAAAAAAATACAAAAGAAAGCACTTTGCAGAAGAAGCACAGATACCCGATTAATATGTGAAAAGCAACTGAACCATATTAGCAAATAAAGGAATGTAAACTCAAACCATTGTAGGATATTGTTTAGTATTCCCCACCCATTGACAAGAAATTAAAATACAATATAATAAAGTGGTATCAAAGACATGGAACAATTCCTTTATATTGCTGGTGGGGGCTCAAAATGGTACAATCACTTTGGAAAAAAATTGACATTATTTAATAAATAGATTGAAGATGCATGAACTCAAAGATTCAGCAATTCTACTTCAAAGAAAAACTCTTGTATAAAAACCCTTGAATGCTAGGAAATGTATAAGAATATCCACAGTGAAATTGAATGTAATGTAAAGAATCACTGGAAAAAACCCAAAAGTTCACTGGCAAGAAAACGAATAAATGAATTGTGACATAATTTATACGACGCAATGCTGCACACAGTGCAAATGAACTAACCAAGCTGCAGGCACCAACACAGATGAATCCGGCCTAATTTGGAGCAGAATATGTCACTCACAGAAGAATACACAGCATGACATCGTTTTTGTAAAGTTCAAAAACATGCAAATTAATCAATGTGTAGAAACACGCATATTGTCAAACTCTAAAGAATAGCGAAGGATGATAAACAGAATTCAGGACAGTGGTCACCTGTCGGGAGGCAGACGGGGGCATGGGACTCAGGTAGGCACACGATGCCTGGCAGGTGCTGATACATGGAATGGTTCTTTTTTGTTGTTGTTTGTTTGAGACAGAGTCTTACTCCATCAAACAGGCTGGAGTGCAGTGGTGCGATTTGGGCTCACTGCAACCTCCATCTCCAGGGTTCAAGCGATCCTCCTGCCTCACCTTCCCTAATAGCTGAGATTACAGGCGCACGCCACCACACTTGGCTAATTTTTGTATTTTTAGTGGAGACGGGGTTTCACCATGTTGACCAGGTTGGTCTCAAACTCCTGACCTCAAGTGATCCACCTGCCTCAGCCTCCCAAAGTGCTGGGATTACAGGAATGAGCCACCAAGCCCGGCTGCATGGACTGGTTCTTAAACCAGCAGTCAGGGCCTTGGCCTTCACTTAGTACTCGTGGAGCCCTTCCACCCTGTGCTCTTTAACACCGCCCTCTGGTTCTGCAGAACAGAAGGAAGAAACAAATGACCCAGACTCAGTCAGATACAACTGCGTGAAAATGTGAACATCAAGGAAAAAGGGAAGAGCTTCAAAGCTTCAGAGAGAAAAACATGCAAATGTTTACACCTTCAAAGGAATGGGAATCCAGACTGGTATCAGGCGTCTCCACAGAAACACCAGATGCTGGGAGATAATGAGGCAATACCTACGATGTCCCTGTTCAGCTGAGCAGCAGGGATGGAATCAGAAAAGCCTCACGTGACCCCCTTGAATTCATGACACAGGGCTGGTTTGTTGTTGCTGTTGTCGTTGTTGTTTTTTGTTTGTTTGTTTTTGCCTGTCTCTGAGTGAAACTTAGGGCAAATCTTATGGTTTTTCTTATTCTTGTCGAGATAAGTGGCCACCAGCCAGTCACTCATTTGCCTAGCTTCTCCTTTTTTGGGCTGAGGTCTGCACAGGTGACCCCAGGTGGGAGAGAGAGGCATGACCGTTGCTTCTCTTTCCCTACTTCCTGCTAATTGCAGTTTCTCACATTTTGGGAATGGAGCAGGGGGAGGGAGAAGACCCAAGAAGTTAGGAGGGCCCTCACCTGGCTGCATGGATCCAGTTTTAGTTTGGTTTGGTCAGGTGTTTAAAGATGCCTCTTTCTGGCGATGTTGGTGTGTTTGCTGGAGGTGTCCCCTGCCTCCCTATTAGGGATCTCTTCCTGTAATTCCCTTTATGAGGGTGAGCATGGCTTCTCCCTGCTGATCTCCCAAACCTTCCTTAGATCCCAGCACCTGTCCACCCCTCCAGAGGATCTCACAGACAGGACCAATGACAATCCACATGCTCTCTCTGGCACAAGCCCCAGTGGGTCCAAGGATGCCCTCAGGCATCCTCCACCTGCGTCGACTTTGGGAGTGAAGGCCGCTGGTGCAGGGAACTCACCTTGCTCTGCTCTCCCAGCAGGTGGTGCTTGACCTCCTGATTTTCCAGGTGGGCTCCCCTAGACTGCAGAAAACAAACCCTCTGAGTTTATTATCTCTCTTTGCTTTAGGTGAAGGGGTGGAGCCCCTCCAGGAGGAAGGACTCCCCGCACACCAAGAACACTCCAGAAACAGCCTCCTCCCTTCTGCAACCTCTAACCCTTTCAAGCTCTCTGTGTGTGTGTCTATGGATGAGGGACCTGAGAGTTATAAAGCCATATTTCTCTATCTTCTTTTTAAAACTCTTGTTTGGGCCAGGAGCGGTGGCTCACATCTGTAATCTCAGCACTTTGGGAGCCTGAAGCGGGTGGATCAGCTGAGGTCAAGAGTTCAAGACCAGCCTGGCCAACATGGTGAAACCCCATCTCTACTAAAAGTATAAAAATTAGCTGGGCATGGTGGTGGGCGCCTGTAATCCCACCTACTCAGGAGGCTGAAGCAGGAGAATCACTTGAACCTGGGAGGTGGAAGTTGCAGTGAGCTGATATCATGCCACTGCACTCCAGCCTGGGCGACAGAGCAAGACTCTGTCTCAAAAAAAATAATAAAAATAAATAAATAAATAAATAAAACTCTGTTTGGTGACCATGGTGGGCAGAATAACACAGCCTCTTCCCCTGACCCCCCTAGAGAGGTCCATTTCCTAATCCCTGGAGCCAGTGGATATGTTACCTTCCATAGCAAAAGGGACTGAGAAGATGAGATTAAGAAATTTGAGATGCGGGCCGGGCGCGGTGGCTCATGCCGGTAATCCCAGCACTTTGGGAGGCCGAGGCGGGCAGATCACGAGATCGAAATCATCCTGGTTAACACGGTGAAACCCTGTCTCTACTAAAAATACAAAAAGTTAGCCGGGCGTGGTGGCGGGCACCTATAGTCCCAGTTACTTGGGAGGCTGAGGCAGAGAATGGGGTGAACCCGGGAGGTGGAGCTTGCAGTGAGCTGAGATCACACCCCTGCACTCCAGCCTGGGTGACAGAGCGAGACTCTGTGTCAAAAAAAAAAAAAAAAAGAAAAGAAAAGAAAAGAAAAGAAAAGAAATTTGAGATGGGGAGGGGTATCCTGTACTATCCAGGTGAGCCCAATATCATCACGCCAGCCTTTCTGAGGGAAGGCAGCAGAAGAGCTGGTCAGAGAAGGGGACGTGAAGAAGGAGGGGAGGTTCGGGTGATGCCAGGGCTAGCCTGGAAGGTAGAAGAGGCCAAGGAAAGCAGGCGGCCTCCAGAAGCTGGAAAGGGCAAGGAGACAGCTTCTCCCCAGAGCCTCCAGGAGCACAGCCCTGCTGTCGCCTTGATTGTAGCCCAGTAGACGCACCTTGGACTTTCATTGGAAATAATTTTGAAACCAGAATTTTGTATTCAGCCAAACTGTCATGAAGATTAAGGGACAATAAAGATATTTTCCTACATGGGAGTAGTAAAAATGTTTATTTCCAACACCTTAAAAGAAACACACATGCATATACACACACAACTGAAGGACGTACTCTAGCAGAATGAAAAGAAACCTATTAAAGACAAAGGCTTGAGGCCCAGGTAACTGTGGAACTAATTCAGGTGTGTAGGGGAAATAAATGTCAGGATTACAGCCTTGCAGGAGGTCTAGAAAGCAGGAAAGAAAGTAAGAAGTTAAAGAATAAAAGTAGTTTCTGTTCAACAAACTCTGATAACTAACAGGAAGATTTGATTGCTGTGTTAATGAAAACATCTATTTTTCTTTCAATAATGAAAAAGGAATTATTAATGGAAAACCAAGGAAACAAAATCTGCACAAGGTCGTTGTGGCGGCTGCTGCAGGTGAGCCTCCCCAGCTCCATCCGCCCTGCTGTGCCCTGGAGCGCAGTGGCTCTCGCGGTGTGGTCCTTGGACCAGCTACGCAGCATCGCCTTGGAAATGGTTAGAAATGCTCATTTCCAAGCCCCACCCCAGATCTGCCTGTTCAAGTTTGGGAGCCACTGCCTAAGTGTACGTTGCAGGTGGGAAAGCCAAAGGCTATGAATGTTTCCCAGGCTCCCTCACAGCCTGGGATCATCCTGTGGCCTAGCTCCTGCCGGGCTGATGCCCGTGACCTGCCGATGTGGATGGGAGGAGTCTGCGGGAGGCTGGATCCAGCTGCCAGCATAGAGAGGTGTTGGCTTGTCTGCAGCAGGGGCAGGCAGATGGCCCGCTAGCTGGCCTCTAGTTCATGGGTGTTAAGAGGCTGGGTACGGGCCACCTGTGGTGCTGGCATAGATGGTACATGAGACAGTGAGATCCCACAGCCCATGGAGGGAGGGCAGTGGATTCTGACCCCCAGATCGAAGGCAAGACAGTACGGCTTGGAGACTCAGAGTTGAGGCAGTGGCTTCCTGGTTCTTGTTTGCCTAGTTGTTCCCCTCCTCCCTGGGCAGCTTCCTTGGTGGGCTGGCTTTGAGAGTCATTTCTGGAAGCTAGGCCTTGAGCCTGGGCCTCCAACCCTCCCAGCAGTTTCGTAAGCCCATAATTTCACATCTCAAATTCCTTTCTGCTTAAACTAGCCAGAGTGGGTTTTGTTCTCTGGGACTGAACCCCGACAAGTAAAAGATCCTGGTTCAAATATGCGGACCTAAGATGAGACGTGACATTGAGCACTGACAGAATCCATTTGACCTGTGTGCACGGAATCTTCTCCTTCCAGAATCGTTTAGTGGGGCTTGAAGCCCTCATGGACAAGTGACACACGAGGATCCTCATTGATGGATGTGAATTCCTCCACACTTCACTTTACTGCGTTCGTGACAGTCAACATTCTTCTACTAACTCAGTGCATTAAAAGAGAAAATAAAAGGGGGATTTTAGGACACATTTTATGTTGACAGCCTGCTCAGGAATCTCCCACCAGGAAGGTCAGAAGGGAGGCAGCAGGAAGTGTTGTGGCGGGTGGGTCACCTGCTGACACAAAACTGCTCCTGACACTGCACCAGACAAGACAGAATCCCCAACATCAAGATGTGGGCTTTGAGTCCAGCTGATTGCAGGCATCGACACGGAACAAGCCCATAGCAGTTGGCTGCTGCGGCGTATTAATAATTTTAAGTATCAGATGCAACCCACGTTTTAGATTTCCTTGATTCCTTGTCAGAAGACAATGATGGAGGCCACACAAGTGTGAGGTGACAGTGAAGGTGAGATACGGGATGAGGGACCCTTCCCACCACAGTGTCACCATCTTGTTTGGGGGAAGGACCTAGTAATGGAAACATGGAATTATGTTTTCTTCTCTACAAAGCAAATCGCACTACTTTGCAGAAAACAGTACTTGTCTAATGATAGCATTATAACCTCTATTGGCTTTAGTTTTTAGAATTAACCAATAGGCAATTCAATCATTAATTCAGGGTTTAATTAATGGGAGTCCGTGATAGATACAGAACAAAACTGAGTAGGCTAAGAACTGACAAATGAAAAGCCAGGGTGGGTGGGGGCTGGGGAGACGGAGGAGGAGGTGCGGTGCGGGAACATAATTTTCTTCACCTTACATAATAGGACATTAGAAAATGCGCCGGTATCATTGGTGGAACAAGAGGTGGAGGTTTCTGTATATTTTTAAAGATATTAAATTAATGAAACAAAAACTGTTGTTATAACTAAACAATTCTGGAAGGAAGATAAGGAAGGTAGGAGACGCTGTGAGCGAAATGATTCATCTTTGAGTGGGGAGGTAACCGACAAAACAGAGGCATGCCTGTGTTATTCCCGTCATGGTGGGACAGAAGAACCTCGGGACCAGACTGGAGGGTGGGGACAGTGGGAGACATTGAATTTTTTAAATATCACTCCTGATTGTTTGATTTTTAAAAACCATATGTGAATATGGTTCTCTCTCCCTCTTCCTGTCTCTGTCTCTCTCTTTCTGTCACACACCCAAACATCCTATGGATCTTACAAAATAAAAAGCAGCTGGTCTCCTTCAAAATCTGGCCTCTTGAAATGTGGAGCTGTGGGGATGGGGCGGCCAAGGGAGAGCACAGCAACACACCAGGTGTTAAAGTGGAGCCCCTCGAGACGGCTCTCTGATCCCAAAGGAAGCGTCAGAATGTCCCTTACCAACAAAGCATGCTAAAAGCCCGGGGTCAGAAGTTGCTTCTACTTCTGTCGTTCTGTGTGCATGTCTCCCGCTGTCGGAGGGCGGTGCCGAGTTCAGGGTCACGTGCAGGCCACTGGCACGTGCGAGCATGTTTCATGGCCCATGTGCAGCCACCCGTCTGCAAAGCCTTGGGAAAGGCTCTCTCTGATCCATCATGGTTGTTTGCTTTGTTTCTCTAAATAACAGCAGATTACCTCTGCACACACTTTTTTTTTTTTTTTTTTTTACTCTCAAAGTGTGTTTACAGCGCTTAGGCCATGTGAAGCCATCCCAAAGAGGCCAGCTGCACCTGGGGCGGGGCCAAGCAGGGAGAAGGCCGGGTCCAGAGGGCCCGGGAGTCTTCACACGGACGATGCTCAGGGAAACCGCGAGGCCCAACTTCTGCTTCAGGGACTGCAGCATCCCAGGGAAGAGGAGCCTGGTAGTGACAGCTGGAGGCAGGGAGGCCGTGACAAACTGTCCCAGTGACCCGGCAGGAGGCCATGAGCCAGCAGAGAGAGAGAGCTGCAGTGGAGGTAGAGAAGGAATCGGCTTTCTCCTGGGTCTGTGAACAGCATCGTAGCCGACTTCGCCTCCTCTAGGACCCGCCAGGCTGCCCGCCAGAGTGGTGCGTTTACAACTGCGGTTCCGGGGGCAGGTGTCGACGTGGGCCCAGGGCTGGCCTCGCACGCCCCTCGTCCCTGTGATGGTGACTGAGGTGTAGCTTGGACCGCAGAACCCCCATGCAAGACCTCAGCCAGGCCTGCAGCTGGGGCCAGTCCCACCGGCCCTGGGGTCTTCAGTCTGCCTTCTTGGACGATCTCCCCCATTCCACCAGCTGAAGGTTTTCAGAAGTTAAATTCAAAGTTGCTGGTGGTTTTGAGTCACTTTTTTTTTTTTCAATAGCGACTCTTGAGTGAAAATTAGGCTGTTATGTGGGTGGCTGTTAAGGGTGCTTCATTTCCACATCGGAGAGCTGCCCACACAGCAGATTTTAGTAGCACTTAAAGTGGGACCTGATTTTGCCTCTCAGCTGCTACATTAAAATAAAATGCCCTTAAGCTGATTATAAAGATACTAATTTAAATGCATGGATACCATTTCCTGGGAGGAGAAATGTCTTCATTGATTCTGAGACCTCATGTCCCCTAGGGGTGCATGCCACCTTCTAGCACTCTGTAGCAGAGATGGCTCAGCAGGGCAGAGGGGTGGATGCAGAGGGGCTCTGGGCAGTGAGTCCTGGCTCTGTTGTTGGCTTGCCATGTGGTTTCAGTGAGTCACTTATCTTGGTGCTTCAGCCTCTGTCCACGTGGGGACATTCACCCCGCTTGCTCACCTGACCAGGTTACCATGAAGACCGGATGAGTGACCCAGTGGCAAACCCTGGGCACCTGCTGAGCAGTCCTCTGTGAATCACCACTCCTCACCCTCCAGGTGGGCCGGGGCATGGCAGGGCAGCCACCATCACCGCATCAGACCAATTTGGTTCAACCTTTATGTAACGAAGTTGTGATGTTTTGCAGTTGCCATGGACACCCAGGTTGAAGGTCACATAACCTGAGCATGCCCAGATGAACCAAGCATGCACCCACGGGCAGAACTAAGTGCTCGGACCTAGGAGCAGGGACTGAATTAAGAAGCAGATGCCACACAGCAAGATCCAGGATCCAATCAGATTGAGCCCTGGCATCACCCCATCGCATGATCCAGTCAGATCACGCCTCCAGGCATCACATTATTGTAAGATCCAATCAGATCACACCTCATTACCCTATGCTTATAAAATCCAACCCAAACCCCAGCTTGTGGAGACAGATTTGAGTGTTTCCTCCTGTCTTCTTTTCAGTCGACTCACAATAAGCCTTTCTCACTGCAAAAAGCCAGTGCTTTCGTGTTTGGCTTTCTGTTGTATGGGTGCAAATGGACACAGTTTGGTTTGGTGACACCACTGCTCTTGCATTTGCCCCCATCCTGAATTTTCTTTGAGCTCCTTTGGAAGAAGTTCATGCCTTCGCCTCCCCTCATTCAGTCTGTTACAACAGTCTCCCAACTAATCTTGTTTCTCCTCATTTCACCTTCCAGGTAGTTGCCTGAGAGCTCTCTAGCATGCAGGTCTGAGCATGTGGCTCCCAACTTCAAAATCTTCAGTTTGGCATTCAAGACTGTCTTTGCTCTTCATCCCTGTGTGCAGGGGTTCTTTTCACCCTTCTATGTGAAGCCCGTGCAGCCCCCTCCTGGCAGGTGAAGGTACTCGATTCCTTGAGCAGGCAGGTGGAGGGGCTCGATCCCTTGACTTCCTCGCGGCACCATGAACAGCCGCCATTGTAAACTGCTTCCTCTGTGATATGGTTTGGATATTTGTCCCCACCAAACCTCATGTTGAAATGTGATCCCCAGCATTGGAGGTGAGGCCTGGTGGGAGGTATTAGGATCATCAGGGCAGACCCCTCATGAATGGCTTGGTGCCATCCTCTTGGTGATGAATGATTTGTCACTCTGTTAGTTCACACGAGAGCTGACTGTTGAAAAGAGTGTTGCACCCCTCCTCTCTCTCTTTGTCTCCCTTTCTCACCTCTGCTCCCCCTTTGCCTTCCACCATGATTAAAAGCTTCCTGAGGGCTTCCCCAGAAGTAGATGCTATTGCCACTCCTCTCGTACAGCCCGCAGAACCATGAGCCAAATAAATCTCTTTGCTTTATAAATTACCCAGCCTCGACTACTCCTTCATAGCAATGCAAAACAGATGAACATGCCATCATCCCGGATAGCTCTGATTACCCATCCCTCCCCACTAGGCCATGAGTTTCTGGAGAATAGAAGCCAACACCGACCCATCACAGTGTCCCTTGTAGGCACTCGGGTGTTTGTTGAGTGAATGAATACATGGGTGACTTAAGGTATCCTTTTTGTTGGGAATGTTCTTCTCTTTCTGCTGAGCTTTCTAGATTCAGCTAGCTGTAGGCCACATCCTCTGAGGAAGAATTCTTAGGAATTCCTTCAGGGAAATATGACTCCCTGTAGGTCCCTGGATAGACTTCTGTCTGAGCACACACACAAAGGTTTATTTCACTGAGTTGATTTTATGACCCTGGTGTTTCCCCTGCCAATTCCAGTTTCCATCCCATAGGATGAGACGCTATAAATTGGTGGGGGACAATTTTGATTTGGAGTCTTTTTGTCCCTAGGGAAGAGTCCTCCGTGGCTGCCTCTAACAAAGATGACCCCACACCACTATCCACAGAGGGCTGGGGACGGTGGATGCTGTGGTTTGAATATTTGTCCCTGCTAAAACTTGTGTTGAAATTTGATCTTCAGTGTTGAGAGGTGGAACCTTTGAGAGGTGATTGGATCATAAGGCTCTGCCCTCATGAATGGATTAACCCATTCGTGGATTGATGGAATCATGATGTGAACTGAAAAAGTCACAAAATCTATAAATTTAGAAAGGAGGGCTTTATTTCTAAAGGAGGGTATCACAAAATCTATAAATTTAGAAAGGAGGGCTTTATTTCTAAAGAAGGGTACCACGACCTGCAAGCAGAAAGTGGAGCCTCCAGCTGAACAGAAAAGCAATCCCTTTAGGGAGGAGGTTACGAGACAGGAATTTGTGCTGAAGGGGTGGGCTAAGTGTACCTATTCAGCAGGCTATAGGAGGAGCTATGAATATTCACAAGAGGGAGATGGGCACATGCATAGTAAGCCAGCATGTATGTTACACACGTCCCATGTTCCCTTTGTGATGGAGAGGGAGAAACCTTTAAATGTGTTACAGTTAGGCCCTATACGTCAAAAGGTGAAGCAGGGGCACGAAGACCCTCTGTGCGCAGCTCTGCAGACTGAACAGAACCATTCCATGGCCAGTGGTCTCTTATCAAAAAGGAATGCTGGTCTGGTGCTGTGTTAAAACTGCAGAATGGAGGGTGGGTATCAGGAGGCTGGTGGATATCAGCAGCAGAGCAAGTCTTTCAAAAGTGTTGGTTTCTGTTTATCCCTAAGGAAAGAAAGGTGGTTAGCGAAGGAGTAGAAAGGGGCGGGTCTAACCTCCTGTCCTGTCATGTCCGGGAGCTCAGTTCTTTTTAAGATTTCCTTCAGTCCCCTTGGCTGAGAGGGGGTTTGTTCCATCAGTTGAGGGACTTAGGATTTTATTTTTCTTTTGCAATGGGTTATCATGAGAGGGGAACTGGTGGCTTTATAAGAAAAGGAGAGAGACCTGAGCTGGGACACTCAGCCCCTTCACCATGTGATGCCCTGCATTGCCTCAGGACTCTGCAGAGTCCCCACCAGCAAGAAGGCCTTTGCCAGAGGCAGCCTCTTGACCTTGGACATTGCAGCCTCTAGAACTGTAAGAAATAAGTTACTTTTCTTTATAAATTACCCAATTTCAGGCATTCTGTTATAAGCAAGAGAAAATGGCTAAGACAGCGGAAACATGCTCCATCAATCAGTCTGTCCTCTGCTGAGGTTTGCAAGGATGACAGCCCCATCCCAAGCACACGCTGGCCCCTGCCCCATCAGCTTGTACCAGGTCAGTACCACTGGATTACAAGGTGAGGCACACTCTTCTTTCCAAAGGAGAGGAGGCAAAGCCTAGAGGGCATGGCAAGGCTGAAGCAGGACCACTGCTGTGCTGGTGACCTGACTGTACCCTGTGCTGCCTTGAGACAACCCTTCACCAGCAGGTGCTCCCCCAATGCCTGACCTGTCTCTTTCACCTCCAGCTCTTCTCCACCTAGATGCTCAGGCATGGCAGGCTGGGGTGGTTGGCTCTAGGTCCATGGGCAGAAGGAAATGTGAGTGTTCCCGTTCTGGTTCCATTTCTTCCTTAAAGAAGGTGGTAGCTGACTTGCTTAATAAAGTCAGCTAGAAGTGAGCACACCTTACCAAGGGCACACATTCATATTTCTTGGAGGCACCATGGTCTAACCTCAGAACAAGGAAGGGCTGTGTCTCCCTTTGGCTCTGGGTTTGCCCCTTTTTGTAACAATAGACCCCAATGATAGAGTTTTAGGCTCTTTCCTGCCTGGCTGGCCTGGCTGCCATCCCAGAGGAATAGCATAGTTGTTGATGGCTTGTCTCTTTGATACCTGGTGAAATGGGTCCCATCTCTGATGTGCTCATTCTGATTAAATTCTACTATTTTTCTTTTCTCCCTCTAATGAGGGGGGCAGACCTGCCATTTGCTGGTTTGTTCTACCATCTATCTGTTTCCTCCACTGGGCTTGAGGGCAGATGCATGATTTATTGCTCACCATATTCTCAAGACCCAACAGAAAACTTGATCCAGCATAAGCACTCCCTTGATATTTGTGGAATGAATGAAGGAAAAAAAAATGAATGCTGGGGAACAGAGGTTAAAAATCCGTGAGGAAGAAGAAAAAGGAGGTGGGTCTGTGAAGATGGGATTCCTTGCCCAGCCCAGCCAGTCTGGGGAATGAAGAAGACAGAGAGGCCCATGTGGCTGGAGAGGGGACTGCTATGTGACGGTGCTCCATAGCCACCAGATGCATGATTCAGCCTTTTCTGGTCAACCCTCTGCCCTTTTTTTCCCGAGCCAGGTGGTGGAGGAGCTGACAGCCATGAGCAGGATTGCTCCTGGCAGACCTGAAGCCTGGACTGTATGCCCCCTGAGATTTTCCACACAGCAAGAAGTCACCTGCTCTTTCTGAGAACTGACAGGTTTTCCTCCCCAAAACCAAGGGAAGGGGTCTCTACAAGCATCATTTGTAAATTCCAGGGATGCCTGCAGGCAGGGGAGACTGCATTCTGCCTTCTGGGGGCATCTGTTCAGATGGTGGCTGGCTGATCTGATCTGACACTGTGAGCAGGAGAAAAGAGAAGCAAAGAGATGGCAGGGTATGGCGGGGAGACGGTGGCGTGGCCTGGATCTCCACCACTGGGCAAGGTTACTTGAGCCAAGGTGCTTTCAAAAAACCCAGAGGAAGGTGTCTAGGCCTGAGCTGTACGGCTGGTGCCTGACTCTGCTTGCAGGACCATCCCTGGGGTTAAAGAGACTGAGCTGGAGCCATAGGAACTATTTTGGGAGGAGCAGGGAGAAAGCCCCTTAAGATCTTCATGGGATCCCAGGCATGCAAATAGCAAGAGCGATAGCAACACAGAGAGCACTTCTGCACATTCAGGTTGGGCCAGAGGAACCACAGGCCCTCACATAAGGAAACCTCTCTGGTCCTCCCTCTTCTACCCCAGAGAGGCGAGCCATGGAAAGCAGGCTCTCTGTCCCCACCCAAATCTCATGTCAAATTGTAATCCTCAGTGTTGGAGAAGGGACCTGGTGGGAGGTGATTGGATCATGGAGGTGGACTTCCCTCTTGCTATTCTTATGATAGCGAGTGAGTTCTTACGACATCTGGTTGTTTCAAAATGTGTAGTGCTTCCTCCTTCGTGCTCTCTCCCTTCTCTGCCATGGTAAGACGTGCTTGCTTCCTCTTCATCTTCCACCGTGATTGTAAGTTTCCTGAGGCCTCCCCAGCATGCTTCCTGTGCAGTCTGTGGAATTGTGAGCCAATTAGCAGTGAGAGAACAGACCAACACAAAAGTAAGCCATTCCGCGTCAATTCCTTTCTCAATAGGTGGGTTGGATGTTGCACATTGGAAAGCAGAAACATGGAAGCCCCACCATGCAGGTCTTGTTCATGCTCTCCTCTCACCTCCCCAGGAGCCCTGTGAGCTGGAGACTATTGGCCCCGTTCTTACATAGATGAGCACTAAGGT
Organism: Homo sapiens; assembly: GCF_000001405.40. Taxonomy (NCBI): domain Eukaryota; kingdom Metazoa; phylum Chordata; class Mammalia; order Primates; family Hominidae; genus Homo; species Homo sapiens. The sequence continues at coordinate 11,017,763 of NC_000002.12, read as the reverse complement.
CCAGAGAGGTCAGAATCTTGGCCAGGGCCACACAGAATTTAATTTGCCCCTGGGCAAGGGGCAAAACAGAATTTAAATGCAGAGGTTCAGACTCTGTCACCTACCCCACAGGGATTAATGCTTATTGAGCACCTATTATGTAACTTTTGCTTTTCATAGCTCTCTCTATCCCAACTGGGATAAATAAATTCATTTTCTTTATAAATTACCCAGTTTCAGGGTAATTTATAAATTGCATTATTTTACCAGGAAAGAAACTGAGTCTCAGACAGGAAGGTATTCACATATGTGAGCATGGTGCTAGCAAATCGGAGGCTGGAGTTTGCACCCCAGTTAGTCTGATTCCAAATCCAGTGTTCTTCCCAGTATTCCCCAGCTGCTCCATCCAGAGACCTGCAGGATTCCTTGAGCAGAACCCTGCTTAGAAGGTGGGGTCTGATCCCGACAGAAAAGAATTGTGTTGATCTTTGGGCTCAGCTTAAAATTCAGTCATCTGACTGAGCTCTTCTCTGATTTTGAAAACTGCTCTCCACTCAAGCCCTTGCTGTTTGGTCTGAAACTACAGGGTGCCAGCAGTGTAGACAGAGAACTGGGCTGAATCAGACAAACCCCCAGCCCTCCAGTGCTTGTGAGCGAGCCGTTCTGCAGGGTCTCCTTGCCTTCTGAAGATGGATTTGGGACAACACAGTTAAAAAGCAGCAGCATTTGGTCTTGGGAATGCCACTTTAAAATCCCTTAAAAATAAATGTTGAGGCTCTTTATCTTCATTGAAATCCTGTCTCCACGGCTCTGGGTGGGGGAGCCCCTCAGAGCCTGCTGCCTGGGCTGAGCTGGGAGGTGGGCATTTCCCTGGGCAACTGGAATGCAGTCATGGATACTGCTTGTAAGGGCTTTAATTACAAGTTTTCTGGCATAAAAGTTTGCTTTTAAAAATAGAAACCGTGCCAGCAAATATACGTAATATTTGCTTTGAAGTACTGAATTCCCAGAATTAGGTTTCGGCTTTTCCTCCATGGAGGGCTATAGATCCTTGGAGTCCCTCTTGCTCCTCCGAGGGAACCACATTATTTAGTTCTACTCTCCAATTCCTGACTTCACCTTTTCCTCACTTTTAATTTTAAACTCTGCAGCTGTAAAGTGATAGCAGTGGTCCCATCTATGAAGTCAGAAGCTCAGGTCTGTGTCCCAGCAACTTTGGTTAGTAACTGTGTGACCTTGAGCAGCTCTCCTAACCTTTCAGAGGCTTCTTCTCTCCCTCTGTAAAGAATAAGGGTGTGGTGGCTCACACCTGTAATCCCAGCACTTTGGGAGGCTGAGGTGGGAGAATGCTTGAGCTCAGGAGTTTGAGACCAGCCTGAGCAATACAGTAAGACCCTGTCTCTACAAAAAATGCAAAACTTAGCCAGGCTCAGTGGTGTGTGCCTATAGTTCCAGCCTCTCAGGAGGCTGAGGTGGGAGAATCACTTGAGCCTGGGAGGTTGAGGCTGCAGTGAGCCAAGATTGCATCACTGCATTCCAGCCTGGGCAACAGGGTGAGACCTTGTGTCAAAATAATTAAATAAATAAAAAGAAATAAATACATAAATAAAAAGAATAAGAATGAGGGCAGTATTGCAGAGCTGTGGAGAGGCATAAAGGCTCAGTGGGCAAATCTGAAGCATTGAAGCCCATTAAACGCTTGTTCATTCATACAAACAAATTTCCTTTTGAAGCTCATCTTTCTTGTTCTATTCTGAGTCTTTATCTGTTGGGTATGTTTTTAGGTGTTGATTTTTTTTTTCTCTCTCTCTGAGATGAAAAAAACACACAAAGGCTTCCTTCCTTCCCTCTCCACCTTCTGTCTCTCTGCAAAGCTTCCTTTCCTCTGTGCTTGTTTCATTTCCCCCTCATCTTCCTGAGCTGTCGTCATCCCTCCTGGAAGCCTTTGTCATTTACCTGGTTTTCATTATTTCTCTTTAAGTAGCATTTATCATAAGCCTCAATCTAGCAGGCACATCTCAGATGTTTTCTCATTTTGATACAACCTTGTTTTTCTTCCTCCTATTTCCTCTCATCCAGAAGGATTTGAAACGTCCCTAAGAAGCACTGAAATTGACTATATAGGAAAGTAGGGGCTGGAGCTTGGTTTCTTGCCAAAGGTCTTAGTAATTTCTATTTTCGCTCTTCCATCTTGCTATTTGGCTTAGAGTAGGGGGTGGTGGTGAGAAGGGACATTGATGTAAGAACCAAAATGTCGTACCTTGTCATCAAAAGATGTGAAAGCCCACGGAAGAAAATCCCCTTCAGAACATTAGAGAGACACAGGCTTGGACATCGGAGAGGCCTCATTTTGAACCCCTAAATGGCTACTTTGGCTTATTTTACTTTTAAAGATCATAGTCTTTTTCACCATGTTTAAAGACATATGTTTAGATATTTAATGCACCCAGAATTTACCTGGGAGGTAGGGAGCCATCTTCATTTTTTTCTAAATGGATAGCCCATTGTAGCAATACCGTTTGTTGATTAGTCTGTCTTTTTCCTAGTGATTTGGAATATCATCTTTGTCATATGCTAAGTATATAATCTATAGGCCTGCTTCTGGGTTCTCTGTTCCGTTCAATTGATTTTTCTATCCCTCTGCCAGTAATTACTGTTAGAAAGCTTGAGTTCCTGAGCCAGAATATTCATGGCCACTCATAATTCACTTATTTTTTTTTACAAGAATAAAAGGGTGGTTGCAGAATCCCTTATTCCTACAAGCCATCTGGCGTCCTCCAACACTTGGAAAAAATAATGTAAAGCAATAATTTAGACTTCTATTTGATTATTTTAAAAATCATTTTGAGCACCCTTGTTAATAAGATATTTGCTAAATCTTTGAACTGAAGAGAAGGAAAATTCCACATGTTTAATTTATGAGATGTTTGCTCCATGGAGACTAGTTTATTTTCAGGTTGGGGAAAACAAACCGAACTTGGGTAAATTCTCTTATTTTTCAGTTCTGGCACTGATAATTAGTTTACCACAGCCATGCTGCCCTGCTCTGCATTTGAGGTTGGATACAGCAATCTTCCATTCCTGGCCATGAAGCCTCCTTTTGGAAGTGCAATGAGTACCTCGCAGTCACCTTCCAAGTGCTGTTGTCACAGGTTCCTGGGGTTTGGAGTGGGGTTGGCCACAGGTCATCAGCTGTCACTTGAGCTGATGTAAGTTGAGTGTAAGTTTCACTGATGTCTGGGAACTGAGGATTGTTCCAGAGCACACCTATTAGGTTTCATGAATTTTTAAAAACTTTCCAATTTTGAAGAGTAAATAGAGTTTTGGGAGCTATGTATGGAGGTGGAGCATGTATTGAGCACCTCGTTTCTTCCCGAATACCTAGACACTTACTTATGGGAATCAGTATGGTTCTTTTGAAACACAGGAGTAGGTGGATCATCCCTGGGAGGAAACTGAGGCCAAGAGAGTTTCTGTAACTTGCCCCAGTCGACTCAATTCATAAGTAAAGGAGCAGGAACCCAAAGCCCCACCTGTGAGATCCACATGCCTTCCACCCACCAGGCTTCTTCTGCTTGCCAGTGATGGATTCAGACTCTGCTTGGTTCCAGTCCCAAGTGTTCCACAACAGACCATGACCGTAACTCATCAGTAGGCTCAATCAAGGTCAAGGCCAATGCCTGTTATTGTTTCTGACATTTATTCTACATTTAAAGTACTGAAATTGCCTTGTTGCTTTAGGCACAATTTTGTATCTGAGATGCCAGATTTGATCATTCCTGTCTGTTCCCTTCCTTCTCTTTCTCTTATGTAATCATTCAGCACGCTCCTTGGAAAGCGTTCAGTGATAATATGGAATTTCTGCCCTCTAGGAGCCTACGGTGCAATGGTGTGTATAAGTGATCACAGTTGACGTTCACTGAACACTATGTTTCCCAGGCACCATTCCAGGTGCTTTGCATGTGTCCTATCATGAACTCCTCTCAAGAATCCTATGAAATCAGTTCTAGTATTATGCCCATTTGGTATAGAAGAAAATGAAGGTACAGAGAGGTTATGTAGCCTGCCCAAGGTCACACAGGTAGGAAGTAGCAGAGCCAGGCTTCGCATCCAGGTGGTCTGATAGGAAGACCACACTCTCAAGCCCGGTGCTGGCCCACAACCCACAGAAGGGAGCAAAGGTGGAGGAGCATCTGAGGCTGCCTTGGGGTCAGAGATGTTTCATCTGGAGGATGAGTCTATAAGGCCATTCTCGTTCACATTGCTATAAAGAAATACCTGAGACTGGGTAATTTATAAGAAAAGAGGTTTAATTGGCTCATGGTTCTGCAGGCTGTGCAGGAAGTGTGGTGGCATCTCCTTCTGGGGCGGCCTCAGGGAGCTTTTACTCATGGCGGAAGGTGAAGCAGGAGCAAGCAGTTCACAGGATGGCAGGAGCGAGAGAATGAGGCGGGGAGGAGCCACACACTTAAACGACCAGAGCTCCCAAGAACTCACTCCCTATCACAAGGACAGTACCAAGGGGGAAGGTCCTAAACCATCTATAAGAAATCTGCCCCCATGATCCAATCACCTCCCACTAGGCCCCACCTCCAACACTGGAGATGACATTTCAACGTGAGATTTGGGCAAAGACATACATCCAAAGTATATCAATGAGTGGCCAGGTGCGGTGGCTCACGCCTGTAATCCCAGCACTTTGGGAGGCTGAGGCGGGTGGATCACCTGAGATCAGGCATTTGAGTTCATCCTGGCCAACATGATGAAACCTTGTCTCTACTAAAAATACAAAATTAGCCGGGTGTGGTGGTGTGCACCTGTAATCTCAGCTACTTAGGAGGCTGAGGTAGGAAAATCACTTGAATCTGGGAGGCAGAGGTTGTAGTCAGCAAAGATCCTGTCATTGCACTCCAGCCTGGGCAACAGAGCAAGACTCTGTCTCAAAAACCAAAACCAAAACAAAATCCAAAACCAAAACAAACAAACAAACAAACAAACAAACGAAACTGTATCAATGACTAGGAATGTTCCAGCCACCCACAGGGGCTGGGGGCGGAAGGCTGTCCTGGCGGAACGGACCGCACAGGCAAAGGCCTGGAGGTTTGGAGGGTGTCTGATAGATTGATAAAGTCATAAGCTTCTCAGTGGTCATTTCATGTTCGTGGTTTATTGTGTCCTGGGATCATAATACCAGATTTAATGAACCAGCTTAATCCTAGAAGAAATTTGAAACAATGAAGCACTTGAGGTTTGAGTGCAGGACTAAACCCTAGGGAGCCAATAAAGAAACATTTTTTCATACTTGAAATATGACCTGTGCCTACAGTCTCCTCTCCCAGTCTCAGCATGGGTAGAATGACCCACGTGAGCTCTTTGGGGTGAGCAGCCAGAAGAGAGTTAGGCTAAACGAACATGCGCTATGCCCAGGGCTGTGCTGGATGATGGAGATTCAGGCACTCTCCCTGCCCTCTGGCAAGCCCAGGCTAGCAGAGGGCACAGACAGACCAGCGAATACAAGATGGCTACACGGTGTGATAAGTGGGCAAGGTGGGGTTTTGCATGGAGCACAGCTGGGGAGCATCTAACATCCCCTAACCCCCCAGCAGCATGTGGGAAGTTTTCTCTTTCTCTCTCTTTTTGTTTTGTTTTGTTTGAGACAGAGTCCCACTCTGTTGCCCAGGCTGGAGTGCAGTGGTGCAATCTTGGCTCACTGCAACCTCTGCCTCTTGGCTTCAAGTTGATTCTTCCACCTTAGCCTCCCAAGTGGCTGGGATTAGAGGCACGCACCACCATGCCTGGCTAATTTTTGTATTTTTAGTAGAGACGGGGTTTCACTATGTTGGCCAGGCTGGTCTTGAACTCCTGGCATCAGATGATCTGCCTGCCTCGGCCTCCCAAAGTGCTGGGATTACAGGCATGAGCCGCCCACCATGTCTGGCCTGCCGTAAGTTCTTGTTGGTCTTAGCCCCTAACTTCTCTTGGAACCATTAGTTTTCAGAATCATCATTGATGAACCTTCTCCCTTTAACCTCTGTGAAGGAGGGTCACTGTGCACTGGTTACCGACTTGTCTGAGTTTTGTGAGATAGAAACTCCCACACATGCAGCAGGTTAAATGAAGTGGATTTATTTCTTATAGATAGGCAGCAAAAGACAACAGAAGCCTGGGATTCATGAGGAGTTGCTCCCCTGAGGCTCGGGAAAGCTGCCTGGGTGGATGGAGTCTTGTCTTCAAGTGCCCGAAGCTGGCCTTGGGTTTTATACCCTGGAGAGCATGACTTGCCGGGCTAAAGTGTTGAAGAATTTCCTGTCTCCAGGGGTGATTCGGACAGAGTCAGTCTGTTCTGGTTAGTCCCCCGTTATCTAACCAGAACATGATGTACTCCAGCACGTTCTGGTTATTCTCAGGCACTACAAGTGAGAGAGGGGGAGAACTGGGTTAGTCCAAGGCCCAGGAGAGCTGTCCTGCAATGCCAGTGAAGCTTTATCACCCAGCTGTGACTTTCTCACTTTTTAGACTTTTATTTTAAGTTCAGGGGTACATGTGCAGGTTTGTTATATAGGTAAACTTGTGTTATGGGGGTTCGTTGTACAGATGATTTCATCACCTAGGTACTAAGGCTGGTACCCATTAGTTATTTTTCCTGATCCTCTCCCTCCTCACCCTCCACCCTCCGATAGGCCCCAGTGTGTGTTGTTCCACACTATGCGTCCACGTGTTCTCACTAGTTAGCTCCCATTTATAAGTGAGAACATGCAGTGTTAGGATTTCTGTTCCTGTGTTAGTTTGCTAAGGATAATGGCCTCCAGCTCCATCCACGTTCTTGCAAAGGACATGATCTTGTTCTTTGATGACTGCGTAGTATTCCATGGTGTATATGTACCACGTTCTCTTTATCCAGTCTACCCTTGACAGCCATTTGTGTGGTTGATTCCTTGTCTTTGCTATTGTGAATAGTCCAGCTGTGACTTTCTTGAGAGCAGGATTCAGCATGATTCCTCTCGGTACCAGGCCAATGGCGTCAGAGTTGTCCCAGAGTGGGAACTGTCAGCCACCTCCAGGGCTTTGACAGTGCCTGTGCACACTGGTGACTGCCCATGCTTCCTGGGGCCATGGCCTCGTCTCCTTCTTCATTCTACAACAGTTGCCCAACTGGCCTCCTTGGTCTGCAATCTAGCCCCTTCCATTATTTTTCCTCTATGCTGCCAGGATAAAAACAGAGTGTATCTGTGTGTTCTCAAATGGGCTATACTATCATGAGCCCCTGTAACTGTCCAGCCTCATCTCTTGATCCTTTTCCCCACCCTGCCCACCACTACTCCACACTGCAGTCGAACTAAAGCCGAAACACATTGAGCTCTCTCACCTCCAATCTTTCATTTCTTCTTCACCCGCTTCCTGGAATCCACCGTCCCACCACCCCTGACCCTTGGTCTCACCCCCTCTGGTCTCTCAGGATGTCTGCCCCTCCGGCACGTGGCCTGCCTCCTGCAGTCCTCACACACCTCCCTGGGCTTCCTGCTTTCCTAATGCCATCATGCTAGTCTAGCTGTTTATGATGCTGCCTGCCCCAGAGCTCTGGAGTCTGTGAGCACAGGATCAAGTCCTTGGTTTTCCCTGTGTCCCAGCATCTGGCGTTGGCTTGGGTGGATGTTATGTGAATGGATGCATCTGCCATAGTCTCACGCAGCAAAGGGCGGGGCTCGGGCCTGTGTCCCCTTGGCCTCCTCCTTCTGCTGCAGCATCTGTGCCTGCACAGGCTCTGCCTACGGATTCTGGGAACAGCCTCCTGTCTCTGCAGAAAACAGCTCAAAGCCCTCCTCAGATTTCAGGTCCTCCCAGAAGGCTTCCCAGACGAGGTGGGCTGAATAAGGCTCCTCACCTCCCTCAAGCTTCCGGGATGAGAAATGCTCTTTCCTTCTCTGTCCCTCTAAGCCGACCAAATAAGAAAAATGTAGGGCCTAAAAATGGAAACCAACAAGTTGAACTTCACCATAGAAATGGAGTGAGTGAATATGTGTGTGGGTGTGAAAACTAAGCAGAACTTGAACCCACCATCTGGACATCTGTCCGGGGCCTCCAAGTCCTTCTACAACACACCAGGGAGAAAAGATGGTGCAGCCACAAGCTCTAAGACTTTTACGTGTCCTTGGGGAAGGAAGAAAGGCTTGTCACATTAATTTTTTCTCAACTCCCTACTCTGGAAAATTTCAAATATATTTAAACATTGGGAGAATAGTAAAATAAGCTATCGTGTACCCACCACCAGCTTCACCAATGATCAAGTTATTGCTCAGCAAATATAAATATCTATTCATTAGAGATTTAATGATTAATTTAAAACATTGATTGTATCAAATATTAACAGTGGATATTAATATTAAGTGTTAATATATTTAAATGTTATTTATAAATGTTAATTAATTCAATTATTTATTACAATAATATATACAATAAGGTTTAGAGTGCGTAACATTTATTAGGTTGATGCAAAAGTAATTGTGGTTTTTGCCACTGAAATTAATGCGTTCTTAACACATAGCAACATCTCCAGTCACCTGGACCCAGGCCCAGCTCAAGAACATTCATGTCAGAGGGACAGAAGAGGTAACCTTCCTCTGTGCTTGTGCTTCTATATAAGACAAGAATCTAGTAGCCCCCCATGGGATCGTCTAGTCGCTCCTTGGGTTTCATGAAACTCAAGAGGGGCCTACAAAGTAAATGGCATCTAAGTGTCAGCTGTTACTGGGACATTTTGGCTTTTGGAAAACCTGGGAACAAGAGTCAGCCAACGTGGGATCTTAACAGCTGTGTCATTGGCCATGTGCATAACCTGTCTGGGACTTCATAGTTTTTGGTTTAAAAAATGGAGTAAGACCTGTTTTAGGGACCACATGGATTTCTGAGAAAGAAGGAAGAAAGAGGTGTAGTTAGGCTTTTTTATTATTATTATTATACTTTAAGTTCTAGGGTACATATGCACAACGTGCAGGTTTGTTACATATGTATACCTGTGCCATGTTGGTGTGCTGCACCCATTAACTTGTCATTTACATTAGGTATATCTCTTAATGCGATTCCTCAAGAATCTACAACTAGAAATACCATTTGACCCAGCCATCCTATTACTGGGTATATACCCAAAGGATTCTAAATCATGCTGCTATAAAGACACATGAACACATATGTTTATTGCGGCACTATTCCCAATAGTGAGGCGTAGTTAAGATTAATGTGAGGCTCAAAACCAGGGTCAGAGTCCGCACGCACACCCACCTCTCACCCCACCTGGCTTCAGATAAACTGGGTAGGGGGGCTCCTGGAAAGGCCTCTCTGCACATCGCTCCAGCCACAGCAACAATACCCAGAGACACGGCCTCAAGCCCCCTGGAGTTGGACCGTCTCTGATCTTAGAAGGGTCAGACTAGGACAAAACAAGCCAAAAAGAGAGCTGCTCTTTCCCATCCCTATTTAAATAGAGTGAGACATGCTGAATGCATGATGGCTCTCGAATGTTCCACAGCAGGGGAGCTGCAGCAGAAGGAGGAAGGAAAGGCCAGGGAAGAGGAAGGAGAGAGGTGGAAATCAGAAATCAGGGTGCCTGCACCTGCCAGCAGGGATAGCACTACCCAGTGTTGGGGTCATGGGTAAAAGCAGACAGGCTCCACCTGGATGTCTAATACCTGTCAAGGGACAGCTGGGAGAGTTGCGAGCTGCTCACCCGTCTGCTGGTTATCTGCGTACACATCACACCGGAGGAGATATTGAAAAGGAGTTGTTTTGACAGTTATTTAATTAGGGCTCAGCTATGAATATGCAACCCAGTGGTAGCTAAATTGCCTTGTCCCATCAGTGCTTAATGACATGCTTTCATTCCTATTTCATTACAAAAAAAGGTATAAACTCTGACAGTGACCATCCCTGACGACAAATGAACATTGCTGATTAGAAGCCACCGGTTTGACTGAAAGCAGATGAGGGTTGCCTGGGAATTGGGCAGAGGGTGAAAAGGGGGGGTGACAAGGGCCCAGGACACTATCAGGATGATGGGCATTTTTTATTTATTTATTTATTTATTTATTTATTTATTTATTTATTATTATTATACTTTAAGTTTTAGGGTACATGTGCACAATGTGCAGGTTAGTTACATATGTATACACGTGCCATGCTGGTGCGCTGCACCCACCGACTCGTCATCTAGCATTAGGTATATCTCCCAATGCTATCCCTCCCCGCTCCCCGCACCCGGGCATTTGTTATTGAGACCATGGCGATGGCCTCAGGAGCGCACTGTGTCAAATGCATCAGCACTGTGCGTTTTAAACACCTGCAGCCTCTCCTTCTCAACACAACTGAAGACGGGTCCATGGGCATCATGACCGTTGAGGCCTCTTCATCACTGCTTCCCCCTGAGTTAGTCTCAGAAATCCTCCAAAATAAACCTTGGAGGACTAGTTTTTAAAAATGTTATAATGTTTACAACGACAACAAAAAACCTTAAAAGCCAGGGAGACACGGGGGGAGCTGAGGTTTATAGAACCACCACATCTTTGCAAACATGGTCTCATTTGACGCTTACCACAGCTCTATGAACCTGGTGGTGTTATGACTCCCGTTGTACATGACACACAGTGGCTCTGAGAAGTTACAGAACATAGGTGGTATCTGGTGGAGCCAGTCCGTCTGTCCGGCAACACATTCCCTCTGTTCTCTGAGCATCCCATGCTGCTAACTATGGTGCCACCTTCATTTGCAGGGGATCACAGGACACGCAGGCTGCTTGCTCCTACCACCCTCATAGAGGTCTCTGTTTCCTCATGATCCTGCTTCAGGCCTTGCCATATTGTCATCATGTAATCGTAAGGTAAGCATGATTCTGCATTCTGCTGTTTTCATTTCACGTTGTCAATATTTTCCCGTGGTGCTCATATTTATTTGAAAGCCTTCATAAAACCCAATGAGTTGATGCCTTATGATGATTTATTAATACTTAATCCTAGTGTTAGACAATAAGATTGTTTCTAGTATTTTGCTATATAAGTTACACAACACCCAGCATATCGTGCAACAGGCAGTGTTAGGGAGTGGATGAGAATACAGCCCCACAGTCAGGCTGCCTGGGCTCGAATCCCAGAACTGCCGCAGAATGCTGTGTAGCTTGAGGCAGGTTTTTTTGACCTCTCTGCCCTTCAGTTTCTTAATTGATAAAGCAGAGCTAATACTACCACCTCTCTGAGTCTCCGGGCCCCTAGAACAGAGAGACCTGGCTCCAGTAATGCAGGGTCCTGGGTCCATGGCTTTCCCATCGCAGGCAGCCTCTCTTTTGGTGACCCCTCTTTTCTGTGGCTGCTGTGATAACCCAAACCCCAACTCTAACCCTAACCCTACCACAGACGTAGTGGCTTGGAACAACACAAAGTGACTAGCTTACAGTTCTGTAGAGTAGAAATCCAGCACACATCTCACTGGGCTCAAATCAACGCGCATCCCTCCCTGGAGGCTGCAGGGGAGAGTGGGAGCCTCACCGTTTGCAGCTTCTGGACGCACTTGCTCATCTCCCTTCCTCCAGCCTCAAGGCCGATGGTGTTGGATGAGTTCTCGTGTTGCTCTCTGATGGCTCTCTTCTGATTTCCTCATCCACTTTCAAGGATATAGGATTCATACAGATAATCCAGCATAATCTCCCTACTTTAAAGTCAGGTGATTAGAAAGCTTCATTCTATCTGCAGCCTTCATTCCCTCTTGCAGTGTGACCCAGCCTATCCACAGGTTCTGGGGATTAGGATGTAGATATCTTTAGAGGAGTCCTTATTTGCCTACCACACACTGCTGAGGCTAGAAGCCTAGAAGCCACATATACCCCTGCTCCCTTGCTGGCCAGGTTCTAGCTAGAGTAGCCGAGGGAGACCCCTGCACCAGACTAGAAGGTGGGCGCAGGTGTGCATGCGTGGGCTGTTGCCTCCAGCCGGGGTACTGATGGCCTTCTTATCACTACACAGCACCCCCACCCCACAACCCCCTTCACACCTGCAGCCTAGAAGTAGACGCAGCTTCCTGATCACTAGATCATATCCCTGTCCCCTTTCCTCCATCACTGCTTCAACAGCTTTGTCACAAGCTCCTTGCGTGCATGCCTTGGTCTCCTCCAGCTCCACACAAAGGAGGTGCCAGGAGGGCTGGGAACCGGGACAGAGCCCTGGAGCACCTACCAGGTGCTGGGCACTTGTCATCCGTGGCTTCGTTTAACCCTCCCAACAGCTCTTATTTTGAAGATAGATCCACATGCTTCACTCAGGTCACCCAGGTGGTGTCTGCCGGACACTGTCTTGCCTGCCCAGGGGCCAGGCCTCATCTCAGGGGGCACTGTGGCCTTTTGGGGTGTCTCCTGAGCCTCTCTCAGCTCTCTTTTGAGTTCTGTGGCCCTGAGAGTGGTCAGACCTCCCAGAGACCCCTCCCCAGGCATGTTGGGTTGGGGGCTCTCAGGAAGCCCCCTCTGTCCGGCTGCTTATGGCACCTGTGCTACAGGAATTGTCACGTGTGGACCCTTTACCTCCTCATGATTGGAATATCTTGGTGATCCTCTAATTTATTGTAATAAGCTTTCACAAATGTTAAATGCATCTCCCCCTAGTTCCTGCCTCTTCTGTTCACACAGGATGGACTAGGGTTCGGTGTCTGACTGACCCAGGGGAAACCTGGCTCTGGGAGGCTCACAGCCCCCTCTCCCTCACGAGTGCAATAGGGTCACGGTGCCTCCTCCTGGGGCTGCCTCAAAGATGAAATGGGAGGTCATGGAAGTGCCTAGTGCCACACCTGACGCTTGATATGTGCCTAACACATTATAGTTTCTTATGATTTTAAATTTTAGGTTTGTTGGGTTTTGCTGATTTTAATTTTCAGCGAAATAGCCAAATGCTCTTTTTCACTGAAATTTCTTCTGTTGATTCCATTTTGAAGAAGCTTGCCTCTCTTAGAAGTTGAGGTAAATACTCAGATTTAATTTTAACCAGTTCCCCTCTAATTTCACATATTTAAAACGATTTAACTCCTTCAAGCATCTGGAGTCTATTCTGGAGCATAATGTAAATGTGACTCTAAATGAATTTCCAAATCCCTATGAAATCAACCTAACTTAATTTAATGAATAACTTTTTTTTCCCTAGTGTTTGGTGCTGCTTATTTTAGTGTGTATTAGGTTCTTGTACGCAACAGAGTCTATTACGGGCTCTGAGATATGGATTCACAAGCCATACAAGGACATTCTGTGGATCTGAAAGCGCCTTTGTGTAGCCTCAGATGGGGATGACAACTTGTTGAGTAACTAATTCTCAGAGCATATCCTTTCTGCAGAGCTGAGGCCTATAGATGTGATTCTTTTGTCTTTGGGAAGTGAGAGCATTGGAGAAATCAAAAGCAGCTATGAGTCATACCTGTCACTGTAACATGTCTTTCCTGCTTGGTGATTGCTGAATATTCAGTCTTTTCACTTGGTTTAAAAGTTTTATGAGACACTGTGTTGGTGCAGACTCTGATTGCAAATTTTATCACAGACTCTCTGAACCTTCTCTGTGCCCAGCCTTGGTTCTTTTTTTTTCCCCCAGAATCATCCACTTCACTGTAATCTGGATTTTATTTTCTCTGTGCTGATTATTCTTCTGTTTCCTGATAGTGACTTTAATTGGTCTATTGTGATTTTACGGCATGGCTTTCTTTAAAATAATAACAAGCATCCTGGTTTATTCTTATTGATTTCAAGTGATGTCCTCTTTCATTTCTTTGGGAAGAGATGCCAGCAACTCTAACTTGTTACCTTGATGTCTGACAGAAATGTCAGGCTGTGTAAATTTGGAGATCGTACTGTTTGGCTCTTATGCAGGGTAAACATTTTGGAGGCTGTGTCCTGTGTTTCTGCCCTGCTGTGTTTGGGCTGTTGGCTTTGGTGGCCCCCACACTTGCTGCTGTTTGTACATGTCCCAGGCAGGTAGAAAGGGGAGCACAAGGGTCTGAGAGCTGCCCTTTCAATAAGGGAAGGGATGCCTGCATGGATATGAGCTTATATTTCATTGTTTGACACTGTATTGGTTTCCAAAAACAAAGCACCACAAACTGGGTAGCTTTAAACACCAGAAATGGATTCTCTCACAGTTCTGGAGGCCAGAAGTCTAAAGTCAAGATGTCAGCAGTGCCCTGGTCCCTCTGAAGCTCTGGGGAGGATCCTTCCTGCCTCTCCAGGTTCTGGTGGTGGGCGGCCATCCTTGGGGTTCCTTGGCTAGTGGATCCATCACTCCAATCTCTGCCTTTGTCTTCACATGGCCTTCATCCTATTCCAGTTTCTGTGTCTCTTCTCTTTTCTAGAAAGACACAAGTCATATTGGATCAGGGCCCACTCTATTCCAGGAGGACCCTATCTTACCTAATCACAACTGTAGCGACCCTATTTCCAAAGGAGGTCAGAGTCACAGGTACCTGGGTACCTGGTCATAGTCACAGGTCCCTATATAACCTGCATTCTTGGAGAACATAATTCAATCCACAGTGAATACCATGTCACCTGGACGTCCCTGGTCAAGGCTCTTTTAGTAAGTAAAATGATGAGACTAGGTATTTAGCTGGCTCTAGGGGTGCCTGCCACAATGGTCTGATGCAATGGGGATGATTGCCCCACTCTCCTGAGGTTCAGATGTTGTGTGCCCTGCAGCCTACCTGGCAGCTCCCACATCGTGTCTCTCCCAGTCTCCCCTGCCTTTGCAGATGGCATCAATGTCCACGCAGAGTGCCGGGCAGAGACCTCGGCAGTGCCCTTCATTTCGCTTTCCCTCTACTCATCTGCCCAGCCCATCAGCATCCCGTCAGTTCCTTCTTGAGAAGATGACATTTCCCATATCTACTGCCATGAGCCCACCTTAAGTAATCAAATAACCAGCTAAAGACTGCCTTGATCTCTCCCCAGGTCACTGCAAGAGCCTCATCACCCTCTTCCTGACCCATTCTCTGCACAGCTGCCACAGTGGTTATTATCCTGTGCTCCAAACCATGCATCTGCTTTGCTGAACCCCAAACTGGGCTCTTGTGTCCCTGTGAGACCAGCCCCTTCCCTCCTCTCCTCCTCACCTCTTCCCACTCTCCCCTTCCTCACTCCCTTTCTGCACAGGAGTCTTCCCTCTGTGCTGGAACACACCAAGCTCATTGGGGCTCAGGACCTCTGCCCGGGATCTTGCCACTGCCCCTGGTCTCTGAGATGAGCTCTGTGAGGGTGGGATGATGGATGATGCTGAGGATGGGGCGGCTCTAATGCGAGGAGTCCTCTGGGTGGGTGCTGGTGCTCTCTGTTCACATTTAATCAGGAAATTCTTGAGCACATTAACTGGGAACTGATTATTCCAAAAGTTAAGGATGGATTCAGCTTCTTTTCTTTCTTTTGGCCTAAAGCCTTTGAAGTCTCACAACTTTTCCTGATAATAATGGCATGAAAGAGATATTTGTATTTTTTTAACTTTTATATAAAACTACAAAAGAAAGAACAAGAGCTATCAATAAGCTTAAAAGAAATGGGAAACTTACAAACAGGAGGGAAATTATGTTATTTTGCCATTTGGTTTACAGACCGGTGGGAGGACATGAATAACACATAAGAAACCATACTGGGGAGGAGGAGCCAAGATGGCCGAATAGGAACAGCTCCGGTCTACAGCTCCCAGCGTGAGCAACGCAGAAGACGGGTGATTTCTGCATTTCCATCTGAGGTACCGGGTTCATCTCACTAGGGAGTGCCAGACAGTGGGCGCAGGCCAGTGTGTGTGCGCACCGTGCGCGAGCCGAAGCAGGGCGAGGCATTGCCTCACCTGGGAAGCGCAAGGGGTCAGGGAGTTCCCTTTCCAAGTCAAAGAAAGGGGTGACGGACGCACCTGGAAAATCGGGTCACTCCCACCCGAATATTGCGCTTTTCAGACCGGCTTAAGAAATGGCGCACCACGAGATTATATCCCGCACCTGGCTCGGAGGGTCCTACGCCCACGGAATCTCGCTGATTGCTAGCACAGCAGTCTGAGATCAAACTGCAAGGCGGCAACGAGGCTGGGGGAGGGGCGCCCGCCATTGCCCAGGCTTGCTTAGGTAAACAAAGCAGCCAGGAAGCTCGAACTGGGTGGAGCCCACCACAGCTCAAGGAGGCCTGCCTGCCTCTGTAGGCTCCACCTCTGGGGGCAGGGCACAGACAAACAAAAAGACAGCAGTAACCTCTGCAGACTTAAGTGTCCCTGTCTGACAGCTTTGAAGAGAGCAGTGGTTCTCCCAGCACGCAGCTGGAGATCTGAGAACAGGCAGACTGCCTCCTCAAGTGGGTCCCTGACCCCTGACCCCTGAGCAGCCTAACTGAGAGGCACCCCCCAGCAGGGGCACACTGACACCTCACATGGCAGGGTATTCCAACAGACCTGCAGCTGAGGGTCCTGTCTGTTAGAAGGAAAACTAACAACCAGAAAGGACATCTACACCGAAAACCCATCCGTACATCACCATCATCAAAGACCAAAAGTAGATAAAACCACAAAGATGGGGAAAAAACAGAACAGAAAAACTGGAAACTCTAAAACGCAGAGCGCCTCTCCTCCTCCAAAGGAACGCAGTTCCTCACCAGCAACAGAACAAAGCTGGATGGAGAATGATTTTGACGAGCTGAGAGAAGAAGGCTTCAGACGATCAAATTACTCTGAGCTACGGGAGGACATTCAAACCAAAGGCAAAGAAGTTGAAAACTTTGAAAAAAATTTAGAAGAATGTATAACTAGAATAACCAATACAGAGAAGTGCTTAAAGGAGCTGATGGAGCTGAAAACCAAGGCTCGAGAACTACGTGAAGAATGCAGAAGCCTCAGGAGCCGATGCGATCGACTGGAAGAAAGGGTATCAGCAATGGAAGATGAAATGAATGAAATGAAGCGAGAAGGGAAGTTTAGAGAAAAAAGAATAAAAAGAAATGAGCAAAGCCTCCAAGAAATATGGGACTATGTGAAAAGACCAAATCTACGTCTGATTGGTGTACCTGAAAGTGATGTGGAGAATGGAACCAAGTTGGAAAACACTCTGCAGGATATTATCCAGGAGAACTTCCCCAATCTAGCAAGGCAGGCCAACGTTCAGATTCAGGAAATACAGAGAACGCCACAAAGATACTCCTCGAGAAGAGCAACTCCAAGACACATAATTGTCAGATTCACCAAAGTTGAAATGAAGGAAAAAATGTTAAGGGCAGCCAGAGAGAAAGGTCGGGTTACCCTCAAAGGAAAGCCCATCAGACTAACAGCGGATCTCTCGGCAGAAACCCTACAAGACAGAAGAGAGTGGGGGCCAATATTCAACATTCTTAAAGAAAAGAATTTTCAACCCAGAATTTCATATCCAGCCAAACTAAGCTTCATAAGTGAAGGAGAAATAAAATACTTTATAGACAAGCAAATGCTGAGAGATTTTGTCACCACCAGGCCTGCCCTAAAAGAGCTCCTGAAGGAAGCGCTAAACATGGAAAGGAACAACCGGTACCAGCCACTGCAAAATCATGCCAAAATGTAAAGACCATCGAGACTAGGAAGAAACTGCATCAACTAATGAGCAAAATCACCAGCTAACATCATAATGACAGGATCAAATTCACACATAACAATATTAACTTTAAATATAAATGGACTAAATTCTGCAATTAAAAGACACAGACTGGCAAGTTGGATAAAGAGTCAAGACCCATCAGTGTGCTGTATTCAGGAAACCCATCTCACGTGCAGAGACACACATAGGCTCAAAATAAAAGGATGGAGGAAGATCTACCAAGCCAATGGAAAACAAAAAAAGGCAGGGGTTGCAATCCTAGTCTCTGATAAAACAGACTTTAAACCAACAAAGATCAAAAGAGACAAAGAAGGCCATTACATAATGGTAAAAGGATCAATTCAACAAGAGGAGCTAACTTTCCTAAATATTTATGCACCCAATACAGGAGCACCCAGATTCATAAAGCAAGTCCTCAGTGACCTACAAAGAGACTTAGACTCCCACACATTAATAATGGGAGACTTTAACACCCCACTGTCAACATTAGACAGATCAACGAGACAGAAAGTCAACAAGGATACCCAGGAATTGAACTCAGCTCTGCACCAAGCAGACCTAATAGACATCTACAGAACTCTCCACCCCAAATCAACAGAATATACATTTTTTTCAGCACCACACCACACCTATTCCAAAATTGACCACATAGTTGGAAGTAAAGCTCTCCTCAGCAAATGTAAAAGAACAGAAATTATAACAAACTATCTCTCAGACCACAGTGCAATCAAACTAGAACTCAGGATTAAGACTCTCACTCAAAGCCGCTCAACTACATGGAAACTGAACAACCTGCTCCTGAATGACTACTGGGTACATAACGAAATGAAGGCAGAAATAAAGATGTTCTTTGAAACCAACGAGAACAAAGACACCACATACCAGAATCTCTGGGACGCATTCAAAGCAGTGTGTAGAGGGAAATTTATAGCACTAAATGCCTACAAGAGAAAGCAGGAAAGATCCAAAATTGACACCCTAACATCACAATTAAAAGAACTAGAAAAGCAAGAGCAAACACATTCAAAAGCTAGCAGAAGGCAAGAAATAACTAAAATCAGAGCAGAACTGAAGGAAATAGAGACACAAAAAACCCTTCAAAAAATCAATGAATCCAGGAGCTGGTTTTTTGAAAGGATCAACAAAATTGATAGACCGCTAGCAAGACTAATAAAGAAAAAAAGAGAGAAGAATCAAATAGACACAATAAAAAATGATAAAGGGGATATCACCACCGATCCCACAGAAATACAAACTACCATCAGAGAATACTACAAACACCTCTACGCAAATAAACTAGAAAATCTAGAAGAAATGGATACATTCCTCGACACATACACTCTCCCAAGACTAAACCAGGAAGAAGTTGAATCTCTGAATAGACCAATAACAGGCTCTGAAATTGTGGCAATAATCAATAGTTTACCAACCAAAAAGAGTCCAGGACCAGATGGATTCACAGCCGAATTCTACCAGAGGTACAAGGAGGAACTGGTACCATTCCTTCTGAAACTATTCCAATCAATAGAAAAAGAGGGAATCCTCCCTAACTCATTTTATGAGGCCAGCATCATTCTGATACCAAAGCCGGGCAGAGACACAACCAAAAAAGAGAATTTTAGACCAATATCCTTGATGAACATTGATGCAAAAATCCTCAATAAAATACTGGCAAACCGAATCCAGCAGCACATCAAAAAGCTTATCCACCATGATCAAGTGGGCTTCATCCCTGGGATGCAAGGCTGGTTCAATATACGCAAATCAATAAATGTAATCCAGCATATAAACAGAGCCAAAGGCAAAAACCACATGATTATCTCAATAGATGCAGAAAAAGCCTTTGACAAAATTCAACAACCCTTCATGCTAAAAACTCTCAATAAATTAGGTATTGATGGGACGTATTTCAAAATAATAAGAGCTATCTATGACAAACCCACAGCCAATATCATACTGAATGGGCAAAAACTGGAAGCATTCCCTTTGAAAACTGGCACAAGACAGGGATGCCCTCTCTCACCGCTCCTATTCAACATAGTGTTGGAAGTTCTGGCCAGGGCAATCAGGCAGGAGAAGGAAATAAAGGGTATTCAATTAGGAAAAGAGGAAGTCAAATTGTCCCTGTTTGCAGACGACATGATTGTTTATCTAGAAAACCCCATCGTCTCAGCCCAAAATCTCCTTAAGCTGATAAGCAACTTCAGCAAAGTCTCAGGATACAAAATCAATGTACAAAAATCACAAGCATTCTTATACACCAACAACAGACAAACAGAGAGCCAAATCATGGGTGAACTCCCATTCACAATTGCTTCAAAGAGAATAAAATACCTAGGAATCCAACTTACAAGGGATGTGAAGGACCTCTTCAAGGAGAACTACAAACCACTGCTCAAGGAAATAAAAGAGGACACAAACAAATGGAAGAACATTCCATGCTCATGGGTAGGAAGAATCAATATCGTGAAAATGGCCATACTGCCCAAGGTAATTTACAGATTCAATGCCATCCCCATCAAGCTACCAATGACTTTCTTCACAGAATTGGAAAAAACTACTTTAAAGTTCATATGGAACCAAAAAAGAGCCCGCATTGCCAAGTCAATCCTAAGCCAAAAGAACAAAGCTGGAGGCATCACACTACCTGACTTCAAACTATACTACAAGGCTACAGTAACCAAAACAGCATGGTACTGGTACCAAAACAGAGATATAGATTAATGGAACAGAACAGAGCCCTCAGAAATAATGCCGCATATCTACAACTATCTGATCTTTGACAAACCTGAGAAAAACAAGCAATGGGGAAAGGATTCCCTATTTAATAAATGGTGCTGGGAAAACTGGCTAGCCATATGTAGAAAGCTGAAACCGGATCCCTTCCTTACACCTTATACAAAAATCAATTCAAGATGGATTAAAGATTTAAACGTTAAACTAAAACCATAAAAACCCTAGAAGAAAACCTAGGCATTACCATTCAGGACATAGGCGTGGGCAAGGACTTCATGTCCAAAACACCAAAAGCAATGGCAACAAAAGACAAAATTGACAAATGGGATCTAATTAAACTAAAGAGCTTCTGCACAGCAAAAGAAACTACCATCAGAGTGAACAGGCAACCTACAACATGGGAGAAAATTTTCGCAACCTACTCATCTGACAAAGGGCTAATATCCAGAATCTACAATGAACTCAAACAAATTTACAAGAAAAAAACAAACAACCCCATCAAAAAGTGGGTGAAGGACATGAACAGACACTTCTCAAAAGAAGACATTTATGCAGCCAAAAAACACATGAAGAAATGCTCATCATCACTGGCCATCAGAGAAATGCAAATCAAAACCACTATGAGATATCATCTCACACCAGTTAGAATGGCAATCATTAAAAAGTCAGGAAACAACAGGTGCTGGAGAGGATGCGGAGAAATAGGAACACTTTTACACTGTTGGTGGGACTGTAAACTAGTTCAACCATTGTGGAAGTCAGTGTGGCGATTCCTCAGGGATCTAGAACTAGAAATACCATTTGACCCAGCCATCCCATTACTGGGAATATACCCAAATGAGTATAAATCATGCTGCTATAAAGACACATGCACACGTATGTTTATTGCGGCACTATTCACAATAGCAAAGACTTGGAACCAACCCAAATGTCCAACAATGATAGACTGGATTAAGAAAATGTGGCACATATACACCATGGAATACTATGCAGCCATAAAAAATGATGAGTTCATATCCTTTGTAGGGACATGGATGAAATTGGAAACCATCATTCTCAGTAAACTATCGCAAGAACAAAAAACCAAACACCGCATATTCTCACTCATAGGTGGGAATTGAACAATGAGATCACATGGACACAGGAAGGGGAATATCACACTCTGGGGACTGTGGTGGGGTCGGGGGAGGGGGGAGGGATAGCATTGGGAGATATACCTAATGCTAGATGACACATTAGTGGGTGCAGCGCACCAGCATGGCACATGTATACATATGTAACTAACCTGCACAATGTGCACATGTACCCTAAAACTTAGAGTATAATAAAAAAAAAAAAAAAAAAAAAGAAACCATACTGGCTAGTTCTGAAAAGTAGGGGGTTGGTGCTGAATGATTGTGAGATGCAGAATGTTAGTGGGACAGGGTCCAGAGAAAATGGGCTTCACCAGTGCAAGGAAGAAAGGTCGGGAAGTTGTGAATGTGAACTTGAAAGCCACGAGGCCACGCTTGTCAGAACTGTGCTGAAGTAAGAGCTAATTCGGAGTGTCTTTTCTCTGTGGTGAAGTCGTGGGCTTTGTTCCAGTCCCCTCAAGTCCTCTTTGCTTGATTTTGGTTTCTTGATGGAATCCCAGAGGGCCGAGATTGCTGCAATCCCATGACGATGCCTAGAATCACAGATGTTTGGTCTGGCTTTCTGTTTCACCTCTCCTATATGGCAGCTCATTGTTGGACCTCCTTTTCTTCTTCCTGTCTGCATAGGAAAAGAATGTCCCCCTCGCTATAAATGAAACAGAGAAGACCAAGATGAAGAGGAAGATGAGCGCAGTGCAGCATGCCGAGGCACCGGGGACTCAGCAGGGACTCAGGAGAAGAGAGACCCTGTGGAAACAGGACGAGCTGTCCTATGAGAGGTCTCCGGAGGTAGGCTCTGAGTTCCATGCCACATGCACAGCCTCATGGCAGTGGCCTCTCAGGAGGATAGTGGGTCCCCACCTTCTGGGGGAGCACACCAGGTCCTGTAGCACAACGCCACAGGTAATGGCAGATCAAGACTCTAGCATAGGAGGACTCTCCCCTCCCTCACTCTCTCGCCAATCTCCCTTCCTTCCTTCCTTCCTTTCAACTACCCATTTTTCCTTTTATCCATCCATCCATCATCTACCTCTTTCCAGAAAAGGAGAAAATTTACAAAGAGGCAGGTAATACTTTAAGATACAGATATGAAGTTGTTATAAGAACAATATACAAAAGGTAAAATGAGTATAGGAAGCTGAGCTGAAGCCAGAAGTTATATTATCATACAAAACACAAGCCTCTAAATGCTAAGCACCTTCTAGAGATCAGCAACATCCTGTCTCTGAGCTTCCTAGCAGCTGATGGGAATGGGGAAACAGGATAACATGATCAGTCCCTTGACTCTCAGTATCCGTAAGGTAAAAATAAACTCACTGCCAAGGAAAAGTTTGGCTTCAAGTGATTTAGAGACCAGTGAAAATGTTCCCAGGGCTTTTGTAGAAGAGGAGGTTTGAGGTTTAGCCAGGAACAAGGCTGGTGAGCAACCACCCCTAGCTGAACATGCTAGACCCCTGTTAAGGGAAACTCTAGGGACAGACTCAATCAAAAGAGTGAACAAAACAGACAAAATTTCTGTTCTCATTGAGCTTTCTCTCTAGAGGGGAGAGACAGGCAGTAGACACATAAGTAAGTAAAAAATAAAGAATAGAGAGTTTTTTTTTCTCATATGGTGATATGTGCTATGGAGAAATATGAAGCTGGGGAGGGGGTTGGGAAAGCAGGGGATATGGGCGAGGGGGACAGAAATCTGAATAGAAAAGTCAGGAAGGTTGTGCTACAGTGACAGTGATGTTTAAACAAAGACCTTCAGGAAGCAAGGGAGCCCGCCGAGCAGATACTTGAAGAGAGAACCGGGTTAGAATCCTAATCACACTGGGTTTAGTAAGCAGAGTGCAAGTTTAAAGCCCTTTAAAAATTAATCTCACCCGGGCCGGGCATTGTGGCTCACGCCTGTAATCCCAGCACTTTGGGAGGCCGAGGCGGGTGGATCACGAGATCAGGAGATCGAGACCATCCTGGCTAACACAGTGAAACCCCGTCTCTACTGAAAATACAAAAAAATTAGCCATGTGTGGTGGCGCATGCCTGTAATCCCAGCTACTTGGGAGGCTGAGGCGAGAGAATGGCGTGAACCCGGAAGGCAGAGCTTGCAGTGAGCTGAGATGGTGCCACTGCATTCCAGCCTGGGCGACAGAGCAAGACTCTGTCTCAAAAAAAAAAAAAAAATTAAAAATCTCACCCAGCCGAGTTCAGGTGATGCCGAAAAACCCACATTTTGTGAACCCATGAGACGTAGTCATAGCACTGGTGCAGGGCAGGGACTGGGCATGCCTCCTGGGGCTGTCCGCACCCTGAGAAACAGGAGAGACAGGAGGACATGAAATCCTGCACCCCACGCACTCCCTTCATAAGGCTTCTCTCCTCTGTGGACTCTGAGACAGGCTAAGCTTGGGACTCTCACCACAAAGAAAGGAGTTTAGCAGAAACACAGGGAAGCCAAGGGAACCCCAAAAATCCAACTGGACATTGAGGGTCCCAACCAAGCAGTGCCTTCTGCCACCCAGCACTCACTGTTTGCAGCCCTGGAACACGCGTGAGACTCTGCGTCTCTGCTCCTGTCTGAGCCTGAGCCTCTTGCCACACCGAGCCAGCTTCCTGTGCCCAAAAGTGTGCATTTTCCAGGGGACCCACCTGTGTGCACCTGAAGAATCAGCTGACCAAATTGCATTTATTGAGGGAAAGCGTGTGGGTTTCTGTCCACCATGACACTGCCTCAGCTATTTTCAGAGGTGATTTGTTTTGCTGGTATTTTATTGTGGTTTTAAATGAAGATACTTTTGTCTTTCTCTGTTTATATGAATGGCTGAGCAGGCAGTATTGTTCAGAGAGGAAATCTCTTGTATTGGAGGTCGTGAATGTTCCAGGGCTATAAATACAACGAGAATGTGTGAAGTCTGTGACTTCAGGAATTCCAATAAAATGAAGAGAGGAAAATTGCACAGTGTTTACACTCTTATGACTCCCAATGCAAGATGGGCCAAGAGCAAAGTTGGAGACCAACGAAGCAGGGAGAATGACTAAGGCCAGCCTCCCCGCCTGCTCCCTGGCAGTGGGGCTCCTGAGGCGCCTCCCTCCACTCACCACTTGACTGCAAGAAACAAAACAACGCATGAAATGTACAAGTCACCAGGCAGCCATGAGGAGCGGGGCCACTTCTTGGCTCGCTGGTGGCCCCTGGCAGGAAGCTCTGGAACTAACAGGGGACAGATTTTTGTCCCAAAGGAGGGAGGTTGTCAGGGAGTAATTGGAGGACTTAGGCACCTGCTGGAGTGAGATTTGGGTCCTGCAGGTCTGTGGCACCCTGAGGCCCCTCTGGATGGGTCACTAGGTGTATGTTGATGTCCTGCTGGTTCTTCCTGTCCGTGCCACTGCCTGAAAGGAGAACACTGCAGCTGGCAGGTGGATGCCCACCCCCTGTGCCCTGCTTGGCTGGCAGGGACTGGAGCTGCCAGACCATGCATCCCCCAGGGGGTGGGCCACCTGTCCAAGATGGGAGAGGAGAGGTAGAGAACATGGCCATTTGTAACATAGGCGGGGATAGGATACTGAAATGTTCAAATGGTATATCAAAATATAAGAAATCTGAAATCCCGCCACCAAGGATAATTTTCAATTGTGCTAAAATTTCGTTTTTGAGTCTACGACTGACTGTAGTACCTTACTCCCTGCAGCATGCCCCCGCGCTGGGCACTGTGTCCCCTGACTTCCCTAGTGGGCAGATTTGGGATTTGGTGGGATGTGGCTTGAGGCCTTGTTGTCCTCTGAAACACTCTGGGCAGAAAAGGTGGAACCTTCCCTGAAGGTAGTGGGATGCTGATCCCGAGGATGGGCCACCTTCTCAGTGGGCCACAAAGGTCCAATATAGGTGGACAGTGTGGCCTCTACACAGGGCATCTGGGGGCACTTCTCCCCATGGAAGTCCCCTAGGGATGATGAATGATGCCTCCACTGGGAATTTCATTCTGGGCATAGCAGCCTTGGTGTCTGTTCTGGAGCTTCTCAGGCAGCCATTCTGGAAGACGGTGTGCGCTGGGAATTGCCTTCTGGGCATAGCAGCCTCGGTGTCTGTTCTGGAGCTTCTCAGGCAGCCATTCTGGAAGATGGTGGAGCCATGCCGCTGCACTGTGGGAAGCTGCTCTCAGTCTTCCCGGGCTGCAAAGCCTCGGGAACTAACCTGGGCTTTCTGGGGCCTTTCTCCGGTCAGTCTGCAGCACTGACTCCTGGACACCTGAGCATCCATCCATTCCCTCCCTGCAGGAAGCTCCTCAGTGCTTCCTTCCTACAGAGCCCCGATTTCACTTTCCTCCCTGTCAGCTCATTCCCACAGCTCCCCAGCAGCATGTCATAGTAACAGGCTTTGGGAAAGGATGCAGGACTTTCCTCTCCTCCCAGGAAACTGACTAGGCTGCATCTACAAAATGACATTGCTGTTTGGACAGAGGTCATTCCCAAAGGAACAGGGAAGTTGGGGGCAAAAGGCAACCCAAAAGCTGTTCCAGTAGCCCTCCCAGAAGTCTAGGGCTCCTCCTCCTCCTCTTCTTTCTCTTCCCCGTTTTCTTCTTCTTCCTCCTCCTCCTCCTCTTCCACCTCTTCAGAAAAACAGAAGCTTGCTCATTATTAACTGACTTTTGAGGTTTAAAAATATATACTTTACAAATCAAAGTTCATTATAAAGTTCAGACTTCAGGATTGTAACGTAGAGGGACTTTTTAAATAAAATAAATGAAGATAAGAAAAAAGTAGGGCAGTCAGGACTGTCTGGCTCAGTGAATCTTGTTAACTACACAGATCTTTGAAGTAAAAATATTCTGGCTGTAGAGCAAATTAGTTTTAAGAGATAAAACCTTTCTTCAAAAGTATTACCATGAAGAACGGCAAATGAAGTCTTGCTTCCAGAAAGATGGAGTAGACACATTTTTCCCTATTCTTCCCACTAAGTCACTAAGTGAGCTAAAAATCCTGGACGTCATATAAAAAACAAACATAAGGAGACTCTGGAAGGTGGAAAGAAGGCATACTGTTTAGAAATTTCAGAACCCAAGGAACGACACGAAGGTGAGTTCCCTGGGTTTTCTTGATGCCTCATGTATCCCAGATTTTGAGCAGAAGAGCTGAAAATCCCAATGGGCACAGATGATAAAACCCTGAACAAAAGCCTGCTCCCTCCAGCTGAAGGACCAGGGCAGCCCATCAAGACAGAAACTTCAGGAAAACAATCACTCTTTTCCAGCCAAACGCTACAGAAAACCACTGGCCTGCCTTTTCCCACACTGGCAAAGGCCAAGGACCAGGGTGCCCAGCCTTCTGCCCCCAGGGAGGCTATAACAAGGTGCTTCCTCTTCTTTTGGGAGGAGAAGAACACAGTGGCTGTGGTGGGATGAGGAGTGACAGTGTCATCACTGGGGAAGCCAGTGGGTAGCAGAGGGCATGCCTGGGCAGACGGAGAAGGAGAGAGCCTCACTGAGTAGGAAGGAACTTGGACTGGCTCTGCCCTCTTCCCTCCCAGCTGGTCCTGACCCTGGAGGCACAGGCAGGGTTGGAGGAGTGGGTCTAGCCCATGCTCCTGTTGCACAGCCTGTGAGAGGCTGAGCCCCAGCTTCACCCTGCCAGTGTCTGCAGGTCCCTCTCGCACACGTGGCTGGCTGAGCTTAATTCAGGACCCATGACACTCAGTAAGAGTCCGGTGGGATGCAGCTTCAGCCTTGGGGAAATGACTATGTTTAGGAACTCAGATCTGCTCAAGGCCTCCATCCATATGGGGTTTTTCTATATGAAACATTCAAATAAAATGGCCCAAACCCTTATCCAGCCCAGGGCCTTCTCCCAGTGTCCAAGGATTCCTGGGTCATCTCTTCTTTCACATTCCTGCTCCCACTAAATTCTCAGTCTTCAATTTGCCCACCTGCCTCCTGGGGCTGCTGGGCCCTCTCTGCCTTCACCCCCTGCCCAGGAGATGAATAGCACCCTCTCTCCTTCACCGTGTCAGTGCTACCATCTGTTTAAACAAGATGCCACTCAAGATGGGGGGAAGGGTGGTATTTAGAACCTCAAGTAGAATATTAACTATCTCTGTCTCTACAAAGGGGTGGGTCTCCCCTCATAAGGGGAACTTCTCACTGGTCTGGGTCCCCCCTTAGACTCTGGCTTCTCATCTATGTTTCTAGGCCTCTCTTTCCCTGCAAATTGCTTATTCAGACCTTGACCCTCTTCCCTGGTCACTAAGAAGCCAACAGTGGAGATCCCCAAATTCCTGATACTTTATCCTGCAGAATGATTTAGTGCTCTGCTCCCTACCTTCCTCCTCAGGCATGGGGCTCCTCCCAGGTGCTGCCTGTATCAGCCTGTTTTCACACTGCTGTAAAGATACTATCTGAGACTGGGTAATTTATAAAGAAGAAAGGTTTAATTGACTCACAGTTCCACATGGCTGTGGAGGCCTCAGGACACTTACGCTCATGGCTGAAGGTGAAGGGGAAGCAAAGCATGTCTTACATGGCGGCAGGAAAAACAGAGCATGAAGGGGGAACTGCCAGACACTTTTAAAACCATCAGCTCTCGTGAGAACTCACTCACTATCATGAGAACAGCACGGGGGAAACCGTCCCCATGATCCAGTCACTTCCCACCAGGTTCCTCCCTTAACACATGGGGATTACATTTGAGATGAGATTTGGGTGGGGACACAAAGCCAAACCATATCCCTGCCTGTTCCAACCCAGGTGTCAGATGTTTTCTCCAGCAGGAGTGATCTGCCTCCCATAGGAACCCTGCTCCGCCCCACAAATACAGAAGTGTGGCCATCACTTCTTTTTTAAAAGCCTTTATTGGAATTTTTTTCTCATATTCATAAAATACAGTGTGCTGCCAAGTTGACTGGTACAGTATAGCAAGAAGAGATCTCAGGAAACAAAGGAGAAGGACCCCGGGCAGCGACGGGCAGGGAGACACAGCTTAGTTGAGCCTGGAGGCTTGCTCCCCTGAGAGCCAGGAGACTTCTGGGCTGGACAGATGGACCAAGGAGCTTAAGCCAGCTGCACTTACCAGGACTGGGCCTTCAGCAGGAAGGAAGGCTCTGTGAGGAGAGAGGAAGATGTCTCTCTTAAGGGAGAGAGGACAGGGCCTGAAACAGAAAAGTTCAACCTCACCTCTGGGCAAGATGTTCTGGAAACGAAATATGTAAGATTTGTCTCCTAGTTTGGGCCAGGCCTGCCTTTATTCCCTCTGCAGCCGGAGCTGTGCCTTGACCCACACCCACCCTGCCACCACAGTGTCTGCTGTACCCAAGGCAACCCATCTGATAATATGAAAGTGAGGGGGGGATTTGGTGAGAGAGCACTTTTCCCAGAGGGGAGGTCAGAAGGGGAGAAGGGCCCACCCAGCTCTGTGTGGGTTCTGGGAGCACAACCTCTCAATTTTGTTAGAATTAACCTTTCTCCTGAAGCACTGCAGCTGCAAAGAGGCAGATGTGTGTCGATCAACATGTGAGCCTGGAGATGCCTCTGAAGGATGCCCATCAACAAGATGGCTTTCTGGGTTTTGTTTTAGTTCTCTTGTTTGCTTTCAAATAACAGAACATATCAACAGATGCATTGGCCAGACGATGCCTCCCTAGCATTTAGCAAAATATCAAGCAGTTTTTTGATGCCCAAAAGATTCCTTGTTTCTGCAGTGGGTCTGGAGGGATGCAGCTCCTTGAACCATGGGAAGAATCAGAGCTTTATTTTTTTTTCTCTTTACGAAGAGCTACCAAGAAGGGCTGGAAATTATCTGGTTCATCCCCTGCCTCCAGATTCCCCGATCAGTTTGGTCTGACCCAAGAGCCACCTTAGTTTCTTCATGTGGACGATTGTCACAGGGACAAATGGTCTTCACCCTCTCCAGTTGTTACTGCTGTCAGTAAAAATTGAGTATGCATTGCCAATATATGCAGTAGTTATGTATTGAAACGTACATATTCCAGGACTACTTTAGTAACACATTCTGTACAAAAATAGAAGTTAAAAATAGATTAAGTAAAAATAAAATATGAATGTACTAATTTGGAAAGTGTGCCCCCAAAATTCATGTCCTCTCTTGAAGCTCAGAATGTGACCTTATTTGGAAACAGGATCTTTGGAGGTATAATTCCTTAAGATGAGGTTGCCCTGGAGGAGGGTGGACCCTTAGTCCAATATGACTCGCATCCTGATAATAAGAGACTGAGACACGCAGGGAGAATGCCAGGTGACACCAGAGGCAGAGACCAGAGTGATGCAGCTACAAGTCAAGGCACCAAGAATGGCTGGCGGCCCCAGAAACTAGGAGAGAGGCATGGAAGGCCCTCCCCTAGAGCCTTCAGTGAGAGCATGGCCTGCTCACACCTTGATCTTGGACTTCTAGTCTCCAGAATGGTGAGACAAGAAATTTCTGTTGTTTTAAGCCATTTTGTTTGTGGGCATGTATTATGACAGCAGTAGGCAATTAATACACTAAGATTTTAATATTTTCATTTTGCTCCTCAATGGGGTGTCTTGTACAACCTCTGTATGACCTCCACTTTCGAGACCATAGATCAGAGGTGTCCACAGCAGGCCAAGAAGGGAACTGAAGGCAGGGACAGGGCTGCCTGGGGTGAGCAGGGGCTGGTCAGCCCCACTCCCAGGAGCTGCTGTGTCCTGATTGGTCCCTGTAGGTGCATCACTGATTTCTAACTGGAAAACTTGGAAAAGATTTATTGCTCCTGACTTGTCAACCAATCAGAAGAGAGTTATTAGCTGGCTCCAGCGTGTTCCTCCTAGACTTTTCTGTGGGGCTCCAGATTCACCTGCCTGCTGGGACCCTGCATCTGTTTTCTGGGGCCCTTGGGCTCAAGATGTCTACAGCTGAGTGCTTGGTTTCCTTCTGCAGCTTGTTCCCCTCAGCCCCAAGTGAGGCCAGTGTTAAGATCATTCATAAAGTTTCCCAAATCAGGAATCTAAGAGTCATCTTGGAAGCCTCTCTCCCTGGTCCCTCAACTTCAGCACATTTTGTTGATCATGCTGATAATCAGCAATGGTCCGTCCTCTACTCTCTGGAATACATAGGATGAAGTGAAAACCCCTGGCTTAGCCCCCAGTCTCTTTATCAAGGGTCTGCAACAGACACTGTGGTCCTGCCACACACAAGCTCCTCCCAACTTCCTGGGTCTTTTTTCTTTTCTTCTTTTTTTTATTATTTCTTTTTTCTTTTCTTTTTTATTCTTCTATAGAGCCTGGAAAGCTAAATACTTGATTTTTCTAGACACCTGCCATAGAGTGGCCATAGGACCCTGTTGTGGCCAACAGGACGTAAGCGGAGATCTACTTGGGAAGGCTTTCACTCTTGGAAAGAAGAAGGGATTTTGCCCTCTGCCTTCTTCCTACATGGAAAACAGATGTCTGGAAGTGCAGCAGCTATCTTGTGAGTAGGAGGGCAATAGTCTCAGTGGAAGGATGGTAGAGGACAAAGAGAGATACAGAGGCTGGAACCCTCATGGCTTCGTTGAGCAGCCATTGGCCTGGGATAACCTACCCCCAAGTTACACAAGGAAGAGAGACTCTTAATTGTTAGCCACTCTTGGTCACATTTCCTCTTGTTCCAGTTGCATTCCAACTGGTCCTGGAACATTGTGGTTGCTCAGTAAGTGTGAGCTCCTTTCCCTTCTCCACTTGCTTGCTGCCTGACGTAGTCACTCTCTCCATTTCCTGAGGAATTTTCTAGAACTCTAAGGGGAAAGTTCATTATCCTGGCAGACAAGTGCGTGATGAGATTAAGGTCTCTGTAGATAAGACAATTCTTTGAAACTGCTCATGTTGGACCCTGACAAGGGCTCAGTGAGTGTGGATGCCAACTCCCAATCTTGTCTTCCCTCTTTTGGCAGAAATCTCAAAAAGCATGGGCTGGGCAGACATCCTTCTCCCATGACCATCGGTGCTACCTGGGGGAGTTGCGGGTCATCTCCCCACAGCCCAGGCCCCCTTGTGATCTGCTGCGTGCCTTCCAGCTGGCCCTGCTGGAGACAAACCCCAGTGCCCACGCCCTCTCCTCCTGGGGCTCCTAGCCCACCACTGCCCTGTGGCTTTTCTCCCTTCCTCCTAGGACCCCACATCTCGTCAGTATTTAGGATGTGTGGATTCTGCCTCCTTGGTGGCTGTGGGGTCTGTCCAGTCCCCAGCTGTCTCATTGCCTTGACCTCAGTCCAGCCCATGTGCCATCCCACCACAGTCCCAGCTTCTGTCCCCGCCTGGCTCCCCTCACCCATCATGGGCTCTGCAGCCTCTAAAACATCACTTCTGTTCTGGACGCGGCCTTTGTCTATGAAGTTGCCTTCATGGTACTTTACATATTTTATTTTATTTTTAATTTCAATTTTTATTTTTTGAGATGGAGTCTCAGAAAATAGTCTCGCACTGTGACCTGGGCTGCAGTACAGCGGCGTGATCTCGGCTCACTGCAACCTCTGCCTCTCAGGTTCAAGAGATTCTCCTGCCTCAGCTCCCAAGTAGCTAGTATTGCAGGCACCCACCACCACACCTGGCTGATTTTTTTGTATTTTTAGTAGAGACGGGGTTTCACTATGTTGGCCAGGCTGGTCTCAAACTCCTGACCTCGTGATCTGCCTGCCTCAGCCTCCCAAAGTGCTGGGATTACAGGCGTGAGACACCATGCCCGGCCTACATATATGAAAATATTATTTGCTGACATTTAAAACCAAGGCCTTTCACATGCATATTCTGCTTTCCAGATTCTCTGGAAGAATCCGAGGCTCTGTGGGTGACAGGCTGCCTTTCCTCACAGGAAGCCGTCAGTGTGAGAAGGAGCTGCCCCTTCAGAAGGCGCTCCCCATCCAGTCCCCTGCTGGCTGCTTCCAGTCCCTCAGACACAGGCCTGCTTTGACACGCATCAGAGGCTTATGAATTCCATTCAGTGGATCACAGCCAGGATTTAAGAAAAAAATGAAATGGAATTAGATTGAACATATCAGGTTGACTATATTGCATGTAGCAAGGCTAAGTATTGCTTTCTGCAACTTTTAATTCAGATATTTCCATGGCCTCAGACATGTGTACTGAGTCGCGGTGTAAATCTATTTCTTACTCTGGGTCCTTAGCCTCTTGGTCTCTATCTCTTTAAAAGGCCTCCCAATCCCAAAGGAAGAAAAAGTGGGAGTGGGCAGGGGTGGTTGCCCACTGTTCTGGAAGACCTTAGAGATGAAGGGCTGCAGTGGCTTTGTCCAATAGCTTCCTGCCTCCATTCTCTGGTCTTATTCCTCTGGGGTTCCAATGAATAAAGGATTGTTTTCAAAAACGGAGGTCTGCTACACTCTGGAAGGGATCTCCACCAGTCTTCTCCGTTAGAGCAGTTTTACCCTGTGTACTCTCTTTAAACTCTTCCAGATGTTAATGGTCATTACTTGAAATAAGCCTTGTGCTCTGGCAAGTTTGGGCAGTGCTGGACTACATGAAATAAATGGGTTTCTTATCTGCAGGATTTCTCAGACACTCCAGGAGTTCTTGACATAGTGTTCTCTAGAAAATACTTTGGGAAATGCATGATTAGAGGTAAAACCTGGAGGTGCTTCAGAATTTGAAAGTTTAATTTAGGCTGGAATCTTGAAAGGAACCTGCAGAAAACTTGACTTTACTCCTTCCCACCTTACCCAGTGAATAATCCCTCATCATTGACGTCATTCACGAAATACACAGGCTATTTAGACATTGATTCTGCCCTCCACAAGCTAACAGTCTACAGTGCGTAAGATGGAGACACACATGACTGTAACACCTTGTCTCCAAGGGAAAGAAAGGTAAAGAGACAGGGTTCAGACACAGGGTTCCTGCCAGCCGAGGGGACTGGGCACTGAGAAGGAGGCAGGTGTCTTTGGGTTAGGCCTTGAAGGCCGTGTGAAATGAACACTCACGCAGAGGGGACGGGGTGGCATGGACACTCCAGGTGAGAAGGAGTGTTCTGGGGAATGTTTGGAAGAAGGTGAGCCTGAGACAAAAATAAAGGAACAGTGCTGGGGCCAACCTGCCTCTCAGAAGCAAACAGTTGGACTAATGCTTCAAGGGCACTGTATGGGTAGGAAACAAAGAAACACAGGAAGGCCAGATGTTGGGGTGCCTCAAATATGGGGCTGGAGGCTTCCACCTTCATGGTGTTGGGCAAAAGTCATGGAGGGATTTGGGGCCAGTGACAAGGGCTTCCTCAGTCTTTGACCACATGTATCCGGGCAGGGGAGTCACTGTCTCATGGCTGGATAAGCTTGTAGCCCTTTCTTCCAGTGAGCCCTATGGCTGCCACCCCGAGTCTTAGCTCTCTGTAACAAACAGCTGGGCAGGAGAACAGTGAGAACCGAGTCCTTGTCTGGTCTTTGAGATTTCCAGGGCGCTCTAGCAGCGGCACCTAGACACAGCCACCAGCCCACCGGGGGCGTTATCTCCAGGGCTGGCCAGCCAGGATGAGTAGAGCCTGTGACCCCTCTCCCCCTCCAGAATGCCTGGCGCTGTCCCTGACTTGGGGACCGTGTGGCTGTGTGTCTGTCCTCCCGTCAGCCACCAGAACAGTGTGGCCTTGGAGAAGCGCTTCATGTCGCCAGGCTGAGCAGATAACTTCCCAGGGCTGACGCGCTCTGCCTTTCAAAGGGGGCTTCTCTGTTGCAGAGCCAAAAAGCACAACACTTTTTCGGTCCAAGAGCAGAGCTCAGAAAAGTAGCTGTTGGGGGAAGTCGCCCAGCCTGAGCTCTGCGTCTTCCTCCGAAGCCTGGGGTGGAGGGAGGGAGGGATGTGCCGAGCCAGGACCAGATGGCTCCAGCTGGATTCGTCTCCCGGAAGAGAGGCCACTGTCATTTCCCCTGATTCCTAGACTCACAGAGCTGGAAGGGTCCTCGAGAGATCACTCCGTCTGTCTCCCTGTCTTGAAACGAGAAAACATCTAAGCCACCAGCTGGCGTGGAGCATCCGTGCAGAGCGTAGTGGGAAGCAGGATGGAGGAGCTCGGGGAGGCGAGAACACAGCGCCTGCTCAGCGGAAGGGCAGGGGGACAGGGCAGGGAGGTGGGAGAGGGCTGCAGGCTGGGGGCTGTTGGCTGAGCCCCCGCTGCAAAGTGCAGAGGGTGCAGGAGCCGGAGCGCAGTGCAGGCTGCATCGGCCTATTTTTAAGAGGACTCCTGTGTGAGGAGCCCACACTGTTGAGAAATCATGGGATTTGAAATCAAGCCAAGTCTCTGAGATGTTTGTACCCCTGAGCCATAGATCCCTTCCAGTGGCCCTTTCTGAAAACCCCAGTGTTGTTTGGGGCGGTTTCATTTTGGTCAGAAGACATTAAAGTGTGAAGATAAAAGCAACGCATTTGGTCCTTTATTGGCAAAATAATTATTTGGCTGAAAAATCTCCTAAGGCCAATAATGACTGTGAAATAATCACTGCACTGCACCTCACCCGGCATCTACCGGGAAATGCAAACAAGGCTCTACATTTGTCTTTCATATTATTTTGTCCATAATTGGGTACTGGCTTAAAAAAAAAAAAGTACATTATTCCAATGAGAAAAACAACAAAAATGGCCAGGTGCGGTGGCTCACGCCTGTAATCCCAGCACTTTGGGAGGCCGAGGCGGGTGGATCATGAAGTCAGGAGATTGAGACCAGCCTGGCCAACATGGTGAACCCCCATCGCTACTTAAAAAAATACAAAGTTAGCCAGGTGTGGTGGCGGATGCCTGTACTTCCAGCTATTCGGGAGGCTGAGGCAGGAGAATTGCTTGAACCCAGGAGGCAGAGGTTGCAGTGAGCTGAGATCATGCCATTGCACTCCAGCCTGGGCAACAAGAGTGAAACTCCATCTCCAAAAAAAAAAAAAAAAGAAAAACAACAAAAAGAACAAAATTTTACCACCAGATGGAAAAAGCAGACGAGGGAGTAGAAGCTTCCAGAGCGGGAACTGAGGCCGCCTGCTCAGAAAGGCCAAGGAGGAGGTTGACCAGACGCTTCTGCTGGAAGCCTCCTGGGTCCTGTGGGTTCTCCTGGGCTGTCTGCTTGGCTGGGTCTCCCAAGGCCTGAGGCCCACGTGCAGGTCTGGAGTCCGGTCAACCACAGGAGGCCAGTTGGAAAGCCTAAACCACTGGATACATTCAGGATGAGGGAATGCTGTTTCCGAAGCTGGCACACAGATGCCTCGCTGCGATTGTCCATGGGAAAGCCTGCCTCCTCTCTCCAACTTGGAAACTGCCAGAGGGCCAGGGTCTGTCTAAGGCACCTTGGGGACAGAGCCTGGCACCCAGGAGGTGCTCAGGGAACCGGGGTTGCCCCGGCGACCTACCTCTAACTTGAGGACGAGAGTCTTTTCTCTTTGAACTGAAGTGGACACTGCTGGCTTTAAGTAGATGTCGTAGGAGGAACTCAAGTTTTGATGTCCTGCCTGGATTCAAACCTTGGTCTCTTCACTTGCCAGTTGGATGAACTTCACCATTCATTTATTCTCTTTGGGCCTCAGTTTTTTTTCCACATGTAAAATGGGGCTAAGATGAATGAAAATTGAAATACTGCATGGGAATCCCTAGAGCAGGAGCCCTTTACAGGCACTCGGGAACAAGAAGCAGCATTCTTCGCTCTCGGTTCATGCGGCCTGGTTCCACATCACTGAGACGTGATGCTGGAGCATTCCCTGATACCTAGAATTCTAGGAATGCATGGGGCGGGTGCTGTTGGTGTAACAAATCTGTTCACCCTCATGGGCTTCTTCTTGGTGTTGAATCTGTGCAGAAATTCAAAGCAAATAGGCTTGACAGACTCCAAAAACTTTCATTAGGCACCAGTAATAGAAGCTTCCTTCCACTGCTCTTGACAAGTGTGAATATCTCGCTGATGCCTCCAGCTGTCAGAATGGGTGCTGGGAGCCTCTGGCATGGTGATGGGCCAGCGTGGGAAGCCCTAGGACCTGGTGGTGGGTGTGGCTTCTCAGGTGGGCAGAAGCTGGCAGTGGACCCAGGATCAGGAGCTGGGGGGTATTTATGGCAGTGGGTTGGTCAGAGCGATGACACTCAGGTCGTGAGTGGTTCTCAGTCTCGGCTGCAAGTTGGCATCACCACAAAGGCTTTAAAAACTAGTTGCCTGAGTCCACCCCTCGGAATTGTGATTTAATTGGTCTAAGGTGTGGCCTGGGCAGCAGAGTTTTAAAAGCCCCAGGTGATTCCAGTGTGTAGCCAAGGGTGTGAGCCAGGGGTGCCCAGAGCAGAGCACCGGGAGATAGGGGGAAAGTGGGAAGGTTGGCAGCACCTGCCAGTCACCTAGATGTGAGAACAGCCAGGTGTGCAGAACAAAATAAGACCGGCTTCTGGGCTGGAATACAGAACCCCCATGGGAGAGAACTGGCAGGAGCCCCATTTCCTGAGATTTGGTTCAAAGTCAAAGGAAGACTCATTCCTATTCTCTGTTCCCCAAGCACCCTGTGCCACCCTGTCAAAGCCTGCACCTCCCTGCACTGCAGTTATTTGATTATTTGCCTGTTTCCCTTGGCCTATGAAGACATTCTGGAAAGCAGAGGCTGTATTATTTTAGTCTAAGCGCCCCCGATAACAAGCACCATGCCGGGCCCAGAGCAGGCCCCTGGCTGGTGTGTATTGAATGGAGCAGACCCCATCTTCAGTCACGTGTTTGGTCCGAATCTGATGCTTCTAGATCCATCAGACAGCAGCTGGTTGACCCCAGTGCCTGAGCTGAAACTGAGCCTGTATCAAGAATCAGGTGATTTCATCTGTGAGGAAAAGAAAAAGAGCTTGGGGCCTGGCAGGACCTGATACCTTCTCTGATTATTTGCCTAAACGAAGACTTTCTTTAATGAAGGCATGACTTCTAGTCACCATGAACCATTTTAGGTTTGAGGAGGACATGAAACAGCTATTACATTTTACAGAGCAGTTTCTTAATCTGGTTTATTTTTTATGTTTTGGCTTGTGCTCATAAGCCATTAATTGCTGTGCCGAAAGCCAGGGTGACGTTAGCAACCTACCACTTGGGAGGTGATGAGAAGAAAAGGAGCTGTGAGCTGATTTTCTGAGTATGAGTTGAGTCTGTCAGCTTTGACCTTTCCAATCCAACTCAATGCCTATTCAACAAAAACCCTGACATTTCAAAAGGCAGCACATCCAGCCCACATCTTTATGTTACAGGCCGACCACTTTTCAGAGCCTTCTTTCTTCAGAGCTATAGCCAAAAAAGTAGCTTGGCATTTCTGATACTTCTGTTCCCTAGCTTTCTGAAAAATGAAGGGGAGACAGGCAAGATAAAAGTGTCTGTTCGCTGATGTCCATTCGCCTAAATGGACCTGCGTTTGCTGGTGGGTGTTGATGTGTCGCACACAGCTTTATTTTGCGTTGAAAAGGAGAGGACCGCAGGTGTCGGGAAGCAAGATGAGACAGGTGGAAACCCACTTCGGTACACCTATTTTTAGCTCAGATTCTATTTAAGTGGAAGTGATAACTTCAAGGTAACTGGCAAGACAAAATGAGTCTGTTTGCACAGTAATTGTTTTGCCCAAAAAAGGAACGAACATCCTTAAGGTAATCCAAAGGCTGAGTGAAGGGAAAAATCAAAACAGGTTACTGAGAGAAGAACCTCTGTAGGAGGTTTAAAGAAATTAGCACAGCCAGAAAAAATACAGTGATGAAAGTGAGGCTCCGGTTGATCAGAGGAGCCATCGACCGCTTTGCTGGCTTTCCCTCTCCTATGGCGGCTCCTGGGGTTCTCAGCACCCCAGCAGGGAGAGGTCACTAGTACGGGGGGCTGGACAGTGCTGGAGTGTATCACCACATGCAGACCACCCTGAAAATCCTGAAACCCACTTCTTGACCACAGGCCTCTAACCTTCTGGGTCCCTTTGCCCTCAGTCTGATCATACCTGTGCTTTGACCTCTTAGAGATGTGCCCCTTCCCTTTATACCTGTCACCCCCACCTCCATCTTCACCCTCTTCCCTCACTGGCACCCTCTTCCCTCATGGCGGTTGGCTGAACTAAGGTCTTGCCAAACCCTCAACCCCCTTGTCCCTGGGTCAACTGTACTATCTTCCCTCTACTGGAAAATGCCCTCGTGATGCAGGTGGCAGTGCTGGGCACAGCTCTGCCCAGCTCTCTCCTCTCTACTAGGTGAAGGACCACAGGAGAGCAGAAGTCTCGTCTGTCTGATGACCTCCCTCAGTCTGGCCCAGAGCAGGTGCTCAGTAAGTGTGTGTCAAAGGAATATTCCCCTTGCCATATGAAGTGGGTGTCGGGGCAGAATTTAGGAGTTCTTTGGTCTCGGCACGTTTGCTGTGTGATATGGAATAACTCTCCAGTCCATCTTTTTCTAAGTTTTCTTGAGTACATGAGGGAAGGGGGCAGTGGCCCAAGGTGGGAGTTAATGGTCCTGGACAGGCCACGGACCACCTGGAAGACAACAGTCACTGAGCATGTATTGAATCCTATGTAGGCAAGAGGCTGAGGTGGGCTATGCAGACTATAAGGCCCCAACCCTCCCTCCTGCCCCTCCCATCCCCAAGGCTCCCTTCTTGGCTCTGCCTTGGATTCTCTGGTGACTCTAGCAAGTTACTTTTTTTCCTTGAACTTCCGTGTTTTTCTCAATGAGACAGAGAGTTCCACCGGGTCATCTTGGGGGTCCCTTTTGGCTCTGACACCCCATTACTCAAGTCCCATCATGCTGACGGGTGGTCGGAGCTTTTTCCTGGGAATTAGAATATGCTCAGCCCACAGGGCTTTCCCTGGGCCCCGCTGCCCCACCCCACCCAGGACAGGAACATTTCCAGGGCCAGAGGTGGGCAGCAGCGATGGGAAAATCTAAATCGATTTCAGTACAGTGCGCCCCGGCCTGCGTTGAGCGGACGTGCAGGAGGACTGCATTGGAGAATGGATGGAAATCTGAAACTGGGGCCGAGCAAAGACGTGTCCTATTTTTCCATTTGGGATTTTCTTTCTGGTAGAAACAGCTGTTCTCTTCATCCCTCATTTGTAAAAGGGGCCCGATAACAAGGACGGTGCGAGTGTGTTACAGAGTCGCTGCGAGCACTCAGTGAGAGAATATGGGAGAAGCACGGGGACTCAGCCGGGTGCAGAGTTCTGGCGGAGGGGCCACGATTATTCTTATCATCCTTCCTGTCATTTAACTTTTCCCTTTCCATAAGTTCTGATAAAAGTCTCCTAGGGCTTTCCAGCGCCTGGGTTTTCTCCTGTGCAAAGCCACTTCCATTATTTTTGCTTTCAATTCAATTTCATTAGAAAAAAAAGAACATTTATTTTCTTTTTACTCTAGCTCTTCCTTTGAAAAATGTCAGGCAAGTCAATGTGGTCGGTCTTGGCAGCCATGTTACATTTAAAAAAAATTAAAACGATGAAATATTATTTGAAAATTATAGAAAATTGGTGGGTAATGAGACTGGCTCTGATTCACATTCAAAATAGCTTTCCTATCTGGCAGGAACACGCTCGGGTTGGGGGAGGGCGGGCTGGAGGATTTGAAGGCAGAGCTCTTAGAAACCCGGCTTTCCCCTTCTCATCTGCCTGTGGAGATGATTGATAATCTCTTCCTTTTTAGAGAAAAATATAATTTAAAAATGGTACACCTCTTTTTTAGTTCACAGTTGTAAGAACATTGGAATAGCAGATTCTGTTTCAAAATGACCTGCGTGATAATGTCACAAAAAGATCAAAAATTAAAACCCCAAATTCTCAAAAGATAGATATTAATAACTCATGACAAAAGCATGGACTGTCTTCAGCAAACAAGCGATTTGTGTGGGAATCGCTGTGCTTTGTGAAAATAATTACAAAGTTACTTAAACTAAGCTTTTCAGCCAATCGCAGGAAAAGAAATGCTTTGGCCCATATTTAATATTTTCAAGAATTTCTCTCCACCTTAAGTTAGGATCAGATTTGCCTCCATGGATAAATTAGGTGCACAAAAGAGCAGCCGGCTGGCCAGAGGAGCAGGGTCGTCTTTGTGGTTCTCTGTCCCATCCCACGCCAGCCTCCGGGGATACTGGGTGACAGGCGGCAGGGAAGGCTGGGCTGTGGACTGTTTCATCATCAGTTTGAGGTTTTGAGGCCAACCCTTCAAAGCTTGATTATTTTCTCTGAGGCATCAGGTCAACGATTCCTGTAGCTGTCGCCGGGGATGACGGGAGGAAGTGGGGCTTCCTAACAAAGGTCACTTAGCCCAGAGCTGCTCTTGCTTTGAGAGTTATGCATTTTCTGCCAAAATACACTGATAAAATGACAAGTCATAATAGGAATAAGGTTTTAGAACTTCTGCTATATCTTTAAATAACATTCTGTTGTCCCTTCCCTCTTTTTGTTTGCTTTGTACAACAAAAGTAATAAAAACAGTTACAGATTGTATAGAAAATGCAGATTACAAAGGGAAGAAAATTGAAACCACTCTATATCTTTCCATCTGGTGAAAAGCAATATTAATATTTTGGTAGATACTTTGTGTGTGTGTGTTTGTGTGTGTGTGTGTGTGTGTGTGTATTTGGTCACCTATTCATTCAATAAATATTTATTAGCCCTCACTTATCATACTTAATATATTAACAAAACAAAAACACAGTTTTGTTATCCTCTCATGACATTAAAACAACGTCTTTCAAAATCACTTTTAATGGCCTCGTAACTTTCCATTGCATGGGTATACAAATATACTGAAGTAGTCTATTCCTTGAACTAATAAACGAATATATACAATTCATCATTTCAGTGTGGCTTAACATCAAAAGGCCCTTTCCCACTTTAATCAATATATTATTATTATTCACATGAATAGTATTATAGTTTTAACAACAGTAAGATCAACCATGAACATTTATTCTGTATTTAACTGTGTGTCAGACATTGAGCTTAAAGTTTCATATGAAATATTTTATTTAAATCCAACAACAATCCTATGAAGTATCTACTATACGCATATTACCTGTCAGGTTATAACAT
Organism: Homo sapiens; assembly: GCF_000001405.40. Taxonomy (NCBI): domain Eukaryota; kingdom Metazoa; phylum Chordata; class Mammalia; order Primates; family Hominidae; genus Homo; species Homo sapiens. The sequence goes on along the minus strand of NC_000002.12, from coordinate 10,976,339 downwards.
TCACCCTAAATTCTCAGTCCCTTTATGCAAAGGAAAAATTGGATTTCTTTCTCTCTGTGTCTTTTAGCATTACCTCAGATTTTGCAAATTTTGGTTTGACTAAAACCAGAGAGTGATTATAAAAGACCTATTATTTTAAAAAGCATAAATATACACGGAAATAAAATTTCAAGCAGTACACGATAGTATGCATTTCAGAAGTGGAAATCATTTGACTGTTTTTGTTTTGTTTTATCTTAATATGTTTAGATGTCTCCTTTTGCTTTATTATTTTGAAGCAATATTTATTAATGCCCACACATGAAGACTAAAATATTTAGATTATTTTCACCTCCACCTCTTTCCCTAACTTCTCTTTGCAATTTTTTTTTGTCTTGAGACAGAGTCTCACTGTGTCACCAGGCTGGAGAGCAGTGGTGTGATCTCTGCTCACTGCAACCTCCACCTTTCAAGCTCAAGGATTCTCATGCCTCAGCTTCCTGTAGCTGGGATTACAGGCATGTACTACCACACTCAGCTACTTTTTTGTATTTTTAGTAGAGACAGGGGTTTCGCTATGTTGGCCAGGCTGGTCTAGAACTCCTGTCCTCAAGTGATCTGCCCTCTTCAGCCTCCCAAAGTGCTGGGATTGGATTACAGATGTGAGCCACTGCGCCTGGCCTCTCTCTGAAATTTTTAAAGTAGCAATTACAGTTCTTCTATGGTTTCCTAAGGATCTGAAAGTAGACATCCCATACCTGGTCCTAATCATATGTGAGTAGAACACAAAGGCTGGGTGCCTTTTTCATCTTTTCAGAGTGCATACTTTGGTAATCATTTCAGAAAAGTGAGTGGAAATTGTAAAGTCTTTGTATATCTAAAAATGCTTTCACCCTTCTCCTCCACCTAATTGGTTGATTGGCTGTGTTTGGAATTCCAGTATTAAACTAGTTTTCTGCCTGAACTTTTAAGGCGTTGTTTCATTACCTTGTAGTGCTCATTGTTGCTGAGATGTCTGAAGTCAAAAAGCTAGGAATAAAAATAATAATAATACCAACAAGCAAGATTATTAAAAAAATTATTCTCTCTTTAGCTCTTAGGATTCTCTTTTTATATTTTTCACATTTTAGCTGGGTTCAGTGGCTGTAATCCCAGCACTTTGGGAGGCCAAGGCAGGAGGATTGTTTGAGCCCAGGAACTTGAGACCAGCCTGAGCAACAGAGTGAGACCCCGTCTCTATTTTAAAAAGTAAAATAAATAAATAAATAAAAATTTGAAAATATATTTGATGCTCTTAGATATCATAAGGGTATAACCAGTTTGATTCATGTGTTCATTTTTATTCATTATGCTTTCAGCATTAAGAAATCTTTCTCTATTGTTCTGTCTGTCCAAAACTCTTCTATGTTGCTTAGCTCTTCTCATAGTGACATAATTTGGACCTGTGTCCTGCCCAAATCTCATATCGAACTGTAATCCCCAGAGTTGGAGGTGGGGCCTAGTGGGAGGTGATTGGATCATGGGGGTGGATCCTTCATGAATGGTTTAGCACCATCCTCTCGGTGCTGTTCTCGTGATAGTGAGTGAGTTCTGGTGAGATGTGGTTGTTTAAAAGTGTGTGGCACCTCCCCCCTTGCTCTCTTGCTGCTCTGGTCATGTAAGATGCCTGCTCCCACTTTGCCTTCCGCCCTGATTGGAAGCTCCTTGAGGCCTCCCCAGAAGCAGAAGCTGCCATGCTTCCTGTTCAGCCTGCAGAACTGTGAGCCAATTAAACCTCTTTTCTTTATAAATTACCCAGTCTCAGGTATTTCTTTATAGCAATGCAAGAACAGATGAATACACAGATATATATATTTTTTCATCTCCTTATCTTTGCTCTCGCTCTGGGAGATTTTTCATGGTTTTTCTTATTGCCTTTCTGTTGTTGTTGTTTTATTTTGGTAATAGCTTTTTTAAAAAAAATTCAACCAACTCTTTCTTGTTCTCTGATTTCTCCCTTTTGGTAGCAGTTTGTCTTACTTTTACTGAGAAAATATTTGCTCTCTTTTTTTTTTTGAGGATACTAATTGTAATTACTTTGAATGTTTTCTTTCATTCCCTAAGTTATTTCTTTTTTCTCTGGGATCTTTTGTTGTTCGTGTTCGTATTGTTCCTTCTCCTTTGTACTGTTTTCTGCAGGTGACCTGTGAGTTTTGTTTTCATTCATAGTTTGATGAAGGTCTAAGCTGATTAATAACAAAGAGTGGCTGGGGTAGAATCCTCTGCCATTATCAGCTTCTCCCTGGATGAAAATGATCACTCTTGTAGATATGGGACGGTTGTTCCAAGCACCGGGTTTGTCTCCATCCCTAAGAAATGCACCACCGAGGAGGTCACTGCTGGGGGCACCAGCCTCTTTTGTGAAAGCATTTGCCTGGCCCCAGCCTGGGGGCGTGGGAGATGGGGGTGGTGTGTGCGCACACGTGCTTGTCCTGTGGATAGAGGGGCCTGGGGTCTCCTCACTCTGCCATCTCTGCCCTGCTTTCTCCTTTGCCCTTGCCAAGTCTGGGTGCTTCTGCCATGAAAACTGGCTCTTACTCCTAGACTCCACTCCCATGCCAGCTCTGAGCTGGACTCCTTCCACTCTGATATGTCTGTCAGTTTCGGCACATGTCCTTCTGGTTTCCAGCAATGAGCCACGACTGGGGGCTGCTGCTGTGCCCCTGTGAATTCTCAGCACTGTGTTAACTTACTCCCTGTTAAGCCTCTTTACTATCCTTTTAAGGAGTTTCTGGGAGGCAAAGCCTGTTGTCATTTCAAAGGATTTTTGAAAATCACAGTCAAACATCTTGACCCAGAAGCCCCAGAAAGTCCATGCGTGCGTGCCTCCCGATGTGGTGATGTTTGACTAAAAAGGAGAACTTTTTCCTTTCCAACAACTTCTCTCCCAGCTCCTGAAGCTAGCGGGCTTAGACAGTCATTCATGGTTCCAGCCACTCCGTATCTCTTTTTCCCCAGGTGGACACCCCACATCCAATCCATCTCAAGTCCTGTCATCTGTCCCTTCATATGTCTGTGCAGACTCTGGCCATCCCGGGCTGAGCCACTGCATGCCGTCCAGGCAGGCCCGTGCTTCCACCCAGCCCCCTAAGGTGGGTTCTCAACACTGCAGCTAGAGAGGCCTTTTCAGAACACATTAGATCGTGTCCTTCTCCTGCCCCAAACTTACAGTGGCTCCCATGTCACTCAAAGTAACAGCCAAAGTCCTCCCTGTGGCCTCCCTGCCCTGTGTGACCTGTACTGGCCACCTCACTGTTCCTCAAAATTGCCATGCCTTCCTGCCTCAGAGCCTTCACACTTGCTGTTCCCTTTGCCTGGAATGTCCCAACCCCTCCCCCACCTCTCCCTCTGCACTCCCCTCTCCCATCCCTCCCCCTCCACCCCGCTTCCCCTGCACCAGCAAAGACCTCCCCAGTCGGGCTCCCTCACTCCCATTAGCTCTTTACTCCAGTGTCACCTCTGCAGTGAGGCCTTCCGCAGCTGCTCGACTCTAACTGCCCCTACCAACTGTGTCACATCCTCCCTCCTCCGGGTACATGACTTGCCCGATGGCAGTCCAACGGCCTAGGCAACACGCTGCGACTGAACTCACCTTGTCTCGTGTTGCCTCCCACTGGAGTGAAACTCCTTGAGCTCGGGACTTTTGTCTATTTTATTCACTGTTCCTAATCCCAGCGCCTAGAGCAGGGCCCAGTATACAATAGGTGCTCATTTGGGTATGATGAGTTATTGAAACATGAATACAAGATGTGCTGTTCCTAATCTCTGTAGCGCTCCCTTCCAAATGGACTTTTTAAGAAGGGCTTTTCAAGCTCCCTTCTGTCGAGCGCGGTGTTTCTCAGTCTTTCCTTCATCAGTGTCCCCCTGGACAGCCTTTCTAGACTTTCATTTCCTGCCTGTGCCCCCCATGAAACTTGAACCCCACAGATAGACTGTGTGTCTGCCGATGTACTGTATGTGTATCTGGGCTTTATACATAAAAAGTGTCAAGTATTTTCAATCTAAGAAGCAATTTTTGCCCTCTGGGGAGCACGATCACTCATGTTGAGAATGCATGATTTAGCACAACAGAATATTTCAAAACGCTTTAAACAAACTATAACTAGGTTTCTTAAAAAAGATATGCAACGGTTTTATGGTAGAAAGGGGAACTCAGTGACTGAAGAAAGTCTGAACTCTGTGCCTTTAACCCTATAGCCAAATGTGCCATCAGCCCCCTCCTGGGAGCAGAAGCTAGAGCAGGGAGCAATCAGACGAGCTCCTCCCGGGTTTCCTGGTAGCCTCGTGCCATCACTGCACTCCCTGGGAGCGTGAAGAGACCAGCGCAGCAATTGTCCAGCCTGTTCTTCATGGACCACTAAACGCATTGTGAGCCAGGAAGCCAGAGCCTGGCCCCAGGCAGGGCCCAGCTCACACACAGGCTGCAGTCAGCAGCCTCCAAGCACAGACGTGATTTTGCACAGAGGGGAGGATGAGCGAGGAAGAACCCTGCTGCTTTCACCCAAGCGCCCTGTCCCCTCTTCCCTGAGCTCCCCCATGCCCCAGCCAGAGGCAACCCCTGCCATCCCTGAGCGACATGTGGCCCATCGACCCATCATCCAGAACATCATTGTTGCGTGGCCTATTGGACACCTCCGTGCCCTTGTTTCTCCTCACTGGGGGCCACCTATGTCCCCTGGACCTGTGCTGTCCCCTCAGCCGGGCTCGCTGGGCAGTCAGCTCATGTCTGAAGAGCGTTGTCACACGTGATGGGAATGTGTGGCTTGTGCCAAGGTGTGTGGCAGCTAATGACTTGTCTGCTTCCCAGGAGAAGGTGCTAATTAGATACTTGGTTTGCAGGGAAAGGATGCCCAGCCCTGGAGGAATCAGGTTCCATCATCCAAGTGTTATGAAGGAACAACTGGGTGCCTAATTGTCCAGGGAGTAACAGTTGTATCAAATTATAAGCTTGAAGGGACTGACAGTGGCTCATGACTGAGGTCTCCCTGCAGCGGTGAGGGGCTCTCGCTGGGCCTTTCAAATGCCTGTCTGAGTCTCCAGCGACACTGCTCTCCTTGGCACGGAAGGCTGTCCCTGCAGCCCCCAGCACCCAACCCCACCCTGCATCCCAGAAAGTTTACCCCAGGGCTTGAAGGGGAGGGTGCCAAGGGAGGTCCTGTTCCTCCTGCCTGTCAGAGAACTGGAAGCTTTTTCAATCTTACCTTGCCCTTTGGAGCTAACATATCAGAGCCAGACCTCCCTCTCTGTCCCCCCTGCAGAAAACGGTCATAGCCTTTAGCAACAATGGGGATTTGTTTGGGGGTCAGGGCTGGCTTGTCTGGGACTGATGATTACAATAGCTCTAAAGGCACCTGAAGACCTGTAGAACTGGGTGAGGGCTCGTGGGCTGGACTTGTGTGTGGTATAGGAAAATAACAGGCAGAGCTTCCCTCCCCTCCTGCAGGGTCTCATTCAGTGCCCAGCATCTGGGAGGAATGAGGGTGGGGCCAGCCTCGGAGGCCCTCTATGGCTCTCCCTGGACTAGGGGTCCTGCAGGGGCACAAAAGGAGATCCACACACTGTATGTCTACACACCTAAAGGTTATGTGCCAAGCCAACCAATTAGATCCAATCCATGCCATTCTACCACCTTGACCAAGGTACCTTTATAACTGCAAAACGACAAAAATATGTGTGACACTATTGCTTTTATGCTTATATGTTTGGTAAAATGTGAAAGATGTCAGAATTTAATGTTGTGTATGCTTGGCTGTTGATGAGATGGCTGTATTTGGGTGTGTCTGGCTGATACTGCATGGCTCTCTGCCCAGGAGCTCGGATCCTTGGGCTCTGCAGGGCTGGTGCCCTCACCCAGGAGGGCCTGCCCTGACCACCCCACCCTAACCCATCCATCACCTTTGGTCCAATTATCTCACTTATTTTCTTCTTAGAACTTGACACTATTAGAAATAATATTATTTATGTGTTTGTTTGCTGTCTGTCTTCTCAAATGAAGAATCAATGAGGCAGGGATTTTGTCCGTGATGTTTGTAGCTAAACACCCAGCAACAGATACAGAGCCTGGCTTGTACTTGCCAACATCTGTTGAGCAAATGAATGATATACAATCAGTGGGTATGAAGATCTTAGAAACTGCTAGGTAAACAGATAACAAATCCAGAAGAAACATTAGACACTCAGGGGTGAATGTAAACTGCTTAAAAGCAGGTTTTGTTTTTGCATTCAAAATAAGAAATGTGGGAAATAGAAAGAAAAATGCAGCGGGACATTGAGATGCAGACTTCAGGGTAAACTCTCACAAGCAGACAACATGGGGACAAGATGGGGGTGGCATCCTGATGACAGCAATTTCACCTTCTCTGGGAAAGACCCCAGGATTCTCAGATGGGCTCCCTGTAGCTGGGCTCCTGTCTTCTGGAAAGACTGCTGGGTCTAGGGATGTACACCTCTTCCAAGTTGGGTGACTCACAGAGCTCAGCCCCTCTGGCCATAGTTAATTGGTCCCAGGCTATGTGACCTGCTGATATGGTTTGGCTCTGTGTCCCCACCCACATCTGCCCTTGGATTGTAATAATCGCCACGTGTCAAGGGCAGGACCAGGTGAAGATAATTGAATCATGGGGGCGGTTCCCCCGCGCTGTTCTTGTGATATTGAGTGAGTTCTCACAAGACCTGATGGTTTTAGAAGGGGCTTCCCCCTTTACTCGGCACTCATTCTCTCTCCTGCCACCCTGTGAAGAGGTGCCTTCCACCATGATTGTAAGTTTCCTGGGGCCTCCCCAGCTATGCAGAACTGGGTCAATTAAACCTCTTTTCTTTATAAATTACCTGGTCTCGGGCATTTCTTCATAGCAGTGTGAGAATGGACTAGTAACACCTGCCAAGACAAGTTGCGGAACTTTGAAGTGGGCAAAAAATACATACACACATACATACATAGATACATATTTAAAGTGGCTGCTAGACGTCTAGAGGACTCTCCTGGGATCATCCGATTCTGTAGGAGTCCGTGTCTTTTATTGTCTTTGATTATTATTCAACTTTTTAAAGATACAAGTTGGCCGTGGAGAGCTGATGTTGATGCATCTTATTTCAATTCATAGAAATTTGAACACTGGTGTCCATTCAAATTGCAAGTGTTTACCACTCCCTGTGAAAGAAGTCTGCCTCTATTAGCGAATTCATTTCAGCATTCCTGATTGCACACACACACACACACACACAAAGACACACACACACACACACACACACACACACGTCCTTTGATTCTCCTTTGAACTTGGTTTTTTGATCTTACTTGTTCTCTCATTACTTAATTAGTTAAATAAAATCTTAGACCTGGTTAGTTTTCTATTTCTGTGAGAGTCATGTTTTACTCTCAAAAAAAAAAAAAAAAGATTAACCCTTTAACAGACCAAGCAGAACCAACTGGAATCTTGGGACGTCAGTGGCCATGGTGCTCTGCAGGCAGAGGTGAGTCGGGGAGCCGAAGATGAGGGAGAGAAGAGCCTGGGGGTGAGCCCCGCTCCTGGTGTCTGCAGTCTGGGTGCAGAGGCCCTGTGGTGCCTGCCTGAGTGAGACAAGCTTGCTTTCCTGTAAGCTACTCGAAGTCGGGTTTCCATCAACTGTGGCCCAGAGCAGGCTAGCCACACAGGCTCACGTTGCAGAAAGATTGATTTCAGAAGCAGATGAGGTTTAATCAGTCCATCTGGGTTTGTTTGAAGGTCATGGGCCGCACCCATGGGTGGACGCAAACCCAGGTCCTGCAGATGCAAGGAGAGAGGGAGGAGAAGGGAGGCTCCCACTGACTCGGAAGGAGCAGAGATCACTCAGAATCGGAGAATTCATGGCCTGACCACCGGCGAGGTTTGAGGAGGAAGCTCAGAGCCAAGGAAGGGCAGGTGTTGGAAGTGCACGGGCAGCACCCCAGTGCAGAAGTGTGCTGAGGGCCATCTTCAGCTGCGTCCTCCAGACGCCCTGGCAGGACAGATTCATCCTCCAGGGACAGGCCACAGCCAGCATGACTCCCCTGGCTCTGTCTGGCATTGCCGGCCACACCTCTCCTCCCCTCTTCCAGGCGTGGACAAGGAGCAAGTGTCCACGGGGGCCTCATTGACAACTCATCATCTGTATCCAAAAGTTTAAATATGAAATTAAAGATGGATGAAAGCCATAATGAGAAAACCAAAAGGAACATTGCCAGGGCCTCGGCAAACCCTAGTTATTCTTAGAGCAGTTGTGAATCCTTAGGAGGGTGCGTTTTATTTCCTTGTAAAAATACCAAATGGTTGAGGGGGTGAGCAAGTAGTGGCCAATCTTGCCCAAGTTACTTTTCTAAAAAGTTTATATGATGCTCGGATGTGCTGCTACCCAACGCTCCCTTCTTGGAGTCCAAGAAGCTTGGGTGTGAAACGTGGCTCTGCCATTCCTTTAGCTGAGTGACCTTGGCTGAGTTCTTTACTTTCCCTGAGCTTCAGTGACTTCCTCCACAAAATGGGATGCCACCCAGTTATGAGGATGACACGTGACAATGCAGGCCAGGTGCCCGTCACACAGCAGATGAAGGAAAATGGAACCTCTGCAAGGGAACTTGCCATCCCCACGTTCAGCCCCCACAATCGTCCCCTCAAATTCCAACTTCCAGTCCTGAGCAAGGAGGAGGAGGGGCCAGGCAAGGCTTCAGCCACATCCTTTTTAATATTTTAACTCCATTTCAATTGACTGTCATCTAGAACAGGACCAGCTGGGAATCTATTCAAAGGGCTGGTCCCATGCAGCTGTGACATAGGAAACAGCCCATGTGGGGTGATCTCAGATCCTGCCCCCACCTCCAAAAACCTCCTGCTCCCAGAAATGCCACCTTCATCCCTTTGATGTAAGACTCCTCCTTGTCCACTCCCCACTCTGGAAGAGGTACCCCCGAGGCTACAGCAGACCCAGAATTCATTTCAGAAAGGCAGGTGCTTTGGGGCCTGGCCCTGCAGTGTGAACACTGGCTCACCCCATCCAGCTCTGTGCACCAAAGCAACAGATAGTCACACAAACAGTTGCTGAATGAATAAATGTGGAATTGCTAAAATGAGCCAGTGAAAATACTGGATGGTCATTGTGGGAACCGTTCACATGCCCATGTAGAGGTGGGGAGGGTCGGGGCTTCCCACTCCTTGAGGTCCGTATCCTGTGTCCTCCATCGTGAAGCAAGCGTTCCATCCCTCAGAAATTGTTTCTTTATAGAATTGACTATAACACCATCTACCTTGCGTTCTCGTGCGGACTCAGCGAGACACTGCAGAGTGAGTTTAACAGGTGGAAGTCACTGTCCTGCTTGTGAGTACGTGATGTTGTGCATGCATGCGGGGTCCAGGCCCGTGTCCAAGAGATCCCACGCAGGAGCAGCTGCCGCTCCTGTTCCTGTGAGCATCAGCGATGGGCAGACTTGGGCAAGTCACCTCCCCACAGGCTTCCACACGGAGAGACCTCACTGACTGTGCCCAATACAGCTCTGCTGAGGAGGGTCTCTCATCCATAAACTGAGAACAATCAGATCAAATGGAGCCCCACATGATAATCAATGTCATTGGGACTGAGCAGGAATTTGAAGAGGTCCTGGCTGAGCCCTGGAGGACAGCTCCCCCCGACCCCAGGGCTGATGAGAGAATGAGAATGAAGGTGAGCTTGCCTCTTCAAAGCTCTCCTCCTGTCTCCAGGACGCAGATGTCCTGAGAGGACACCACCTCCTCACCTCTCTTCCTTTCCACACTGCCATGGGAAATTGTTGATCATCAAAGGACACAAGGAGATTGCAGCCCAAGAGTGGAGGCTGGAGCCTGTCTGGAAATGAGAAGCCTTTCCAGGAGGAAAGAGGGTTGTTGGAAGGCAGGAGACCAGACCTGTGGCCAGAATCTGGCTTTCTGCCATGTCTCACCCAAACTAAATTAACCACTCCCTGTCCCCAGCTGCCGCCTCCACCTGCAGGGCCACCAGGGGTTGCTCAGGCCTCCTCTCAGCTGACCAGCCCCAGGCTGAGCAGAGACACATGGGGGCAGGGCCGTCCTTCTGCAGCCACAGGACTTTCCTCCTGGCTGCACGAGAGGATCAGAATGAAGCCGAGACAATCGTAAGAGTGGTCATTCAAGGCAAGGAAGAGGTGGGGCGCAGCCCCTGCTAGCTGGGGGCACTTGGGAGCATGGACTGTGGTCACCGTGGTAGCTCTGGGCAGCCTAGTTATGGATGCTGTGTCATTTTTCAGCATTTTTTGATTTCCATGTCCAGCCACACAACAACTCAGACAAGACACCTTCTCAACTGGGGTGCCTTGTCCCTGTGATGGGTGATGATTTCCTTACCTCTCACTTCAGCGCTCTGGGACCTTCTCCATTTGACTGGGGCCTGGTGCACGTTTCTGGTCTTAGCTCCCAGCTCACCTCGCTCATTGCATCCTGGATTCTCCTGCGTGTTCTGCAGCCCCCTGGCCTTTGCTCAGATCATCCATAGAGTCCAGAATGCCCTTCTGCTCAGCCCCGTTCTGGAGCAGACAGCCAGAGTGGACACCTTGGTCCGCCACTTCCAAGTCATGGGAACTTGGTCAAATGGTGTCCCATCGCTGTGCTTGTTTCCTTGTCTGTAAACACAGCGAATATTAGTACCTACGTCATGAGGTTGTGGCGAGGCTCAAATGATCTTAAAAGTGTCACGTGCTTAGAACAGCCTTGGTATAAACATGAGTTATTATTGTTACTCGCCTTCTTCACCTCCTCCAAAATACCTTGGCAGATGCCCTTACCCAGCTCCTGGGCACGGTCAGCCTCTCCCGCTTGTAGATCCCACAGTCTATGAGCTTCTATTTCAGCCTCGTCACCATCTGGCTGGCCGCGTGATTTTTGTAGCAGTCTGACTCCCCCAGATAGAACTTCTAGGGGGAACAAAAACTCATTCACCCCAATGCCTGGTGCAGGGAGGGCAGCAGGTCGGCCAGAGTGGGAAACAGGCAAGGCTGAAGTGAACAGGGACAGGCGTGTGTCCTGCAGACACCGGGGCCCACAGTGCCGTGGCGTGTGCAGAAGACGGCTTGTCTCTGTATGAAGACAGTGTTGGGAGTCCACAGGGCTACATGGAACCCGTATATGGGTCCACCTAGCACAGCTCCTGGCCCCTAGTAAGGCAGAAGTGGTATTCCTTTCTTCTCTTCCTCTCTCCACATAAGCCAGCAATAAGACTTGTAGCTTTTTTCTTTTACCTACCCCCCTCCCCTTTTCTAAGGTCATCTAAATTCAGTGTCAAGATCAAGGTATCTGGAGACTCTGTGCTGGGCTCCCTGGGGGTGCCAACTTGTGTTCTGGCCCAAGTGTGACATTACAGAAACAGTGAGGAGGGCCTGGAGTTTATTGGAGGACAGTGGCAGGAACCATTCACCAAAAGAAAGGGGCAGCTGAAGGAGCCTTTGGGGCCCAGACTGCAGGAGAGCCAGAACAAGAGGCCCGTCCCTGATACTTCAAAGGTTCCCTTTCCTCTGACATGCAGAGGGGCCTTCAGACTCAGTGGGGAGGAACCTAGGGAGGCGGGTTCGGCTCTGTCTAAATTTGACATCCCCCCAGAAGCAAACCCTGAGACAAGGATGGGGGCAGGTAAATCATTTGGGAAGTGATCCCAGGAAACAGAAGGGGTGAGAGGAAGTGAGAAGGGAGGGGAGGACAGCCGGTCATGGGGTGTCACCGAGCAAGTCACCACTGTGAGCAACTGAAGCTTCATCCCTCTAGGACTCTGGGAACTCCTCCAGAACGCACAGCAGAGGTCCCCACCCAGCGGGGAGGGAGCTGGGTCGCAAAACCCATTTCCCCTGGCACTTTGGTGTTTAGTCCTGACCTGAACTGCAACAGAAGTTTGTTGATTATATTTCTTCTTTTCCAGCATCTGCCACAGCTGGAAGAGACTTTTTTTATATGAGCAAAAATGCAGAAAGAATGAGTTAATGACGAATTGTGTGTGTTTCATCTGAATGGACCGAGTTGCTACAACCCAGCAGAGCGGGGAGTGGATGGTCTCTCAGCCTCTGCGAGGTCTCAGGGAGTCCTGCTAAAAAAACTCCCTGTTGCGCTTGGTCAGAATAAATCACATGTTCTTCGTGTTTGCCAGGAACTTAGTGTAAACTGGACTATAATCCGTCTGTTTTATTCCTTGTTGGAAGTGCTGGAAATCTTCAAAGTACAAAATGCACTGTGTTAGGTTTAAGAAGAAAGGGAATCACCTCTTAGTGTCTGGTGTCCTGTTCATTTCCATGACTTTCCCTCCTCTGGGAAGTGCCCTGTGAATGGCCCCTTGCTGGTGAGTTTCTCAATGAGTCCCTGGCTGCGTGGGGCAAATGTCTCCCTTTCATTCCAATGAGGAAGAAGTCTCAGAATTATGCTAATTGGCTAAGGTTTAATGGATATATTTAAAATAGTCCCAAATATCCAGTGTGCCAGGGCAGCGTTGCCCCAAGGGAAGTATCTGGGTGGGAAATAATGATTGCCTAAATTAAAAACCCAGAAGAGGAACTAGCACCTATTTAGGGGGTTAGAAGAAGGAAGGCAGAAATGGTAAAACGTCTGTATCTGTGTTCTTTTTAGGGTGAGAGAGTGGACCATTGTGAGGGTCTGGATGGGGGAATAAGGGAGATGGAACCTCATGGGGGAATCCAAAACCCAGAGATGCAAGTCAGCAACGAAAAGACAAATAACCCAATTCAAAAACAGGCAAAGAACTTTAATGCATGTTTTCCCAAAGAAGACACAAATGGCCAATAAGCACGTGAATAGATGCTCAACATCATTAGTCATTAGGAAATGTAAACCAAAACCACGACAAGATACCACTGCACACCCACTAGGAGAGCTAAAATCAAAACGACAGAAGATGGGTGTTGGCAAGGATGTGGGGAATTGGAACTCTCATACAGTGCTGGTGGGAATGTAACGCGTGCGGCTGCTGGGGAAAACAGCCTGGCAGCTCCTCACAAAGTTGAACACAGCTCTCTTTTTTCTCTCTTCTTTTCTCTCTTGGGCCTTGGCGCCTACTTGGATCCCTGCCAAGCGCATCTTCCTCTTTCCTGTTCTAAAGCTTTATAAATAAACTTCCATTCCTGTTCTGGAAAGAAAAAGTTGAACACAGAGCTACCATATGACCCAGCAATTCCACTCCTCGGTGAATTTCCAAGAGATGAAAAGATATGTCCAAGCACACACTTGTATCTGTGCGTTCACAGCAGCATTATTCACAATAGCCAAAAAAATAGAAACAAGGCAAATGTTCATGGACTGATGGAAGGTTAAACAATATGTGGTTTATCCATGCCATGGAATCTTATTCAGCTATGAAAAGGAATGGATATTGATACATGCTGCAACTCGCATGGACCCCGAACACACCATGCTAAGTGAAAGAAGCCAGGCACAAAAGCTCGCATGTTGTGTAATTCCACTTATATAAAATGTCCAGAATAGGTCGATCCATAGAACAGGAAGGAGATTCATGGTTGTCGGGGTGTGGGGGTAGGGGAGGATGGGGAGTGACTGCTTCACGGACGGTAGTTTCTTTATGGGTTGATGAAAATATTCCAGAATCAGATATTGATCATGGTGGCACAACATCTATGACTGCACTGAAACGCACTGAAGTGTACACTTTAAAATGGTTCAAATGGTACATTTTGTTATGTGAATTTTGCCTCAGTAATAATTTTTGAAAACATAATTTTAATAGGGGTATAGCCATAAATCATAAATTGTGAAGCACAGCTAATGAAAATGTGGAGTCCTTTGTTCAAAAACTGTAAAGAGTTTCAGGATGGCAATGGCAGAGTCTTAAGCCAAGCGAGGTGGCCTATGGGGCTACACAGGTCGCACCCCAGAGGCAGGACCAGCAGTGGTGCTGGGACCTCGCTCCCAGCGTCTACAGCAGGGGCCGGGATCCCCTGCTCCTCAGTGACGCTGCAGTGCAGGTCTGCCCTTCTGTGGTCCCCAGGCTGCTGCCATCACAATTTCCGCTTTTGCTTGTCCCAACTCCACCCCGTGCCTTGACTCTGCTTGGTTTCTCTCCGCTTCCCACCAAGGCTGTGATTCCCTCTCTCGATGGGGGTTCCACGGTCACATTCTGGAGGGAGGGAACCTGCATGCAGCCTGCTTCGTGGTTGGAGGAGGTGTGGGGGGGCAGTTTCCCAGCAGCTGTGTCATAGATTGCTGGGACCTTGGGAGCTCTTCGTCAGCTGTGGCTGTGAGGGGAATCGTGTAGTCCGAAGCCTGGGGCTCTTTTGGAAAGGCTGGGCGAGATCCCTTTGCGTGGCCGGGGTTCACAGGAAGACGACAGGGAAGGTCCTGGGAATGATGGCCTTGAGCGTCCCTTCCCCATTGCCCATCCAACCTCTTCAGGTGACAGCTTCTTGATATTGGACAAGTCATTTAACTTCTCTGACCCTCCATGACCTCTTTAGTAAACGGGAATAAAACCTTAGCTGTTCACGCACGGGGGCTGAATCAGTTGATGAAACCAAATAAGCCCTAGGTGAGCTCCTGCTGTGTTCGAAGTGGGTGCTGGGCCCTGGGAGGCGGAGGGGAGGCGGCTGGGTGGGGACACAGGTGTGCTTACAGCTAGCTGTGATGCAGAGTAGAGGGGGCAGCACTCACACGCGAGCAAGGCAGGTGGGAAGGGGCCCGGAGGAAGGCGGAGGGTCCTCCCTGGGCCTCCAGGGCCTTAGTGGAAGAGAGGCGTCTGAACTGGGCTTTCAACAGTAAGCGCGTGTCCACAGGTGGTGAAGAGCCTTCCAGACAGAGGCAGCAGCTGGAGACCAGCAGAACAAGGTCGTGCAAGTGGGAGGCGTCCTCGGCCCAGCCGGGGGAGGGAGAAGTGAGGTGAGAAGGGCCAGCCGAGGCCAGAGGGAGCAGTCTCCGATGGCCCCAGCCGCCTTCTGGTCTTCCTTCCTTCCCACCGGCGGCGCCATCACGGCTCCCTGTGCCCCCTGTCCCTGCCCGGTCTCCCTGATTCCACCAGGAGAGCCCGAGACGAGGGGAGTCGCAGCCCTGGAGGAGCAGAACGAGCCCGGTTGGCCAAGGCCTCACTGCCGCGGGGAACCTCAGCCCCGGAGGAAAAGGCGCCGCCTCTGTCTTAGGTTCCAGGAGACTCCGCACAGGGCTTCGGAGTCGAGAAATGCGCTGGTGTCCCCGGTGCACGGTGGGGCCTTGCCCCCGTAACTCCCACCCTGGACCCGGGGCTCAGTCAGCAGCTCCCCGGCCCATCTTCCATCCGGATGCAAGCAAGTCTCTTCTCACCTTCGGCTCTCTCCGCGCTGCCGTGGGCTGCGGCCATCGCTCAGGAACCGTGAGATCTGAGTGGGCCCTGCGTGGGGGAAGGAAGGGAAGGAAGCCACGCCGGCCCCTCCCCGGGCGGCAGCAGGGTGTGGAGCACAGAGCCCAGATCTTCACTCCACCCCAGGCTTCCCTCCTGGGACCGGCCCTCCCCTCTGCTCCACGCAGGAACCCTCCCGCCAGCTCCCCCACCTCCCCTCACCCAGCCCTGCCTGCAGCCACCAGACACTTCCATGACGGCCCGTCGGACCGTGGCCACCGAAGCCACGCTGGTGAGGGAAGGCAGAGAGCCCGAGACGCTCAAGGGGATGGGACTCTGAGGACCATCCGGACTTGGCCTTTCAGGTACGTTCCCCTGTTTCCCTCAGTGTTTCCGGAGTGGAGGTGCGGATACTGGAGGCTCTGGCTCTAGAACCTTCTGTAGGAGGTATCTTCCACCATAAACTCACACTTGCTCTGCATCCATCCCCTTTTCAAACCTACATTTAAGAGGCAACCTTAGGACAATATAGTCAGCAGTGGCCAACGTGGAGCTTTCTTTTCTTGAAGTAAAAATTTCTTAAAATAATTAAAAATTTGTCTTGTTGCAAAGTAATAAATATTCATTGCAAAGAAAAATAGAAAAGGCTGAGAACAAAACAGTAGCAAATAAAAGTTTTTCCCTTGAGATGACTGTTGTCAACATATATACAGTGTTTCTATGTATATATATATATATTTTAAAAAATCAGGGCTTATAATGAATGCATCGCTAATTCATAATCTTTTCCCTCAGCTAACAATACACAATAAACTTATTTCTAGTCACTAAAAATTCTCCTTCTGTGTTATTTTAGTGATTATGTAATATTCAAAATTGTATTGAATCAATCCTCAAAGTATGTTTTTATACTTTTTTCCTTTTGTGAACAATGCTGCTATAAATGATTTTATAGCTAAATCTCTGCATGTATTCATGAATATTTCCTTGGCATAAATTCCTGAAGGTGGAATTACTGGGTCAAAGGGATGCAAAAATTAAAGTTTTTGAATGTGTTACCAAAACGCCTCCAGAAAAGTTACATCAATTTTTACACCCAAGAGTACTGTACGAGAATGGCAACTTATCTGTGTCCTTGCCAACCAACTATCGTCTTTTTTTTTTTTGAGACGGAGTCTCGCTCCATTGCCAGGCTGGAATGCAGTGGCACGAACTCGGCTCACTGCGACCTCCGCCTCCTGGGTTCAAGCGATTCTCCTGCCTCTCCCGAGTAGCTGGGACTACAGGCGCACACCACCACACCCAGCTAATTTTTGTATTTTTTTGTAGAGACAGGGTTTCACCATGTTGGCCAGGATGGTCTCGATCTCCTGACCTCATGATCCTCCCGCCTTGGCCTCCGAAAGTGCTGGGATTACAGATGTGAACCACTGTGCCCAGCCCAACTATTGTCTTTTTAATCATTGCCAACTGAAGAACAGAGCAAAATGATACTTCATTTAGCACTTATTTGATTGAATAGGTGGTTGAACATTTATTTGTATACTGACCAATTATATGTTTTCTGTGTGATATCATTCCATTCCCTTTTACTGTAATATTTCTTTTCTATTGATTTTTAATGGCTATTTATATATTGTAGCTGTTGAACATCTTACTAGCTATATATGTTATAAATATATTTTGTAAGGTTGTCAGTTGCCTTTAGTTCTGTTTATGGCTTGTTTGGAAAGTAGAACTGTTCTCTTTTTATGATCAAATCTGTCAATTGCGTCTTTGATGGTTTGTACTTTGGCATCATGCTTAAACAGTCTCTTTTCATCTCAAGAATATAAATATTAAACAACATTGTCTTCTAGTACTTTTATAGATTTCTTTTGCACTTAATGTTTCATCTTAATTTTAATTTTAATCTTAATTTAGTTTTTTTTTAAATTTGATTTAAATTTAATTTTAATCTTAATGTTTTGGACTATATTTAGTGCTATAGTTTGAGTTTATTTTGTTTGTTTTGCTCCACTGCTCATTTGAAATGAAAATGGCATATTAGGGGTGAGATGTCCTTTCCTCCCCTGACTGCCAGGTATCTGCTGCTCTGATGGCCCATCAGGTTTTCCATTATTGTTTAAAAATCAGCTTTGGGGCCAGGCGCAGTGGCTTACACCTGTAATCCCAGCACTTTGGGAGGATGAGGCAGGCAGATCACTTGAGGCCAGATCACTTGAAGCCAGGAGTTCATGACAAGCCTGGCTAACATGACAAAACCCCGTCTCTACTAAAAATAAAAAAATTAGCTGGGTATGGCAGCACATGGCTGTAATCCCAGCTACTTGGCTGACGCACAAGAGTTGCTTGAACCAGGGAGGCAGAAGTTGCGGTGAGCTGAGATTGCACCACTGCACTCCAGCCTGGGTGACAGAGGGAGACTTTGTCTCAAAAAACAAAAAAAATTAGCTTTGGTTTATTTAGCTGATTCTCCCTCCTCAACAATCATCCCCTTGTTCCTTGC
Source organism: Homo sapiens (assembly GCF_000001405.40). NCBI lineage: Eukaryota > Metazoa > Chordata > Mammalia > Primates > Hominidae > Homo > Homo sapiens. Next base: position 10,958,497 of record NC_000002.12, on the reverse strand, counting down.
CTTCCCACCCTGATGTGAGCCACAGCACACCTTAGAGCTGTGGAGAAAAAAATTCACATCTCCATATACCCAGATGGGCATGGAAGGACAAGACAGCTGTGGTTTGCTGCACATCGACTATGGGGCTTAGCTCCTGTGCTTTGGGTAACTTTTTGGGTTCAGTCTCCATAACAACCCTGAGAAATGAGTGTTAATATTCCCTTTTTATGAAGAGGAAACATTAGGCTGAGCAAAATGTCACTTCAAGTAAATAGCAGAGCTGAAATTCAAACCTAGTTCTGCTCACTCTGAAATCCACAGCCCACCCAGGGCTCTCAGCAGGGGTGGAGAGTGAGTCCATTCTCTGCCTTCTGTGTAAAGTCTTGGAAGGTATCTCTTAGTTCAAATCGCTGTAACAAAAGATCATGGATGGTGTGGCTTAAACAACATTTATTTCTCAGTTCTGGAGGCTGGAAGTCCAAGATCAAGGTGCCAGGAGAGCTGTTGTCTGATGAAGGTCCTGGCTTTTAGGCAGCACCTTCCAGTGTCCTCACGTGGTGGAGAGTCTCTTCCCCTTCTGATAAGGGGGCTAATCTCATCATAGGGGTCCATGCTCATGACTTTGTCTAAACCTAATTGCCTCCCAAAGGCCCCATCTCCAAATACCATCCCATTGGGGTTAAGGCTTCAACATGTGAATTTGAGGGGGGTATAAACATTCAACCCACAGCAGAGGCCCCTCCTGCCAGGAGTCCCACTGGCCCCACAAACGGACATGGGCCCCTCTTGTCCCAAGACAGAACCAGAGCCCTCTTAGGAGGGAAATGGCTTATTAAGCATGTAGTTTGTTTCTCAGGACTGACTTTCCTTTGCAGGAAAGAAAGTCATCTGTAAAATCTGTATCATTGCCTGATGACAGAGGGAAGTGGAATTCCGGCAGGGAAGTGAGAGAGGACTGGGGAGACCATCTGCTTGATGATTTTTTCTCTGTTCATTCCCCTGAAGTCAGGAAGTTTCTGCATCCACTTTGCAATCTTCTTGGCAACTCATGCCAAGGACACATTCCTTCTATGAAATGTCCACGGTGTCACCATGGGCCTGACAATTAGCTGCTGCTATTACCTGTGACTTCGCAGTGATGGAGGCTGAAGGGCAGTGTGGTCTTGGCACATCTCTGAGGTGGAGCAAGACCATGTGCACTGGGGTCACTGTGCTTGGGGTAGGGAGCATGGGGGGGGTCTCAGCAAGGGAGACGCAGAGGAGCCCTAAGCAATCGTGAATCCCCTAAGACCCCCTCCAGCCACACTGCTGCACATTTTCATGTTCTAAACCCACTGTGATTGATGGCCACAGAAAAAGCTTACAAATAAAGAACTGATCTTCTTGAAAGAGGGAGGCTAGTGATTGTAACACAAAGGATAAGTGCTTGATAGGATGGATACCCCATTTCCCATGACATGATTATCAAGCATTGGAGGCCTATATCAAAACATCTCATGTACTCCATAAATACAAACACCTACTATATACCCACAAAAATTAAAAATAATTTTTTAAAAGGGGGGCTTGTGGATTTCAACTTGGTAGAAGCCAGTATATTTTCTTTCAGTTATTAGATTAATCGACAAACACCTATTAAATTTCTACCATGTATCAAGCCATGGCCAGAGATAAATAGTACATGGCTCCCACCTTCAAGAACTCACAGGCAGGTCACTCTTGTGCCCAGATCTGGGTCCAAATGCTGTGGTGCAGGTAAGTAGAGGGGCTGATGGGTACGGAAGAATGGCAGAGGGCACCTGAACCAGCCTGCGGAGGTGACCAGCTGTCAGGAAAGCTTTCTCCAGAGGTGCCCTGTAGGAGCCACGCAGAAAATGTGTCTGGGGCCCGGCTGCTGAGGAGATGCCCAGAAAGAGGAGGAAGGGGATGTGGCAGGCAGAGAGTGCCCATGTGCAAGGACAGAGGCAGGCGGTGGTGAGCCCCGAGAGCTGAGCTGGAGCTGTGTGGCTGGAGTTGGGGTCTGGGAGAGGGTCAGTGAGAGAGGGGGAGGCCAGGCCTGTCTGGTCCCCAGGGGTGGCTCAGACATCACTGAGACCTGCGGATTGGAGCAAGCGGAGAGAAGGAAACTTCCCCAGTGGAGAGAGGGGTCTGGGGAGAGGAGGGGCTGGTGTGAGAGTGCCAGCTAGAAAGAGAAGGGTTGGGGGGGTGTCACTGAGGAAAAGGAGGGTGTATTGAGAAGGCCCGGCTTTTGCGCGATGTGGCAGCCTGGTTGAACCAACGCCTCCTGCTTTTCCTCGGTGCCCCACTGAAATGGCCCAAGCTCCATCCCAGGGGAGGAGGTTGTCCTGCAAGGAGGGTCTTGTGGTTACTTGCTGGCTTGAATTCCAACCACCGCGCTCATCAGCCCTTCTCCTGAACCTCCTGTCACTTCCCACCCTGCTTCTCGCTGGTGGGGGCAGCTCCTCTTCCCCAGTCCCCAAAGCTCAGTTAATATAAGGGTGTTGAGCAGGCATTTTTCTAAATGCATTTTTAAAATGCATTTAGAAAGACTATGCATAGGGGTAGGGGGTATAATCACCTCTCCTTCCCCCCCAGGCATACACCCAGTCATTGGTTCAACCACTGTTGATTAGATACCCGTATGCGGTTGCACCTAGGAGCACTGGGATAATGACAGACACGGACTGTGCCCTTGGGAAGTCCTCGCCCAAATGAGGAGACAGAGGCCAACAGGTAAGCGCTACCATGGAGGAATAGATGGAGGGAGTGGCTGAGAGGTCATTCGCCAAGAACTGATCACACAGAAGACACAGAGCCCAGGTTCCAAACAATGAGTTGAGATTTCCCTGGTGAGAAGCAGGAGTGGACGCGATCCAAGCAGAGATAGCACGTGGATGACAGCATGGTGAGCTGGGGAGCACAGAGTGTCCCTGGAGCCCAGGTGCAGGGCAGGAGGAAGCAGGGCCAGGTCCCCCAGAGCCCTGTTTGCTGTCCTGCTGGCCACGGCTGTACAGCTGAGAGGTCAGATAGGGATTAGTTCTGGGGAAACTGAGGCCCAGGAAGTAATGTGTTCATGGTTACTAGCTGGCTGGGGCTGGGTGGGGCTGTGAGAGCTGAACCAAGGCTCCTGCTGGGCAATGGAGGGGGCACAGCAGGGAGGCTGTGGCAGAGCCAGATGACTCTTGCAAACAGGTTCTCCAGCAAGACTTCAGCCCAGAGAGAAGGTGAAGCAGTCCTGCAGCTGGAGCTGGGAACTCGGTACATCTCTCCTTTTGGTGGGAGAGAGAATGCATCATGTAGCAGGAATCCTTTTGGAAATTCCAGGTGGCAAGAGAGAGGGAGGAAAGCCACAGCTGTCTCTGCCCTGGAGGCTTTGAGGGATGCCCACGTGAGGCTCCACCAAGGCTGGGCCCAGGCAAGGCTTCACTTGCCAGGAAGCAGAGCTCCTGGTTGGCACCGGGGGCAGGAGACAGTGTGGCAGAGAGAGGTGGGCATCACCCAGCCTTCCTGCACCGGACTGCACCCTCTGTTCCCATTGGCCCAGGGTTTCTGTGGCCAGCCCTGACTCCAGTGACCTCAGAGAGAGCCTGGATTTGGGTTCTTTGGTTAAACGCTGCCACACTGGGTGGCAGGACCCTAACCCCATTGGGGAAGCCCTGTAAATTTTGGAGATATCCAAGCATGAGGAGCTGGGGTGTACACACACCAACTGCCATTTGCCATTCATTGAGAACTGCTCCCAGATGGGCTTAACTCCCATGAAATTCTCACCTCCCCTCCAAGTGGTAAATGCATCCCAGAGGGCACAGAAAGCCCAGGACAAAGAGGTACAGGTGGTGGCAGATGGCTTTGGCCCTTGGGCCCTAAAGCCTGCAGGAGACATGTGGGTGGGGCCCCAGCAGGTTTCTGCACTCTGCAGGCTGCAGGGATGATCTTCTTCCTGTCAACCCACCTTGGGCAGCCACACTTCAAAGTCCTGCCACTGTTGGTTCCCCATCTGAGAGCTTTGCCCCCACCTCTTGACGAAATCCGATACCCCCACCAGAGGAGACCCTACCCTACCATCCCTCCCTTCTTTGAACTTGTATGCTGCTTTTCATAACATTATTTGTCTTGATATTTAATAAAGACACAGACATCAAAGAGCAAGGGAGAAAGTAGGGGCTTCTGGATGAAACAGATTTGATTATGAACCCTGGCCCCACTCCCTTTCAGCTGTGTAGGCTTAGGCAAGTTACTTATCCAGATGGAGCCTGTGAAATGGGAACAATCTTACGTTTCCTGCCTTTCAAGATTCTTGTGAGGGCTACAGGTAGTGAGTACAGAAAATAACAAGCACCATTTGGAACATGGTACATCCACATCCACAACCACATCCACATCCACAACCACAACCACATCCACATCCACAACCACATCCACAACCACATCCACATCCACATCCACAACCACATCCACAACCACATCCACAACCACATCCACATCCACAACCACATCCACATCCACATCCACATCCACATCCACATCCACAACCACATCCACATCCACATCCACATCCACAACCACATCCACATCCACACCCACAACCACACCCACACCCACATCCACATCCACAACCACATCCACAACCACATCCACATCCACATCCACAACCACATCCACAACCACATCCACATCCACAACCACATCCACATCCACATCCACAACCACATCCACATCCACAACCACATCCACATCCACATCCACAACCACAACCACATCCACATCCACAACCACATCCACATCCACATCCACATCCACAACCACATCCACATCCACATCCACATCCACATCCACATCCACATCCACATCCACATCTACACACATGTTTTCTCTTTGATAGAAAATGCCAGTGGGCAAGCATCATATGTTCTGGTTCCTTGAACTTCTTTCTCCTCCCTTCACTGGCATAGTGCTGGGCACCTGGCAGGTCTTGGTGACTATTTGGCCCATGCTTGCACACAACTTCTCACTCTTCTGTCCTCCAACCCCTGGCTTCAGAGTTTGGCTGGACCCTTCAGCCTGGATGTGCCACCAATCAAATCTAAGATGCTGAGAATAGGGCTCACTCTCTCCTGCCCTGAGGCTTCTCCTCTTAACCACACCTTCCCTGCTGCTGGCCCCTGTCACATCTGCCCTGTCCCTATCCCCTCTTTACCCACTCCTGGAAGTCAGACTGCTACAGAGGGCTGGGAATACTAACCAGTGTTTAACAGCCATTCAAAGTGGCCACTGGAAGCCCTGCTGCCTTAGTTTCTAGAATCTTCCTCATGGGGCAGACCCTAGACATCATTGAAGGAGAGCTTCAGATTTCCTGGGCTCTCTGAATTATCATGTAGATGATGGCAGGGAGTGTAGTAGTGACTTCTGTGCCTCCTTCCTCACTGGCAAATTGGAACCTACATCTTCAGGGCTGTTATATTAGGTTGGTGCTAATAGGAACTAAATGAGAGAATGCATGTAAAGCACATCCAAAATCCACAACCACAACCGCAACCACACCCACAACCACAACCACATCCACATCCACAGCCACATTGTGAGGGTACAGGGTCCACCCTTGGCACCAGTTAGCTCTGACTACTGACATTATCATTTATTATCATCAATGATCACAGCAGTATAGCTTCACACCCATTCTCTCCACTCTGTTTACCTCATAAGATTCCTTTGGGAATAAAATCCAATAAGGAGCATTGGAGCATCTGAGCAAACGCACTAAGCTGTAGAAAAGCTAGAGAAAAAGCAAAGATCTGGGCTAGTATCCTGCTGTGTGACCTTGGAAATGTGACTTCTCCTCTCTGGGCCTCCACATATGCTGAGGTTTGGGGATGTGTTCCACCATAGGTCTCAGGTCTCTGGTCCCAGCAAGAGGCAACTGGTGGTTCTTAAGCAAGCAATCTGTAGTTAAATCAGCCCCTCCTTGAGCCAGGAGGGAAGGCTGAGGCTCCCTGGGAAGACAGGATTCTGCAGGGACAATTCCCTGCCACCAAGCTTATGCCTGCCTGCTCCAGCCACTTTTTCAGCTTCGTCTTCCAGGTCAGAGCTTCAGCACAGGTACCTGGGCCTCAGAGATGTGGAGCTGAAAGGGCGCTCAGCCCTTCCGGGAACTGTGGATTCCTCAGGATGGCTGCTGCAGGGGGAGGGGAGTTTTTTCCAGCATAAAAGCTGGCTGCAGCTCCTGGAGGTATAAACCTGCCTTGTGCACCCCACTTTCTGGAGATGCAATCCCACACTGAGCATGTCCTCCTATCCCCTCCCCTCACCACCCTGAGCTCAGCTACTGCCGTGTCTGTTTTCATTCTTTTGTGTGGGCAGCTTGTTCCTCTGGGCCAGATTCTGCACCTTGGAGGGTGGGAACTGGGGATTCTGTCCTTACTGCCCAGCCAAACAGCACGAAAGTTGGCATTGACCCAGCGTGGTTTCCATGCCTGATGCTGCAAACAGATGTTCAGTGTGGTAAGCCCTAAGCCCGGGTGGCTTCATAGACTCAGGAAAAGCATTACTCTGGCAGCTAGAAACAACCCAGGTACTGGAGTCGGTTCTGGGTCTTTCTCTCTGGTTGTGTAGTCTTGGCTAAGCCACCTCCCATGTCTGAGCCTAGGAAACCTGTACACATCACAGTCTTCGCACCCACATCCCTGGGTGGCTGTGGCCTCTGGCCTGGGAGTGAATGCACCCGCCTCTTGGTGTGCAGCTGCTAGAGTGTGGCTCTCAGGAGAGAGGTGTCCAGGCTGGCAGATGATGTGTTGACACCTGTGAGTACTGCAGAGGACCCAAAAATTCCCAAGGCCTGGGGGCAGAATGGATGCATGGCCACATCTCCTCCAGCATTGGGTACCCTGAAGGGTCAAGTGGGCACTCACAAAGCCAGGGCCTGAGCAAGGGCAATCTGGGCACCCACACCAAAGAAGAGCAAAGGACCCATCCACATGTCCAGGGGACCACACAAGCCTCCACGCTCCCAGACACACACACAATCACACCCACAACCCACATCTCAGAGGAAGAGCAGTCAGAGATGGGGGATGCCTGGAAGTCTGAGCACTTACCCAAAAGACAATGAATTGCCCTGAGGAAACCAGGCTAGAAGAGACTGAGATGCCGCTTCTTGGCAAATAAAGTTTCTTTATCCTGGTATCCAGTACAGGGAGGCTCCTGAGGAGGGAGATTCCATGGCAGCTGACTGGCTGAGTGCAGTATGACTGGGACACATTGCCTTGTTCCCATCTCCCCTGCTGCGGTGGCATTTCACCAACCCAGTCCAGGTGGCAGCAGTGCCCACCCCTCACTCCTCACTTACCCAGCAGACACCATGTGAGACCCTGGCCAAGTGCGGTAGGGAGGCAGAGACACAGATAGGGCCTCAACCTCTGGGAGCTCATGGTCTAGTACAGAAAACAAGACTCCAACTATGTTGGGGTCTTTTCCAAAGAGCAACCATAGGTAATCTGCTCCTCTGAGAGGGGTGATATAGAAGAGAGGATTGTTCATGTGGGAGACAGTTTTGTGGGACAGAATAGTCGGGAAGGGTTTCCTGGAAGAGGATGGATCTCTGAGGTTAGATGTTGTGTTAGTCCATTCTCACACTGCTATAAAGAACTACCTAAGCCTGTAATCCTAGCACTTTGGGAGGCCGAGGCGGGCGGATCACAAAGTCAGGAGATCAAGACCATCCTGGCTAACATGGTGAAACCCAGTCTCTGCTAAAAACACACACACACACACACACACACACACACACAAAATTAGCCAGGCGTGGTGGCGGGCACCTGTAGTCCCAGCTGCTTGCGAGGCTGAGGCAGGAGAATGGCGTGAACTTGGGAGGCAGAGCTTGCAGTGAGCCGAGATCGCGCCACTGTACTCCAGCCTGGGTGACACAGCGAGACTCTGTTGCAAAAAAAAAAAAAAAACAAAACAAACAAAAAAAAAAAAAAACAACTACCAGAGACTGAGTAATTTATGAAGAAAAGAGATTTAATTGACTTACAGATCTGCATGGCTGGAGAGGCCTCAAGAAACTTAAAATTACGGCAGAAAACGAAGAGGAAGCAAAGCACATCCTACATGGCAGGAGAAAGAGGGAGTGAGTAGGAACACACATTTAAACCACCAGATCTCATGAGAACTCACTATCATGAGAACAGCATGGGGGAAACCACCCCCATGATCCAATCACCTCCCACCAGGTTCCTCTCCTGACACATGGGGATTACAATTCAAGATGAGATTTGGGTGGGGACACAGAACCAAACCATATTAGATCTTGAATTTAGATAGTTGAAAGAAGAGAGGGAGGGCATTTTATGTGTTCATCCATCCATCCAACCATCCATCCATCCATCCATCCACCCACTCACCCATCTACCCAAACATCCATCCATCCATATATACATCCACCCACCCACACTCATCTATCCATCCATACAGACATTCACCCACTCACCCACCCATCCATTTCTCCACTTATCCATCCATCCACCCATCCCTTTACCCATCCATCCATCCATCCACCCAGCCACCCAGCCACCCAAACGTATACCTATCCATCCATTCATCCATTCACTTATCCATCCATCCATCCATCCATCCACCCAGCCATCCAGCCAATGTTATTTGTGCAGTGTTTATGAGCCAAGCACAAACTAGGGGGATTCATGAGATATTTAAGGTTCTACATTGCAATTCCATTTTCAGACACCATCTCTGAGCCCACTGGCTAAAGTGGTCATTTGAATAGACTTGGTCACTTCATGTTGTAATCTATTAGCACTTTTACTACATTTTTTCTTTTTGGCTAGGTCATAATAAAAGCTGTGTGTATTTGAGGCAGGAGCCAATCTGGGAATTTTAAAATCACTTTCCCCTGGTCTTGACAAGCTGATCTCTGCTTCTAATAGAAGGGACATAAGCTTAGGCAAGGCAGAAGTAGCGGAGGAGTCCTTGAAAGATCTATTTCACCTGGAAAATCACATGATATAGTTTTACATTTTAAACAAATCAAATGCAAGGTCTTCCTTTCCAGGTGGGTGCACTGGTTCTCATGATGCTCCTGTGTAGGGAGGGTGTGAGCAGTGGGGCCAGGCAGGCCTGAGCGGAAGCCCAGCTCTGCCACTCACCATGGGGCAGCCTTGGGCATGTCTGCCTGGACCCTGGTTTCCTCACTTACAGAGTGTGGGCACTTCTACCTTCCTGGAGGAACTCAGGCAAGCACTAAGAGAGAGCCTGCCCAGCCCATCCATCTGCCCCAGGTCCTCCAGGCTCAGAAGTTATCACTAAGCCTGGGCCATTCCACTGAGCCAGAGTCATGGACCTCGAGGTCATTGAGAGCCAGCTCTGGAAGCCGGAACCCAAACAGCAATGAAAGTTGCCCAAAGTCCCACAATGAGTTGATCCACCGGGAACAGGAGGAGGCCCCGCCGCCAGCCTCTGTGTTATACTTGGCATCTCGTCCAGGTTTATCGGAGAGGAGATCACACGTCCCTTCCCCAGCCCTCCCAACTCCTCCAGCCAAGACAGGTGCCACCATCTACCCCAGCCCCAGTGTGCTCTGAGTGTGCCGGATGGCCCCTTACCTGTAGCCATGCCATGCCCAAGCCTCTTCCTTCTCACAACAACCCAAAGAAGACTCTTGGGGGCTGGCATTGCCCGTTGACCAGAGACCTCACTCCTCTCAGCAGAGCAGCCCAATCCCTTGCCCTCCCCGGTTCCCACCTCGTTTCCTCTCCCGGTGTCCTCCCCACCAACTCCACACCAGGCACCCCAACACATCCTCAAAGGCCGCATGCGAATGATGTCCCCTTCTGCCCTTGATACAGTCAGCCTCACCCTTGTTCTTGTCACCACTGGCAGGTCTGTAGGGGGCTGCACACCCTTGACAGCCCCCCTGAATCCCTGCCATGGCCCCTAACTGGTCTCCTGTTGTCCATTTCTCCTCTCCCAGGCCATTAGTGCCCTATCTTCAGAGTTTTCCTTTTCGGCAATTATCTGACTTGTCCATTCCTGCTTTAGACAATCCAGTAACTCCTGGCAGCTGTCAGGACAAGGCTCATACTCCAGGAGTGAGGCCCCAGGCCTTCAGGGCATGGCCCCTGCTGATGTGGCTCCGCACTAGGCCCCGTCCTCAGATGCACTCCCTTCGTCCTCTGCTTGACGGGTCCCCTGTGGTTCACCTCTAACGTCTCCATGTCAGCAAAGCTGCCCCTCTATGCCCAACCCCACCACCACCATCTAGTAGTTCACATGAGCATGAAGCCACATAGCTATGAATGAAGTGCAGTAATGAAGGCGAGTTGTTATCACTGTTGAACGGATGAGAGAAAAGAGTCTCAAAGAGAGGGATGTGCTTGGTCATGGCAAAGAGGGAGGCATGCTTGGTCACACAGAGAATGTGCAGCAGAGTCCTGGGCCTCCGCTCCAGAATTTAAAACTGTCCCCAGCAGTCCCAGGGGCTTGGTGTTGATTTCTGCTGGAAATAGTTAGAAAGGCTGGCTGCAGTAATTACCGTGTCTTCTGCTCTCTGAGGGGCTGCTATCTTTGGCAAGCTAATTACTAATAAGGTTTGCTCACCAGCCAGTGTAATCACCAGAGAAAACCATCTTTAAGGACTTATTCTGCCCAATTTGAGGTTTGATCTTGCAGCTGCAGTGTTCCGAGAGGCTCGGTTCTGTGACAGGGGCGTCAGTGCAGAGGACCTCCTGGGCTGGCTAGGCCTCTCCGTGCCTGCAAAGCAGCCCCCCGCTGCCCACTCCTCCCCAGGGACCTTCCCAACCTCTAACGGCAGCTTCCCTGTCTGCCGTCCAGGCTTAAATCCCAACTCTGCCAAGAATCTGGGGTTAATTTCTTGACATGAAGGTGAGGACAGTAATCCATGCCCTAGAGGGTGTTGTGAGAACAAGTGAGGCAGTGGCTGCAGAGGAGGTAGTGTGGGGCTGGGCACCCAGTAGCCCCCAGCCAGGGGTCCCCCTGCCACCCGCTTCCCATGGGAGACCACAGCTCAGCTGGGTCCCTTCCCTTCTTGGCTTGCAGACCAGGAGTATTGTCTGCTCCCCATAAAACCATATGTGCCCAGGAAAATCTGGAATGATGTTCCCCAACACGAGAGCGATGATTCATTGTCTCTGTGTGGTTAGATTTACATTTTTATTTGAACCTTTATGAATTATTTTCATTTTGTGTAATAAGCATGTGTCATGCTTATGATCAGAAAGAACAAGCTCAGGAAGTTTTTTCTGAGCGAGGTGCCCAGTACCCCTGCTTCCTCATACCAAGGGACCTGCAGGAAGGACACCGGGGCAGGCTGGGCTCCTCCTTTGCACTCACGGCGGAGAGAAATGACACACACATGTGTCGGAGGTGGGGGTTCCCAGCTGCCTGCCTACGGCCGGCTTCTGTCATTTGTACTGAAGCATGTTCTGCTCTTCCTGGCTCATTTGAGTGCTGAGAGCTGAACTCAGGCTGCTGGGCCGTGCCTCCATGTGATCAGTCACAGGAGTTCGGTGCAGTCATTAAATACTTTCCTTGTCAAAATCTCAGAAGCAAATGGAGATGACTGGCTTTTTGTAATATATACATATTTCCTCCTCCAAATCAGTTCCATTGATCTAACAGTTGGTGTTATTCTTTTTTAGTTGCGACTGCAAATCATAAATATGGATTTAAGAATTTTCTTTTAAAGGCTTAGAAATATTTCTCTGTCTCCAAAGTTCCTGAGGTAAGAAAGGCCAGTTGTCTGCTCACGGGACGTTGCCTCTGGTCAGGGCTCAGAGGAAAGAGATGCAGATGGGCCAGGTTCTGGGGCTGCGCACACTCTGCTCTGATTGTCTTCTTACCTGGGACCACCCCCTTGCTCTCTGGGCCTCCGTGGCACCCCCATTTGCAAGAAAAGCAGTGAGGCTCAATGAGCTTTCAGGCCCAGCACCTGGCCCAAGCCTCACGGCTGTGGCTGTGGCTGTGAGGAAGGCTGCCCAGTTGGCCCTGCCCAGCCAAGAGACCAGCAGGGCACATACCCACAGATCCTAACCCCGAAGGGTAGAGGGCATGGTGGGCACCCCAGGGGGCTTCAGGGTCAGTGCTATAAGGTTTAAGTGAGTCTTTCTGTGCTTCCAGTAGGCTGTAGGAAACTCTCTGTGCCTCAGTTTCCTCATCTGCAAAGCAAGGGTTATGGAAATAATACTGAGGTAAGAGGCAGGACTCAACTCTAGAGGCAGGGCTAGGACACCGGACCAGATTGAGGACTAGCTAAAACAGGTACCAGGGCAGAGGCAGCTTTCAATCAGACATGCCCACGAGTGTGCCATGTCAATTCACTGTTGCCATGGCGACACCTGGGCTTTACCGCCCCTTTCCATAGCAATATGATCCAATGATTACTACCCCTTCCCTAACAATTTCTGCATAACCCCTTAATATGCATGCAAGTAAAAGTGAGTACAAATATAACTGCAAAACTCCCCAAGCTGCTACTCTCTGCCTACGGGGTAGCCCTGCTCTGCAGGAGCAGTCACGGGGCTGTAACACTGCCTCTTCAATAAAGCTGTTTCCTTCTACCCCTGGCTTGCCCTTGAATTCTTTCCTGGGCAAAGCCAAGAACCCAGCAGGCTAAGCTCCACTTTAGGGTTCCCTGCCCTGTAGCAATCCTGCCTGAGGAGGTTGCTGTCAGGACCATGGGGTTTATGCCAGTCACTTACAGAGGTGCCTGGTGTCCCTGAGTGTGAGCTGTTTTCATCAGGAGACTGACTGTGGCGGGGGACCCAGTGCACCAGCTGCAAGAAAGCCCATTCCTTCAGCTGTCTTCTCTGCCCTTCTCAACCTCCCGCTTCACACTGTGTTATTTCCTAAAATGTTTTTGAATCAAATCTTTTATTGAGGCACTGTTCACAATAGCAAAGGCTTGGAACCAACCCAAATGCCCATCAATGATAGACTGGATAAAGAAAATGTGGCACATATACACCACGGAATACTATGCAGCCATAAAAAAGGATGAGCTCATGTCATTTGCAGGGACATGGATGAAGCTGGAAACCATCATTCTCAGCAAACTAACGCAGGAACAGAAAACCAAACACCACATGTTCTCACTCATAAGTGGGAGTTGAACAATGAGAACACATGGACACAAGGAGGGGAACATCACATACGAGGGCCTGTCGGGAGTGGGGAGCTAGGGGAGAGATAGCATTAGGAGAAATACCTAATGTAGATGAAGGGGGTTGATGGGTGCAGCAAACCACCATGGCACGTGTATACCTATGTAACAAACCTGCATGTTCTGCACATGGATCCCAGAACATATATATGAAAGTATAAAAAAAATCCATGTCAATACATTACCTTTAGAAATGTTGACAAGGCAGCACTTTCAGAGGATGTACCCAGAGGGAGGAGCCCTCCCTCACTGCTGCCCGTCGGCTACACTCAGGACTGAGCAACCTCACTCCCTGCACCCTGGGGGGCTGGCTTTCTTTCAGACAGAAGTGCAAGGTCTGAACCAGGAGCCCCTGCCCGGGCGCCTGACCTGCCTCTGCACCCTCACACCAGCCTAGCCTGGAAGCCTGATCTCTCTCATAGCTGGGATGCTGGGTCCCCAGATCCATGTGGGGCCCTCTTCAGCTTGTCCCTGTCAGTTCTCCTTGGGCTTGGGGTACCTGAGGCTGGTGTTGGCAGCCCGAAGGGAATCCAATGTCCTTTGGGCCACCTCCAGCTAGATGGAGTCTTTTGTTCCCCATAACTTGTCAGTCAGATGAGCAGAGCCCACAGGTGTTTCTGGAGAGCAGGCAGTGGAGTCCTGGAGGACAGCAGGGGAGAGGGCAGGGAAGGGGCCAGGAGGAAGGGGCACAGTGACTATGCACCTCTTCTGGCCGGGACAGGAAGCCTGTGTTACCTCTAGTCCACACCAGTCCTGGAGGGAGGCATTACTTCCCAGCTCAGGGAGGTAAGCAATCCATCCAGTGTAACAGAATGAATGGTGAGAGTGGGAATCAAGGTCAGCCTGGTCCCGAAGCCTTTGTTCTTTGCACCAGACTGTTTTTTCCAATAGCTCAGAGAAGGTTATTTCAAAGGACCAAGTACTCAGCTCCACGCTGGGGCTTTGTTTAGTAGCAGGAAGCTTTGTGGGGTCACCGGTCAGGCAACTGGCAATTTGTAGGACAGTCTTTATTTCAAATGATCTGTCTTGTTGTCATAATTCATGGAGGTGTCTTGGAAAGCTCAATCTTTGAGCACCCAGACTTCCAGAGTCCCTCCTGCACCCATAAGTCACAGAAGTTTATCACCAACCCAAGAACTCCAGATTTTGGCTTAGTTCTGAGCATCCCGAGAGTAAAGGATCTGTTTTTCATCTCGACACCCTCCCTTGAATGGAGCAGGCATCCCACACATCCAGTGATTCTCTCCCACCTTTCTAAGGGCATGGGGCAGGTCTTGTGCCTTATTTATCTTGAAATCTCTGCACCCAAGGCAGATTAACTAGGGTGCGCTCGAACCTTATGGATGACCATGCAATGAGCCTTGGACTCGCCCAACTGCAGAGTGGGTGATAAAGGCTGGATCCCAGGAAGCAATTCCAAAAAATGAATGTCCAAGGAGGCTGCAAATCCAAGAAATGTAAAACATTTCTATCCCACGAAAGGACACGGGGCTGGAGCTAGACTTATTTTATAGGCATGTGTCCCTGTGCAACTTAAGGTTGCCAGTGTTGGGAACATGGGAAGACGGCAGTGAGGAATGTGAGCTCACCTTGCACCCCCTCCTGGCTCACTGCTCTACACTATAAGGTCAACATGTTGCTGGCAGATCCTATGGTAGCCCCACCTGATGACCCCCCACGCTTGTCAGGTAAGACAACTTAGTAGGTTGGAGTCACCCACGGGACTAGACTCCCCAAACGAGGTATAACCCTAAATTTTCTAGCCCGAAAGAGAGACTTTGCAAGCAGTCCTGGTGTAGGTGCCCAGGAATTGTCCTTCTCAGCCCTTTCCAATGACCTCTGAAATTCCAGCCCCTTCCCGATCTGAGCCCTAACTGCCAAGTCTCACCCACTGTGGGCTTGAGCCTCTCTGGCTTGTCCACTCATGGCCCCCGATCCTTCCCTTAGCCAGAGTCAGGGCCCCTGTGGGTCGGCTTTCCTGGTCCTAGGAGAGATGGCGCTGCCTAACATGCATTCATTCAACAACACTTCCTGAGCCCTTCATGCGCTCCAAGCCTTGGGCCCAGTGCTGGGAAATGAACATCTCCTTAGAACTTCCTCCTCCAATGAGCCTTCCTCCTGCCAAGGCAGGCAGGACACAAGGTCCACGCTCATGGAGACAAGGTGGGTGCCTCTCCCAGCTCAGACAAGCACCATCCCTCTGCGAAGCCTTCCCTGGCCGCGTCCTGCCCCCTCCAGCACTGTCAGCCCCCTCAGGCCCTTGCGCCCTCTCCCAGGTGGATCCCTTGTTCCTCTGAGCCTGTAACCCCTGAGAGAGGGCTGCTGCCTTATTCTTCTCCATCACCATCGCTTCGTAACGAGCCAGCCACAGAGTAAACACTCAATCAGAGTTTGCTGGATACAGGAATAAATTTTGTCACCTTCGTGTGTGTGTGTGTGTGTGTGTGTGTGTGTGTGTGTGTGTGTGCTGGCAAGGCAGGGAAGACAGTTTCGAGTCTGAAACATCTCCATGCCTTCTCTCAGATCAGGCAGCTGAGAGTGGGTTGGAGGCCGTCAGCAAGACTCAACGGAGGCTTCATCACACCATCTCCTCTTCCAGCCACCGGCCCAGCAGCCACCTCTGCCCAGGGGCCAATATGCTCTGTGATTATTTTCAACCCACAGATAAATTGCTTTGAAAGATTTATGTTTCAAATTTGCCTTGGGCCTGATGACATTTGATTAAGACCTACGCAGAGCCAGAAACCTCAGGTCTGCTGTCTCCTATAAAAATCTAGGCCACAGAGGGAGGTTTTGTGGTGGACGGGTCCCGCCAACTCAGCTATTGTTAGTAACTGCGTCTGCCATTGCGATGGCCACCAGGCGGGCCAGCTGGGGCTACAGGCCGGGGCGAGCGAGGCTGGCGATTCTTCAGCTCCCTGCCCCCTGAACACATGGCCCCCTGGGTGAGGGATATGAGGGTGGCAGGGAAGTGGGGCGCAGACAAGCCCTCTTCCAAGCTGGGGGGCTGCCAAGGCGCTAATGTGGGGGAGGGCCAGTTATAAAGGTGGAAACAGCTGGCACCAGCAGTCTCCCATGGCAGGGACAACGAGCAGGCGCCCAGCTCTGTCCTACTAGGGATGGCATGATCTCCAGGTCAGAGGTGTGGAGACCAGGCTCAAGGAACACCTGGGGTCCCCCAGCTCTCAGTGACACTAGAATACTAGCACAGATCCTGGAGCTAGAGTCAAAAATGCACACAGGTTGGGCGCGGTGGCTCACGCCCGTAATCCCTGCACTTTGGGAGGCAGAGGCAGGTGTATCACCTGAGGTCAGCAGTTCAAGACCAGCCTCACCCATATGGCGAAACCCCGTCTCTATTAAAAATACAAAAAAAATTAGCCAGGCATGGTGGTGCGTGCCTGTAATCCCAGCTACTTGGGAGGCTGAGGCAGGAGAATTGCATGAACCGGGGAGGTAGAGGTTGCAGTGAGCTGAGACTGTACCATTGCACTCCAGCCTGGGGGACAAGAGCAAAAATTCAACTAAAAAAAAAAATACGCACAGAGGACAATGCAGATTTAAGGGTGAGAATGTAGTGTGTTTTATTTCTCATAACTGCCTCCATCCTTCTCCTGGGTTTCCCTCCAACTAGGGAGTGGAAGATAAACTTGCCAATTACAGACATCTCCATTTCTTCTGGTTTAAAGCCATATCTTGGCAGTCAGCCCAGTCACTTTTGGGTAGATCCCAAGGTGGCATCTGAGTACAGAGCCCATGTCTTGCCCCACACACAGCTGAAGTAACCGAGTGGTCCCTCTGCCTGGTCCTATGATGCCCTGAAGAACAGGCAAGAAATTCTAGACCCACTCACAACTTTGGCAAAAGCTACAGGGAACAGAGTTCCCTGGGGGCTCTGGTGTCTTGACTGCTCCTTCATCACTGCTGTGCCGCCCTTTCCCACGTGGGGCTAGAGGAGCCTGCCCGTCTCTCCTGCTGCTGAGCACCTCCGTGATATATCCTGAGTTTCACATCTGTGGGGTCCAAATCCACCAGCACTGTCTTACATGTAGTGGAGACTGTTAGAATTTAGAAATCCCTTCTTTCTCCTGATGAAAACTCTAGACTCCTAGAAAGTTAACTTAAAGGTAAAGATGACTCCGAAAGGCATGGAAACCCATTGGTTCGACAGGTGGGGACAATTGAAGGAGAATAAAAGATGCATCCGTTTAGTATTTTCAAGAAAGGAAACTAAACCTGTCTGACTCGAGTCCATGCTTCCCTCTCCCTGCTCCCTCACCTGCCTGGGTGGTCCTAGAGGCAGCAGGGGCTGAAGATCCCAGGCTGAGGTGCCCACAGGCAAATGTGGCACCCTTTCTTTGGGCTGTACACAGAGTGACAATATGACGTATTATCCAAGCCCAGATGTTCTTAACAATAATACCAGAACAGTAGCCATAAATTGGGATTGTCAGAGGCAAACTGGAGCATATGACCATTCCAGCTACAAGTTACAGATGATGGACAGCAAACAGATGCAGTCTTCTCTTGCAGAGCTCATCTTGGACCCCTGGCACTTCTCCCATAAAATAGAACAGTGCCAAGCACAGCTTTGGAGTCAGCTAGACCTGGAATTGAAATCTGACTTGACCTGTGCAAGTTGCTTGATTTTTCTGAGCCAACTTTTCTTTGTGTGTAAAACAAGAATAACACTGAGCTCACAGGATTGTTGTGAGGAGAATGAAATGACGTATACAATCAGTGTTATTGTCCAAAAGAACACCAGGATGGCTACACAATAGGAAAGTTGGATTGGCAATATCAGTTAGCAAACCAGGAAGAGACAGTCTCCAGCATGGACCAAAGGTGCTCTGTCTTCAAAGAAAGGATGGGCAGGTTAGGTTTTATGCTTCACAGGCCCTGGATTACACAATAAAGTCATGGAGATTCAATAGGTTTGGGGGGAAAGTCACACATATTTATAAGGGGGTTAGGGCGCAGGCACAACAGGTAAGCATATATGTGATATGTATCCCATCTTCACTTTGGGACCAGGTTTTAGCATTAAAATGGTAGAATTTGGCTCTTTTCATTAAGAGGTAAACTACAGGACACAAAGAGAGTTTATGCACAGCTTCTATAAGCTGCTGACATCGGCTTCAGGTCTGCAGTCACTTATCAGGAAAGAATGTGTGTAAGCCTGGTCCTCTGTCCAGTTGGAGTTGTAGTGATCTGGGTTGTAAAGCAGAGTTAGGACGAGTCTGATCATTTGCCTGATGGCTCCTATTCTTAGGAGTTTAGCAAGAGTGGGGTTTTTGGGTAGCCATAGGAATTAAGGAAAGTTGCCATGCCAGTCAGTCTCTGAACCCTTGGCTCACAGGTAACTTTTGTTTTCTTAACCCCAGGGTCCATCTCAGTTGATACAGGGGCATTTATTTTGAGCTCTCAGATAACAACGTGTTGCTTGGATCATTGCAGGCACCCAATGAAGGGTAAGCAGTACCATCTCTGCTGAAGTTGTCACTCTAATAATCACGGAAACAATGACTTTCCAACATTTGCAAAGGTATGATCAATTTGTAAGATTCTTTCAAATCCATTTTCTCATTTAGTCCATCTCGTTCTGTCTCCATATTCCTTTGCAGTCATTCACTATGTTCTTCATCATCCTCTAGCGGACTTCAGCACTTCTTACTTGGTGATATGGTTTGAGTCTGCGTCCCTGCCCAAATCTCATGTCAAATTGTAATCCCCAAAGTTGGAGGAGGGGTCTGGTGGTAGATGGGGGTGGACTTCTTTCTTGCTGTTCTCATAATAGTGAGTGAGTTTTCACACAAGTTCTGGTTGCTTAAAAGTGTGTGGAACCTCCTCCTTCATTGTCTTCCTCCTGCTCTGGCCATGTAAGATGTGTCTCCTTCCTCTTCACCTTCTACCGTAATTGTAAGTTTCCTGAGGCCTCCTTGGCCATGCTTCCTATACGCCTGCAGAACTGTGAACCAATGAAACCTATTTTCTCTATAAAATCCCCAGTCTCAGGTAGTTCTTTATAGCAATGCGAGAGCTGACTAATACAGAAAATTGGTACCAGGAGTGGGGTATTGCTATAAATATACCTGAAAATGTGGAAATGACTTTGAAACTGGAGAATGGGCAGAGGTTGGAACAGTTTGGAGGGCTCAGGAGAAGACAGGAAGATGAGGGAAAGTTTGAAACTTCCTAGAGACTTGTTGAATGGTTGTGACCAAAATGCTGATAGTAATACTGACAGTGAAGTTCAGGCTGAGCAGGTCTCAGATGGGGATAAGGAACTTATTGTGAACAGGCCTAAAGGTCACTCTTGCTACACTTTAGCAAAGAGACTGGTGGCATTGTGCCCCTGCTCTGGGGATCTGTGGAACTTTAAACTCAAGAGAGATGATTTAGGGCATCTGGTAGATTAAATTTCTAAGCAGCAAAGCACTCAAAAATTACCTGGCTGCTTCATAAACCTAAACTCATATGCATAAGCAAAGAAATTACCTGAAACTGAAATTTATATTTAAAAGGGAAGCAGAATGTAAAAGTTTGAAAATTTGTAGCCTGGCCTTATGGTAGAAAAGAAAAACCCACTTTCAGGGGAGAAATTCAAGCCAGCTGCAGAAATTTGCATAAGTGAAGAGGTGTTGAGTGTTAATAGCCCAGAAAACAGGAAAAAGGCCTTGAAAGCATTTCCGAGAACTCTGTGGCAGCCCTCCCATCACAGACCCAGAGGCCTGGGAGGGAAGAATGGTTTTATGGACTGGGCCCAGGACCTTGCTGCCTGTGCAACATTGGGATATTGTTCCCTGCATCCCAGCTGCTCCAGCTCTAACCATGGCTAAAAGGTCCCCAGATATGTCTCAGGCCACTGCTCCAGAGGGTGCAAGCCATAAGCCTTGGTGGCTTCCACATGGTGTTACGACTGCATGTGTGCAGAGGACAAGAGTTGAGGCTTGGGAGCCTCTGCCTAGATTTCAGAGCATGTATGGAAATGACTGGATTTCTAGGCAGAAACTTGCTGCAGGGGCAGAGCCCTCATGGAAAACCTCTACTAGGGCAACGTGGAAAGGAAATGTGGGGTTGGAGCCCCTGCACACAGTACCCACTGAAGCAATGGCAATGGAGCTGTGAGAAGAGGGCCACCATCCTCCAGAACCCAGAATGGTAGGCCCACCAAAAGCTATACCATGCACCTAGAAAAGCCTCAGGCACTCAATGCCAGCCCATGAAATCAGTCCGGCTTGCATTAGTGTGGCCTAGATGTAAGACATGGAGTCAAAGGAGATTATTTAGAGCTGCAAGATGTAATGACTGCCATGTTGGGTTTCAGACTTTCATGGGGCCTATAGCCCCTTTGTTTTGGTCAGTTTTTCCCTTTTGGAAAGGGAATATTTGCCCAATGCCTATACCCTCATTGTATCTTGGAAATAACTAACTTGTTTTTTATTTTACAGGCTCACAGGCAGAAGGGACTTGCCTTGTCTCAGATGAGACTTTGGACTTTAGATTTTTTAGTTAATGCTGAAATGAGTTAGTATTTTCAGGGGGGCTGTTGGGAAGGCATGACTGTATTTTGAAATGTGAGAAGTACATGAGATTTGGGAGGGACCAGGAGCGGAATGATATGGTTTGGGTCTGTGTCCCCACCCAAATTTCATGTAGAATTGTAATCTCCAGTTTTGGAGGAGGGGCCTGGTGTGAGGTGATTGGATCATGGGGGCAGATTTCCCCCTTGCTGTTCTTGTGATAGTGAATGAGTTTTCATAAGATCTGATTGGTTCAAAGTGTGTAGCACTCCCCTGCCCTTCACTCTCTTCCTCCTGTTCTGGCCATGTAAGACATGCCTCCTTCTCCTTCACCTTCTGCCATGATTGTAAGTTTCCTAAGGCCTCCCCAATCATGCTTCCTGTACAGACTGCAGAACTGTGAGCCAATTAAATCTCTTTTCTTTATAAATTACCCCATCTCAGGTAGTTCTTTATAGTGACGTGAGAACAGACTAACCCACTTGGCCTTGGGGATGCCCTACTCAATTCTCCATGGCTTCTCCCACCCAACAGATGTAATTCACCACTCTGCCCCATCTTGGCCTGTTGGTGCCTAGAATAGACTTCCACCATTTCAGCCAGAGCTCTTTATGTTCCCTGCTCACCTGGGTGGCTCCCTCTCCCACTTTCTGGGCAGAGGGGGGCAGGTACTGAGTCCCATTAACCTTAGCAGCCCCACTACATAGCACATGGCCCCCTCAGCAAGCACCCAGAAAATGGTTTTAAATGGAGAAAATAAAGGAAGGAGCAAAGATGAATAAGAGAATCTACCTACCAGGAACTCCCAGGCTGGTGGAGCAGCCTGAGACAGGCACTGATAAATTCTTACAGCATCCAGCCACCTCCTTACCCCTGTCCCCCCACCCCACCAAACTGTACCCAAACAACACAAAATAAAATCTAAATTCTGGCAAAAAGAAATGTGCTTATTATCTCATCAATGCTATGCCGCGAATGGATCATCTCTATTTGATCACATGAAAACCGAGGCTCAGAGAGGTGGAGTGATTTCTCCAAGGTCACACAGCCCAACATATATTTTTCAAATGTAAACTAATGCTTCAGAGGCCTTAGGAGAGTTCGAGGAGAAAGAAACTGACGGAAAAGGGCAAAAGTGAGAGGAAGGGGCCACATCTCGGGACCCACATTTTCAGAAAGAAAATCCCAAATGTCCCGTATACATGGAACGTGGAATTCTCCCCATTTCTTGGGGTAAGCCTTCTGCTTTGGAGCCTTAAGAGGAGAGAAGGGCTCAGTTGCCATGGTTTTCTGATGGCCGGAGCTGGGAATGCACCCTGCAGCTCACAGTGATATTTGCTTGTTTTAGTTGCATCCCGTGAGTCACACTTGACCCAAGCTTTGTCATTGTTTACTTTACTCCTGAAACTGCAGCAGAGGATGGGGCCATATCCTGCCCTTTGAGATGCTGGGCTTCTTTCGTTCATTCTGCCACTGTCGCCAACAAATATGCCTGGCCTTTACTTACTCATCTACTGACTCATTCATTTGCTCAGTCACCCACTCATTCATTCCCATGTCTGCTCCCTCCGTCATTCACCCACTCCCACTCATGCGGTCCTTCCCGTAGTCACCAAAGTGTTCCCTTGTTTCTTTGTGCATTCACTCATTCACTCACTTATTCATTCTTCTTTGAGGACCTGCTACATGCAGTTGGCCTTCTCTAACAATGCGTTCTGCATGTGCGGATCCAGCCACAGGAAGGTGGAAAGGATTTGAAAAAAATAAATAAATGATAACATACAACAATAAAAAATACAAATAAAAATATAGTATAACAATGATTTGTATAACACATTGTATAGATATTATCAGTTATCCAGAGATGATTTAAAATATACAGGACCAGCAAACTATTACAGTGAACCACACTGTAAAATCGGTGGGGGGAGCCTGGGGCCTGGAGAGACTGTGTGGGGCCCGAGGATATAGAGACAGCCACTGGAGGCCTCCCGCCTGCGGGGTGGGAGAAGAGTCTTCAGCGGTGGGCAGTGAGGATGAGTCCAGCACGGTTAGGAAAGCGAGAGAACGGAGTGAATGAACAGCAGGAGGCCGGGCACGCTGAGGAGAATGAGAAAGTGATGTAGACCAGGGGCCGCCGCCTGAAGAGGGCCACACAGGTCATACAGACAAGGATGCTTGTGTTTCTGGGGACCACATACATCCTGTGAGGAGCCCCAGTGGCCCGGAGGTTGGGGAGCTCAGCTCTCGTCCTCCTTGGAGGCGCGTGCCCCCAAGGAGAAAGCCACTAGGCCAAGTGGGCTGTTCTTTAAAGTCTCTGGGCTCAGTTCCGGAAGACAGACTTGGGGGAGAATGTGACAGAGGGGGTGAGGCAGAGCTTCCAATCATGCTCCCCTACTCCTGCAGGAGCCCCGTGTACTCAGGCCACCCCTTAAAGTCTTGGCCCTGGATTTGTTGCTTTAATTACGGTGACATTTTGCATCTGCACACGAAGCCATCATCACCCAGCAGCAGACGTCGGGGGAGGGAGGGAGGAACTCCACCAAGGGCCAGCTGGCCTGCCCCCGAGATGGCAGGGACGCCCTCAGCTCCAGATCCCGCCTCCCCCACAGCCTCGAAGCACTTGGCCTCCAATTCAGCTTCATTTACTCCACAAACATTACCAAGCACCTTCTCGGGGTCAGTGTGTGCTGAACACTAACAGCACTCCTGCAGGTGCAGCTCAGCGGAACTTCAGCATGGCCCCACAGAGCGGGCTGCACACAGCTGGTCATTTGTGCAGCCGGGATTTGAAGGCGGCGGATGTAGCCTCCTACTCCGGCATCACCTTCCACAGAGCAGCCTCCCAGCCAGCCCTGCCCTCAGGGGCTCATGGCCTGGAGGGAAAGACAGAGCCTGCCCCTCTGGGATGCACCCATCTTTGACAGGCAACAGGAGCCAGGGCCAGAGACACTATTTGTTATTGTTCCCAGGTGTCTATGCCCTTGAGCAACAGTGGGAGGCTGACCTTCAGCCTCCCACAGGACGGGGAGGCTGCCAAAGAAGGAAGACAATGACAGGGAGGCAGAGGGAGGGGCAGGTGGGGGCTTTCCCAGGGATGAGGGGTCTGCCAAACCTAAGAGAAAGTACAGCAGCCAAAATCAAGGGGCACAAGCAGGGCGGGGTGGAGGGAGGGGGACACAGTCGGCCAGCTGGAAAGGGCCTCATGCTCTCCTCCCCTGTAGATGAGGCTGCAAACCCCAGTCTTGCCCCCTCCAACACTTGGAGGAGGAACAGGGATCCAGTGGAGATGGGCACGCGGATGCCAGCACAGGGCAGGTGAGGCAGGATCACGTATTGAGAATCCATGTGTGCTTTGCTCTTCTCTCTCCCTTCCCTTGCGGGAGGCAGGAAGCTTGCCTGGGGAGCCTGTCTCTGTGTGAGGCCATGTGGGTTCTAGGGCTGAAAGCAGAAGTGACTGGAACTGGTCCCCTTCCTGCCCTCTCCAAGCAGAGCATGGTGGGCTACTTTATCTCTAAAGAGGAGACTGACTGTCTTTGAGAAGAGATGGGAACAGCAGGACAGAAAAGAGAGATTTTCCCCACAAGATAACATGGCTCCTGCAAACACTGGGGACCCGCACTCTGTTGCCTGGCAGCAGCCTGGACACAGGTCATGAGGGATCCCAGGGCTGCAGGTTGTCCAGAGGCAGGAGCTGGAACCCAAGTGATGGTACAGTGGGTGGGTGGCTCGTAGGGAGCTAATGCAGACCCGAGAATGCAGGCGCCCCCTTGACTATGTGGTGCTAGAAAAGACCCCAGGACCTGGAAACCACCCAGTGTCCATCAGTGGGTGAATGGATGAGCAAACGTGGCATCGCCGTAGCAGGGAGTATTACTCAGCCCTAAAATGGAATGAGCTGGCACACCCGGCAATGTGGACGAGCCCAGAGCATGATGCTGAGTGAAAGAAGCCAGACACAAAAGGCCACATAGTGCAGGATTCTGTTCATGCGAAACACCCAGGGTAGGTAAATCCCGATGGACAGAGAGCAGGCTGGTGTTGCCAGGGCCTCACAGGTGACTGGGGAGTGGCTGTGTTCCAGGTAGAGGGTGTCCTTTGGGGATGATGAAAGTGTCCTGGAACCAGATGCAGGTGATGGCGGCAAAACACTGTGAATGTGCTGAATGCCACTGGATCGTACTTTTAAAATGACTAGCGGTTCATTTTGTCATGTGAATTTTACCTCACTTTTATAAAAAGGCCCCGTCAGGACCTTTGCCCATCCCTGGGGAGGGAGAAGGAGCCCTAGAGCCCTAGCAAAGACCACCCCCAGTGACGTCCTGGTAGCTCAGAATCCGAGGGACGTTTATTTGGCACAACGAGACCGAAAAGTGTGGTCTACTGAGTTTGTGGAGTGGGATTTGTATCATTTACAGAAGAAGGCGTGGGTATGGAAGAGCTATTTATGGGTCTCATGGGGCAGAAAGGGGTGCTGAAGGAATGAAAGGACCCCTTTCATTCATGGGGTGGTGGGACAGGAGGGCAGCCCTGAGGAAAGCCTGGGAAGACTCGTGAGTCCCGACCCCTCCAGTCCAGGCTGGGAAATGTCTCCTGCGAGAAAGGAGGAGTTGCTCTCCTCTCCCTCCATGCACACACACACACATATACATGTACACGCACACACACAAGGGCACAAACACACACAGGCACACACACAGGCACACATTGCTCCAGAGCTCACCCCTCAGCGCCCTGACCCCCTGGCTGCCTGGGGTGCTGTTTGGCCATGCAGGCTGCTGACCGCCAAGGCCTGCTGGCCCACGGACAGTGTCCAGCCTGGGGTCCCCAGGCAGCCCTGTGACAAGAACTGCATGCTGCCAAGAAGCCTCCCAGGTGGCTTTCCCAGAGGGCTCTGCCCCTGCTGTGACAGTGTCATTGAGAAAGGACATCTGGAGGAGCCTCTGAGAGCAAGTGGTTCCCAGATCCCAGCATGCGCACCCAGACAGATACATCCTCCCCTTCAGACTCCACGTGGAAAGGAAACACACACAAAACAATGGCAGGTCAGGACAGGGGGACCCTGCAGGGGGAGCGGAAGTGTGTGCGTCCTCCTGGAACAGGGTATGAGCCCGGCCTCAAGCAGAACAGTAATGCAGCAGACATTTGTCTCTGGGACTGGAGGCCTCGCTCCACAAAGCCAGCTCAGGCAGCAGCCGGTGCCCAGAGAAGGCTCTGGCCGTATTCTCAGAGGGGGCTCCGTCCTCCACTTTGGGGTTTTCTGGTGGTGGGCCCTGGGCAGGTGTGTAGCTTTCCCAGCCTGTCTCCTCTTCCTGGCCTTCTTGCCTGTTTGGGGATCCCACTTCACCTCGAGGCCCCACTCTCCTCACCTGTGGAGACCAGAGGCCGGCCCATCCTTCGCAGAGTGCTTGCCAAGCTGAGAGCCTGGAAGGAGGGGAGCGAGGGCCAGGTCTCTGCAGGTCCCAGCCACCGGTCTGTAGAGCCCTACAGAGCAGCAGCGCTGTGAAGGGGTGTGCGTTCAAGGCTTTGTCTGTTATAAAATGCTCAAGAAATATGAGTAGTTCACGTTTCAAAGATGAGAAAGGGATGATCGCGGTTGACCCCGTGAATGGTGGAATCTTGGCCAGGGCTACTTTGAGGGAAGGCTTCCAGGGACTCTTGAGTCACCCTCTGGAAGGGATGACCTGGCCAGCCTTGAGCAGGTGCCAGGGTTGACCAAGAGCCACATGCACAGAAGGCACAGACCTGGAGATGCCTGCTGTGATCTGGGCCTCTGTTCATGCCTGGAGCCTGTCCATGCGTGTCCTGGGACCCCAGGGCCTGCCAGGGAAACCACAGGTCTCAGACTGCGAGTCAGACTGCTGCGTGAGCTCCACACTTCATCTGCCAGGAGCAGCAGGTGGCATCTAGCAGCCCCCATAGGGTTTCTGGCCCACTTGTTCCTCCCTGGGAACCCGTAACATGCCTGCCCCAAGGAGTGCTGATCAAGGGAAGCATCCCTCCGCAACTGCACTGCGTCAAACGTGGACCTGGCCTTGGTCCGGCCCCATAGCCGCTGCTGAGCGACCACCCAGCCCCAGATGTCATTCCCAGGAGGACCCTGTGTGAGGCTCTACCCCACCAGCTCTCCGCTCAGAGCTACACACAACACGCACTTGGCCTCCCAAGTCATGATGGGAGGGAGCGCTGGCCCCCACAGGACCCCAGGAGAAATTAGATGAATTAGAGGAATCAGAAGTAAACGTTTTGTTAATAAAATGTGCCTGGTAGAGATCAGGGCTGCTGGGAAGTGTTATTGACATAAGCAAGCTAAAATGGGTTCTTCATAGCGAGGGGCAAATGCCTTCATTCATTCATCACGTATTTATTGAGCACCTACTATGTGCCTCACAGTTGAAGAGGTGTAGGAAGGACTTAAACCAGGCGACAGCTTGAAGCCGGCTCTACTTCCCTGCAGAATCCTGTGTCCCCATTCTGGGGCCACGCCACCCCCAGGTGGCAGCTGCTCAGCTCTGTCTGGTGCAGCGGGAATGGGCCTTGCTGGGCCAATCACACCTGGTCTAAATCATGGGCCCTGTACAAGGAATTGTCACCAGAGCTTAGGGACATGCACAGCATCCCCAACTTTCCCCTCTTGACTGCAGGTCATCTGTAGAAAGGATGATGAAAAACTAAAAGCCAGGGGATAAAAAGGGATCCCTCAACCCTGCCAACCAAGTCTCTATTAGGCCTGGGGGGCAGAAGTTTATGGGGATTATTGATCTCCCTTGGCCCAAACAGATGGTGGGGGAGGTGAGACCCGCGTGCAATTACATTCTTTGGTGACACGGCTATATTAAGATCGATTACATTGTGCAACAAACATATGAATCATTCCCAGAACCCTAACTGCTTGAATTTGAATATGCATGAGAAGCTGCCCAGAAATGCCTAAAATACATACATACACATATATATAGTCAAAAAACAAGACAGCTCACGGGGTGAAGAATAACAAAAGGCAATTTGCCACTCTGATGAAAGGGGCCGTGTGCTAGGTTAACTGATGAAGACTCATTCACAATCAGTGTACACATCCAGGGCCCATGGGAGCTTTGCCCACACCATCCCCGTTCATCCTCACCACAAGCCTACACACCAGGAATTATTTTTCCCATTTTACAGATGGGGAAGCTGAGCCTACAGCTGAGTTAAGATCATACTGCGTGTTGGTCAGTCCCAAGGAAGAATTTGAACTGTGGGCTTTCTGCGCCCAAAGCTCTGCCTTTCTGTGCGAGACTCTGTCTCGCACAGACACTACAAAGATCTCACCCCTACCCACTTTAGTCTTCCAGGTTCAGGCTTCACAAAACCACTATTGTCTCCTGCTTCCTGGAGTTCTGCATAAGAGAACCAAGTTTGAAGGAACAATAAGCTGATACCAAACAGCAACAACAGGAAAACAAAGATGTCTTGGAAATTAAGAACCACAGTTCCAAAAAGGGTCAATTAGATGAATGATAAGATGAACACAGTTGAACACCAAACCAACAATATAGA